>NC_000001.11:62887168-63190198 GCF_000001405.40 Homo sapiens
TTAGCGTGGTTCCTAGTACATAATGAATGCCCAATAAATGCAAACCACTATTTTATCCCAATTATAAAGTTGCATTGTACATAATATAGGATAACTCCATGTAAAGAGGCTCCTTATGCATATTAATAATCCTATAATTCTATACAGTAAAACTCTTTTATTATTTTACTATAGCCTCAAAATATCCCTTTTGGATTACCCCAGTACTTCACCATGAATTGTATGTGTATATCCTCAATAAATGTTTGGTGAATAAATTAAGTGTCTCAGTTTTTGACTTGAGCATTCCCTTTTTGGAAAATCAAGAATAATGGCCCAATATTCTTTGGGACCAGCTTCCTGATTAAAGCTTTTCAAGACAAAAGCAAAATGATGGTAGGAATTTATGGGTTAAAATTTCCCCTTCTGGCCTCAGGCACTTTAGGAGGCTGAGGTGGGCATATAGATTTGAGCTCAGGAGTTTGAGAGGAGCCTGGGCAACATGGTGAAACCCCATGTCTACTAAAGATATTCTAAAAAGTAGCCGGGTGCAGTCCCAGCTACTTGGGAGGCTGAGGTGGGAGAATTACTGAGTCTGGGGGGTCAAGGCTGCAGTGAGCTGAGATCATGCCACTGCACTCCGGCCTGGGCAACCAGAGCGAGACCCTGTCTCAGGAAAAAAAAAAAAAAAAAAAAAAAATTCCCCTTCTTCTATTTGTCCTTGTTCTTAGCCTTGGGTTCCTTTTATTTAACTTAAAATTACTGAGGAATTTCAAACATTTTAATTTTGTTTTCTACCGTAGAATCCTTTTGTCATGTCAATTCAACAAATACTTGAGAGCTCTACTGTGTGCTAAGCACTATGCCAAGTACTAGGGATTTGTAGAGGAATATTACTTGGTTCTTACCTTTGAGGAGCCCAAGAAAGTAGAGAAGGTAGGCATGTAAATAATTACATTTCTTTTTTTTCCCTTAGAGATGAGGTCTTGCTTTGTTGCCCAGGCTGGAGCACAGTGGCTATCCACAGGCACGATCATAATGCCCTGCAACGTCAAACTGCTGGGCTCAAGCATATCTCCTGCCTCAGCCTCTCAAGTAGCGGGGACTACAGGTGTGTGCCACCACACCCAGTTTACATTTCCATATGGTATAATAAATGCTATAATGGAACCATGTACAAAGGTACAGAGGTAGCATAGGAGGGAATGATTAACTCTGAGAGATGGGTAGGTTGGGGAGGAAGTGAAAAGGTTTCATAAAAGGTTATGCCCAAGCAAACCTATTATAAATGGAAACATATAAATAGGAGTTTTTCCAGTACATAACGTGGGTTCTGGAGAGGGTGAAGGCATTTCAGACAGAGGGAACAGAATATGCAAAGGCACAAAGTTGCATAATAGCATACTGTGTATAGAAAATTACAGATAATTTGGTATTATTGAAGCACAAAGTGTGTGTGTGTGTGTGTGTAAGGGGTTGGTGGTATGTATGGGAAGTCACTGAACATGAGGCTGCAGGGCTTTCCATGCAGCATTAAGAGCTGTTACTATTTTATGTAGTGGGGAGCTATTTAAGAAAAGGAGCATGGGTCTGTAATATTAGCACTTTCTGAAAACTACTCTGCCTGCTCTATAGAGGATGTATTGATGAAGATAAGAGTGGAGGGATGGGAGTCTACTTGGGAGGCTATTGAAAGAGTCCTTGGGTAAGATGATGATGATGGTAGAACCCTCTACCTTTGAACAAGCTCTATTAGAAAATTTTACTTTATACCAAGTCAAAACTGGCATTCTCTCATTTGTTCTGTTATATCCCATAGACCATACAAATGTGATTCTTTTTCAAGAAGTCTTACTCAGGAATTAGAAATGACTTTTGTGTCTCCCCAAGTTTCCTCATTTCTTGCTGTCCTTTGTGAGACATAGTTCCGGACCCCTTACCACCATGGTCCTGATCCTTGGACATGCATGGAATATCAGTGTTACTCTTAGGATACAGCCCCAACAATCTATTATAACACTGTGCACATGGTCTGGCCACAAAAATCCAATGATCCTAATATGTCTTTTCATCATTGCAACCTGAGGTGTTTAGTTTTTTTTTTAGCAGCCAAATCATTGTCACCTGCTGAATCTCTGGTCACCAAAACCCCAGGCTTTCTTATCCTGTCTATCCCATTCAGTTCAACTGATATTTACAATCTATGTGTAGGACTTTATATATATTCCTGTTAAATTCATCTTCTTGGGTTTGTAGACCCAGAGTTTTTCCATTATAAAAATTTGAAACTGATCCAAGATTCAAAAGGATTATATTAACCATGCCTTTAGATTTGTGTCATCTGCAATGCTTTCTTCCTTGGTGGTTAACTTGGTTACCTCTAGTTGCATCCTTTTTTTTTTTTTGTTTGTTGAGATGGAGTCTCACTCTGTCACCTAGGCTGAGTGCAGTGGGTCACTGCAACCTCTGCCTCCCAGGTTCAAGAGAGTAGCTGGGATTACAGGCATGCGTCACCATGGGCCCAGCTAATTTTTGTATTTGTAGTAGAGATGGGGTTTCGTCATGTTGGCCAGGCTGGTCTCAAACTCCTGACCTTAGGTGATCTGCCCGCCTTGGCCTCCCAAAATGTTGGGATAACAGGTGTGAGCCACCATGCCCAGCCTAGTTGCATCATTTTTATTTTATTTTTGAGAAAAGGTCTGGTTCTATCGCCCAGGTTGGAGTGCAGTGGTGTGATCTTGTCTCACTACAACCTCTGCCTCCTGGGGTCAAGCTATCCTCCTACCTCAGCCTCCCAAGTAGCTGGGACTACAGGCACGCACCACTATGCCTGGCTAATTTATTATTATTATTATTTTTGTTAGAGACTGGGTTTTGCCATGTCGCCCAGGCTGGTCCTGAACTTGTGAGCTCAAGTAATCCACCTACCTTGGCCTCCCAAAGTGTTGGGATTACAAGTGTGAGCCACCGCATCAAGCCCTGCATTCTTTCTTTTTTTTGAGACGGAGTCTCACTCTATTGCCAGACTGGAGTGCAGTGGTGCGTGTGATCTCGGCTCACCGCAACCTCTGCCTCCCGGGTTCAAGCAATTCTCCTGGCTCAGCCTTTTGAGTAGCTGGGCCACCGCCCACCTTGAGTAGCTGGGTGCGTGCCACCGTGCCCAGCTAATTTTTGTATTTTTAGTAGAGACGGGGGTTTCCCCATCCATGTTGGCCAGGATGGTCTCAATCTCTTGACCTCATGATATGCCTGCCCCGGCCTCCCAAAGTGCTGGGATTACAGGCATGAACCACTGCGCCTGGCCATTCTTTCTTAACATTCATCTGTTTATACTCCTTTTTTGTCTTGAGTTTTCCTAATTTCAGTGTAGCTCAGGAACTTTCGTTGATGGTTTGTTCTGCTGTTGAAGCTGACATGGCTCCACACTGCATTGCCCCTCAACCTCTGTTGTTTCGGCCACTGTCCTGCTGTCACTCTTGCAGATATGGATGTACACATATGGATATATCTTTGGGCTTTGGCACTCTGCTTATTCTCATGTTGTTGCTGATGTTGTCATCATTCATTTTACCTTCTGGTTATCCTAGTACTTCCTCTGCTCCATCAGACCTACACTCAGATGGGGGAATTCTCCACTTCTAAGATTTGTAGTTCTTTAATTGTATGCCACAGAAAGAATAAGGCTTTATTTTGTGTGTGTGTGTATGTATGTATGTATGTATGTGTGTGTGTGTGTATGTGTTTAAAAATTCGTCAATGTTATAGACCTTATTTATTTCACTCCACCTTTAGGCTTTTTATAGGCTCCCTAACTCTCCACAAGATTCCTTCAAGTCTGGGCCAAAACACAAAATTACTTGTAAGTAATGGTTATAAACTCTGTTGCAGCATTGGTATACAGTTGGTACTCAGTGTCCAGAATATAGTACTCCAAATGGTCACTTCCCACCAGCCCTCCACTAATGTCCCTGGCTTGAACTGGTGACCATCTACTACCTTAAGATAAATTCCCCCCTTCCTCTATTCTCTCCTGTCGGAGCATGAGGAGTTGAAGAATGACCCTTGTCCCCTATCTTTGGCCAAGAGTCTTTGTCCTAGAAGTGAAAAATCAGTTCCAACCTCTATGGTTTCTTTTCAGACTATTGCCTTTTCACACAAACAGAATTTGCACTGGGGGCTCTGATATGCATGAATTCAGAGACGGGTTCCCAGAATGCTCTCTGTTCCCATCTGTGACACTCATTGCACCTCTTTGATTTAATGTGTGTGCTTCATTCATCCTAAGAGACTTACATTTGCTTTTTCTCTTCAGATCTGACTATAGATAGCTTTTTTCACCTTAGCAGTTCTGACTTAATCTCCCTTAGCATAGCTTCCCTTCTCTATAACAGGAAAAGAATAATACTCTTTTCCCTCTTCAAAGGGTTTTTCAATGGATCAAATGAAATATTGTATGTAAAATCATTTTACAAACTCTAAGGAACTGTGCAGGTATTGTTATTTACTGGAATCATCCATGATCCAACTTAGCTCTAAGGATCTGACTCGGGCCATTGGCAAACATGTGACCAACAGGAGGAAGAAGGTTAGTCCCTTGCAGGCTACAAGACTCTCACAGGGTCAGAATTGTCAAATTTTAGAGTAGGATGGGGCCTAAGAGATCACTTGGTCCAACTCCCTCATTTTGCCAATGAAAAATCAGACCAGAGAGGAGCAGTGGACTTGCCTTATTCATCACTCGAGATTTGCTTGGGTCAGAGATCTGCAATGGAAGTCACAATTCCAAAGCTGGAGGAGGAGAGGGGCCAGCCAGCCATCAGAAAACATGTCCTATCCCTCCCTAGGTCAGGGACACCATCAGCCTTTCTTTAGGGTGGAATATTTTTTAACCTTTTTTCTTGCCTTGACAGAAATGTCAGGCTTCCTCTGCTTCACAAGCTCCTCAAAGACCCACTTGTTTCCTTTTATCGAATAGGATTTCCCAAGCAAACACAACTATGTTGTTGTTTGTCTCTCAGTAGCTCTGCTGTGCAGGGAATGAGGGCTCCACTCTTGATCAGCCCAGGGACTCCAGTGCCAAGCCTCTGATATATAGTGCAGGGACTGCAGGGCATCCGAGTTGTAACAAGAACAAGATGAGCTTGTGGCCTCGGGCTTCTAACCTGCTCCTCAACCCACACTTCAAAGAAAGTTATTACACAAGAGTTAGACTAAATCAAACCAAACCGCAATGTTTGCGTACTGTGGCCCATTTTCAGATCTCATTGTATCTCACCACTAGTCCCTCAGAAACCCAGCTGGGAGCAGAACAAAACGACCCAATGATAATTTAGTTGTAGGTCTTTAAAAATGAGTCCAACTGATTTATTTAGAAATTTCAGTTAAGCATGATGTCAGGAAAATCTCTCTGGCTATTTATCATCTTTTTTTCCTCTTAGCATAGTCCGAGTAGGCAGAATAAAATTAGCAACTGGCTATTCATATACTTCCCAGTTTTTGGTGTAGGCTGATATTGTTACTAGACTATCAGAATGTTGAGATGTTTTGCTGATAATTTTCTGCCAAAAGAATACCCATCATAGCAACGAAGGCCTTTATTATGCCACTTACTTTCTTTATTGGCAATGCTATACAGGTGCTATAGGAAGAAGAGGTATAACAGATGATCTAAAGATATATATTTCACTTCAGTTAGACCTACCACTCCCGTTTCTCGAAAACACCACAATCTGAAAGCCTGAAAAGTTGGATTTTTTCTTTGTAGCTTTGAAGAGTAGATACAAGATCTGTCAAGTTTTTGAATCATAAAAGAAATAAAAGCTTATGTTCATTGTTGTTAAGTATGTGTTCATTGTTGTTAAGTGTATTTTGTAGGATGGTTTTGAAAACTGGTAAATATGGAAAGTCTCATTTAATCCAGTAATCAGACCATTACTAGATTCTACAAGCATTTCTTGTGTATGACAGTGCAGCTTTTAGAAAATCCTTTAGTTCCAACCATGAAGCATTCCAATGTCTCAGAATCATTCAGGGTTAAAACTGGGAGAGATCACCAAGCTGTATGAAGAAGCAAACTGAGACCACACAGACAGGTGATTTCACTCGAGGTCACAAAGCCAGCTACTAAAAGCCACAACTAGAATTCAGGTTAGACTCGTTCTGTTTACATCTCATATATGGCTCTTCTCTTGTTAGATCTAGGATGACAGACAGGAAAACCAAAAGCAAAGAATTTTGCATGAGCAGAGAGAAAAGTTAATGGTTTTATGCAAAACCCAAAGGCCATTAAGAGAAAAAATAGTCAAACCAAGCAGCCAGCCTTTTAAGGGGAAAGGAGAGACTGCCAAGGCCAGGGAAAAGTTATTATGGATCTGGGTTGAAGATAAGAGGAGAGTAGCCTCTTTTGGCATCTGTGGACTGAAAACATCTATGGGGCAGGAATGGAATATTTTCATGATTACTTTTTAAATACTTCTACTTACCACTCCAGTGCTTGTTTCCTATCCTTAGGAATCAGAGTGAAGCTTCAAGTTGCTGTGCTTTGGCAAAATTAAAGACTGAAATGCTGCTAGAGAGTTTCTCCACCTCTGCCATGGTCAGCATCCTACTCTGTTCTGTGGAGGTGCTGCCACCACTTACCTCCTGATGCAGAAAGTCAATTAGTCCATCGACTGGTCTTTACTAACACCTTCTAGGTCCTCAGCCCCAAAAGACACAGAGTATCACATCATCACCACCCTCAGGGAGAACATAATCTGTTTCAGAGGTTTCAAGAGATATTAGCATCTTGAAATTATTTGCAAATTTTCATGTATATATGCATATCTTTGAGGAGAGGACTATCAGATTATTAGAGGAGTCCATGATTCAGAAGAGGTTAAGATTAACTGATCCAGTGGGAGAGACAAGCTAATTTACAGTATCTGCTAAACAAGAATGGTGGTATATAATACATTTGTAAGATCAAGGTGGGTCAATGTGATCAGGAACTGCTTCCAGGATGAGATAGGATTTTTAGGTGTGTGTTCAAGGGTAGAAGATGTCTGGATAGGTAGAGAAGAGAGGACAAGTGTGCCTGACTGGAAGGACACAGTGGATTGGAAACTAAAATTAATTGAACAGAATGTTGATTATACATTCAACACCTTTCTACATGTGATTTCATTAAATCTGCACAACAAGCCAGCTAAGTGGGGATTATCATCTCTATGTTACAGGTAAAAAATTATTCAGGGAGGGTAAGAAACTTGTACACAATTGGGAAGTTTGCAAAGCCACGTTTTGAACCCAGGTCACTTGACCTCAAAACCTTTGTTTTTCCCCCCCACCCCACTGCTCTGCAATAGCTGTAGCATAAACAAAGTAATGACAAATGAATGAGCATGGCTCATATGGATAAGGGAAGGAATATGCTTGACTGGAGGGAAGGGTTCTTGTTGAGGAGCAGGGCTTATATGGTGATAGATCCTGACAGGTGAGGCTTTATTAAACACTTACTATGCACCAGTCATGATGGTAAATTCTTTATCTCATTTAAAACTCAAATAACTCTATGAGGCGATACCATTATCATCCTCATTTTGCACCTGGGGTGCCTGAGGTTATAGGTAATCTGTCTAGGCTCACACTGACAATGGGGAGCTGAATTAGAAGGAGTTGAAATTCAAACGTAATCTGTTCGCCTCCAGAGACAACACTGTAGAAATATACTAGAAAATTAACCTTGTGTAAGTGTTTATGGTGTGCCAGGTACTCTGCTGAGCACTTCATACACATCATTTTTTTTTTTTTTTGAGACAGAGTTTCACTCTTATTGCCCAGGCTAGAGTGAAATGGCGTGATCTCGGCTCACCGCACTCTCTGCCTCCTGGGTTCAAGTGATTCTCCTGCCTCAGCCTCCTGAGTAGCTGGGATTACAGGCATGTGCCACCACACCCGGCTAATTTTGTATTTTTAGTAGAGACGGGGTTCCTCCATGTTGGTCAGGCTGGTCTCGAACTCCTGACCTCAGGTGATCCACCCGCCTCGGCCTCTCAAAGTGCTGAGATTACAGGCGTAAACCACCACGCACAGCCCACATCGTCTCAATTAATCCTGACAGAAACCCTGTGAAGAAGACGTCATTATTGTTTTCTCTATATTATAGAACAGAAGTGAAGTCCCAGGTGAACTGAAGCTCGGGGAGGTTTAGAAGCTAGTCAAAGGTCACAGAGTTTGGCCAGGCTGGGATCTAACCCAGGTCCTCTGGCTCTGGAACCTGGACTCAGAGCTCCTATGGTACACGACTTGCCCAAGCCAGAGATTCGGAGAGTGGAGGCTAACAGACACTTCTCCTAACTGCTCCCTATGCTCCCACTAGATTCCAAATCTTCTCCTTGTTGGTTATTTTTCATGCTGCTTAGCGGTTCCCTCATTACTTCAGATCTTCATATACATTGGGCCCAAATCACTATTAAAATAGAGCCTGGAATGAATGTTTTTTATTATGTTATGAATGGAGGCAATGTGATTAAGACCTCCTTCATTCATCAAACAGTTACTGAGCCCCTACGTAGGGCATTTCAGGGTATTGGGGAGATGGGAAGATGAAGATACAAGAAAAAAAAGTACTTACTCTCCAGGATTGCACAGTCTTGTGAAGAGAATAGACACATAAACCAATAATTAAAGTGCAGTGTGATAATGAATGCAACAGAGGTAGGTAGGGACAGAGTAATGTCAGAACATAGAGAAGGGGTACCTAACTCAGAATGGAGATGAGGACATCGGTGGGATATGGGGAAGATGTCTCAAAGAAAGTGACACTTCTGGTAATTGTTTTTGTTTGTTTGTTTTTAGAGAGGAGGTCTCTCTCTGTCGCCCAGGCTGGCGTGCAGTGACAGGATCACAGCTCACTACAGCCTTGAATTCCTGGGCTCAAGCGATCCTCCTGCCTCAGCCTCCTAAGTAGCTGGGATTACAGGTGTGTGCCACCATGCCTAGCTAATTAAAAAAACTTTTTTTTTTTTTTAAGTATGTTGGTCAGGCTAGTTACAAACTCCTGGGCTCAAGAGATCCTTCTGCCTCAGCTTCCCAAGTAGCTGGGATTACAGATATGAGCTGCCATGACTGGCAATTATCTGTTTTTGAGCTCAGTTTTTCTTGTATGACATTTTGAAGTTTTTAGTTTAAAATGGTCAGCACAATGTCATTTTCTGTTACACACACACACACACACACACACGGGTTTTATGTCACACTACTTATACTTTCATTGCACAACTGCTTTCTTAAACTTAAAAAGTCAACACAAAGACAATGATTTGTGAACATAACATTTGCTACTTTTAGTGCTTTTGCTGGCTATATTAGATTTTCTACTCTGAAGGCTTTGAACGCTTCCCTTATTTGACCAAAGCAACATGCTCTGTTGATGAAGCACTGAGTCAAGGTTATCTCTCATCACGTCTCTTTTAAACCAAGGGATATTTTCAAGGTCCTTCTATATTATTACTTTTAGATTAAAAAAACCCTCAGCTTTATTGTAATATATTTACATATAATAAATTCAGTTTTAAGTATACAGTTTCATGAGTTTTTGACGAATGTATGCAGTTGTGTAATTACCATTACAACCAAGAAATAGAATATTTCCAAAACTGAAAAAGTTCTCTTGTGCCTCACTAGATTCTGTCTTAGTAGTGAGAGCTGCAGCAAGCTGTCTCCTAACTTGTAGTGAGAAGTCAAAGAGCTGGAGAGAGAATGACCAGTCTAAGGAACTAACATTGATTGAGCTGCCTTACCTAAGCATATATGCAGAGAGTTAGTTATACCCCCTACCAGCCCCATGAGGGTATTATCTCCATTCTACAAAAGAGGAAACTAAGGTCCAGAGAATGTAAATAACTCACTCAAGGCCATTGAGCTAGAAATGGTGGAGCCAAGATTCCACCCAAGTTATGTTTCCTACAAAATTACCTTCCCACTGCTAACAGAGGGAAAGATATAAAGAGGGAAAGATATAAAGATGAAAAGATATAAAGAGGAAAAGATATAAAGAAAATGGGAAGCCAAACGCTTAAGAGTAGATACTGTCTGATTCTATTTGTACGAAATTCTAGAAAAGGCGAAACTAGTGACCAAAAGCAGATCATTGGTTACCAGGGGGAGGGGGAGGGGGTTAACTGCAAAAGGGCATGAAGGAATTTTTTTAGGTTATGGAAATGTTCTGTATCTTGATTATAATGGTAATTATGCAATGGGATTAATTTACCAAAATGCATCAAACTGTGCACTTAAAGTTGAGTTGCATTACATATAAATTATATTACAATAAAGCTGGGTTAAAAAAATTTTAAATGAAGACAGTAAGGAAAGACTTTGGAAATACAGCCTTAGTGTAAAAGTCACAGCAACATTATCACATCATTAAAATGTCACTTTTGTCGTATCAAATAATAAGAGTATAGAAATTTTTTTATGTAACTTGATGCTAAAATTTTTAAAAATCTGGCAAAGATAAATCAGTGCTCACTGTGGCTTTGAAATAAAATCAGTAAACTCTGTTTTCTTACACGAAATGAACAATTCAATATACATATTTCTGAATCTGTTGCAAACATCTAGTGAATGAGGGTCTGATTAAGCATGATTCAAAAAGAGCTTGCAAGTAGAACTGTTTACTAACATTTCAATTTCTATGCCTCATTTATTAGACTTAGAATAAAAAGGTGAGAGGGCTGTTTGGGATTGTCTTTAACCTTGATGATATTTCCACTGAAGCAGCATAATGGCTCTTAATTGCTTAAGTGAAGAGAACATGTTGATGTGTCCTTCTTTGGGCTGAGAGCTTAGAGCCTAAACCATTATGCTAATTCAAGCATTATATACACCAAAGTATTTATGGGACTGACACAAGTGATGTTGCAGGTAAAGGGCTGTGAAATGGTCTGTAAACAGAGAGAATTGATTTGAGGCCCAAAAGCAGTGCTGTTAAAAGTCACAGCCATTGAACAGCCAACCCTATGATTTCTATCCAGATTGTCAAACTGGGTCAGACAGTGTCAGCAGGGCTGCCATTAGAGATCAGATGGGTGGTTTAATAATATGTAAACCGAGAACATAAACAGGCTTTCTCAAGGTAGAGGTCCGTCCCCGTCTGGTGTATGTGTGTGCATGTGCAATGCGTATGTACGTGTGCACATGCACCACATTTTCATTATGGAAACTTCACAGGGCTATACTCGGTGAAATGTTAATGCACTGGTTTTTGACAAAAGAAAATCTTCCAGCAGGTATAAGTCAGACAACAATGTAATGTAAAGACATTCAGGAAGAATGTGAATCCAAAATCTTAAAAGGAAGGAAGGACCATCAGATCCTTGCTCTTGATCTTCCAGGCCTTTGGCATCCTCTGTTTTTTATATCTCTTCCTACAGTAGGACTACATATTTTTTTAGTTAACCTCAAAATAATTCTGTAAGGCTCCTCATCACCTGCATTATTAGCACACCTTACTTCCAACATTGAAATGATGGAATCGATTTTATGTAAACTAGGCTCTCTTTACACAGCCTTCCAAATGACATCTGGATGGCCTAGTTCCGTCTTTGTTTTAAATCCCTGAAAACCAGAATTTTCTAGTTGTTTAGTCACCCACAGTCAGAATGTAGAAGACTGTGATGGAAAATTTCCTCTCATCCCAGCTTAAAGTCAGAGGAAAAGGTCATGGTTCCTTTCCTCCTTCTTTCCAAAATAGAACAAAAAATTCTATAAACATATTAAGAGAAGTAGAGCATGATGATGAAGACCCCGGACCTTGAGTTCAAATATCAGCTCTGTCACTGACTTTGGGTGAGTTATGCAACCTCCCTGTGCCTCAGTTTCTTCCTCTGTAAAATGGGGCATTGACCCCCAGGATTACTGTGGGGATTCATAAGGCAAAATGCTTAGAAAAGTGCCTGGCACAGAGTAAGCATTCAAAAAATGTTAGCATTACTGATAGATATTTGGCCTCATAAACTTTTGATATCATTTGTCTGTTTTAAGTACATTTTTTTCCTTCTTGGGGTTCACAGAAATTATTAATATTCTAGGGAATCTATTGAATATGTTTGGTACTTAAAAAACAAAACAGCTCATTGTTAACTCACTTAAGGTCTCCAGTGAAGGTTTTCTGCTGTAGGCTCAGGTTCCACAAGAGGAGCACATCTTTCTCATTTGGTTTCAGTGTTGGTGCTGCTTAGGGTGGCACTCTCCAGGAAGGGAATAACGGTGACATCATGTGCTAATTTATTCGGGTTAGTTAAATTCTTCAGGACACTCTTTTTTGGACAAGAACCTCTGAGATACCTTTCCTCTTAGTAGAGTGGCATCTTATGTTAATGTGCTGCTATTCCAAGCCAAGCTTTTAGTGTAGAGCTCTTCTTATACTGGCTAATAGTTTTAATTAGAACATTTTTTTTCTAGGTAGAGACCTGCTCAGGTCAGGAAATTTTGATGAGTTTCAGAATCATGAATGATGGTATTTAAAATGACACAGTATGAAATCAAGACATAACCTAATCATCATATGGTTTTACCGTCCTTTTAACTGTCTTCCTTTAGAATGTGACTTAATGAAAAGATAAGATTTTGATTTAATTTTGGTCAATTGATCAGATTTGGAGTGGATCATATTGTGGTATCTTCTAAGGGCTTAACATGTGGAACCATACCAAAAATTATACAAATTATATAATTTGTGGTTTCCAAAATGTTCTGTTTTAAAGTTCTTAATATGCCACAAATGTATATTTCAGAAAATACTTTAAAATGCACATATGACATCCCTTAACTGTAGACATAAAAGTTTCCCCAATTTTGTCACAACATTTTGAGTTTTGAACATACATAAGATGTTCAAAGAGTTGAGAGATCTGGTCTGTGGTCCTGATGCCATCACTTAACAGGCAGTGGGACCTTGAGCAAGTCTCTCCACTGGTCTGTGCCTCCATTCCCCATCTGTAAAGGGGATCACTGGTCCCTACTCACACCCCGCGGATGTAGTGAGGCTGGTCATGTGGCAAAGGAGGCACCTGGAACAAAGAAATGTTTTATGCTGATGCTTTCTGTAGCATCATCTTGGAGCCTCAAGTCTTGTTTAAATAAAGGGGAAACATAGGGACAAAGAAAGTGATCATACCAAATATTATCTATGAACATACATACCTTTGTTTCACAGATGTTTTATTAACCCTGGCTCGATACAAATCCAATAATAGGACCAGAGCTCATCTCTAGAGACTATTTTGTTTCAATCTTTTTCATAGGCAGGGCTATGCCCAATAATTCTGAACCAGTAGGAATCTAGCTTATTTACAAAAAGTATCTAAAAGATTTCACAGTGTCACACAGGAACCCATTCAGAGATTTTGTAATTAAGGCCAGCACTTCCTCCATAAAGTTTAAAACCAATCAGAATGGTCCCAAAGAATAGCTTTGTAGATTGCACCCTTCTCTTGGCAAAGTGAAAGAGATGTATACACAGCTTGAGCTGGTTCTGAGTCCCCCTTAGGCCACAGAGAAAGAGCCTTTAAGTCTATCAGGGATGACAAATAGATTTCAGCATGAGTGTCAATTCTGATGGATTAGTGGTAGTTGCCTGGAGCAAGGTGTTTGAGGACTCTTGAGGCTCTATCCAGGATCAGCAGGAAATAGTGCCATGATCTATTAGCAATGCCTGCCATGCTGAAGGGGTGGAAGAAGGGAGCAAGGGCAGCATTTTTGCCAGGGTTACCCTTCCAAACTTGTATATTGTGCATTCCTCCCTGTTGCTGATTTTTCTCGGTTGAAGTTACTTCAAGGCTACCAAACCAGTACCGATCTAGGTTAATACAAAGTAGATGTTTTCTTCTACCTGCATCACATTTAACGCTTCCATATACATTTAGGAAATATCGTGAGTCCTCTTTTTTTTTTTCCTTATGAGCCTGAAACTTTTACTTCACTGAAGAAATATATTGAGCATTTATTATGTATGGGCATGTGTCAGGCATGTATGGATAAGTGAACTGTTTTATTTACTATTTCTTAATTAAATAAAGCATAGAAAACTCACTAAAATCCCTAAAAATGTTTCATGCTCAATAAATATGAACTGTCCTTCCCTTATGTCTTCTGTATACAGGATTTGGCTAAACATGTTCGGGCTCTCAGCATTCTTTCACCCCTCCCTTCAGAGGAAACACGGAGATGCCCTGACTTGGAGTTGAGAGATCTGGTCTCTGGTCCTGATGCCATCACTAACAGGCAATGGAAGCTTCAGCAAGTCCCTCCACTGGTCTGTGCCTCCATTCCCCATCTGTAAAGAGGATCGCTGGTCCCTATCACCCCCCTGGGATGTAGTGAGGCTTGTCATGTGGCAAGGGAAAGCACCTGGGACAAAGCAAGGTCTTATGCCAATGCTTTCTGTAGCATCATCCTGGAGCCTCAAGTCTTGTTTGAAATTGAATAAAGGAGAAACATAGGGACGAGGAAAGTGATCACACCAAATATTATCTAAAAACATTTAAACATTACATTTTAAAGAATTGAAAATGTTAAGGGGGGAGGTGGGAGACAAGGATTTGGCCAAAGTCTGGATATATTGAGTCAAATAGGCCTGAGTTCTAACGTAGCTTCTGGAACTTACACATTCTTTGGAAAGTTACATAACCTGTTATAAACCTCCATTTCCTCATCTGTGCAATGGGGACACTCATAGCATCCCCCTCAGAGAGTTGCATGTTAGAATAAATAATGATGTAGAAAGCTTAGTACATTGACTGGAATATAATAATATTTCAACATATTTTAGCTACTATTATATTGCTTGGCAATGCTATTTGGATAACACACAGGAATATGTTTTATTTTTTATGGTTATAATAATTCTTCATATTTGTTAACGATTACCAAGTGCCATTACAGAGCTTCCCAGTGACTTGCACAGCCGGCATTTTGGAGAATCCTAGTAAATAATGTTGTTGGAATGACTTCTCATTTAAACCTCACAGAAACTTTGAGAGATGGATATAGATATCACTGGGAGGACACTGAGCCTTAGAGAAGCTAAGTGACTTGCCCAAGGTTACAAAGCTAAGAAGTGGCCATGCCCAGACCTGGACTTGAGTCCAGAGCTTCTGCCTTCAAATTCAATGAAATATTCATCTCATGATGATATGTGTACCACATCACAGTTCTTTCCAGTTAATGTATTATTTCAACAGTTTAATGTATTCTTGAATGCTTACTGTGTTAGAGGATGTAACACAAAATTCAAGGAAAAAGGAGGCACATGGTTAAAAATCAAAAACGAAAAATGTCTCAGAGCAACCCAAAGAATTAAAATTTGTAACCATTTCCTTTTTCTCACCCTAATTTTCTGGAAAGGACCATTCAAATTTGGTCTGAGCATTAAAAATAAGCAAAACCGAAACCAAAAAGGACGTCTAAGAGGTATGAGCGGAGATAGTAAATTGCCCTCATCATTTATGTGTGAATATTTTAATACACAGGCCTAGAAATAACAACAGAGTCGGCCTCTTAGGGTCTCCCTTCCCGCCCGTCCTTTCCTTTTTCTTTGTAACCATCTTCACACCAGGGCAAATATACACGTGAACGTAATGTGTAGAATTAGGGACAGACTGGTGTCTCCACTTTAATTTTCAAGGTGGTATTATTGCTGGCATTCAGAGAAGACCACCCTCCTATTCTGACATGGTGAGTAGACCCCATTACCTTAGGAGCTGCTCATTTATATTGGTCTATATGAGTCTCCGTCTGGCACCATTCCTGTCACCTAGATATACATATTTCTCCCACTGACTCCTGTGGAAATCATTCACTTCAAGGGTGCAAATAAAGACTGAGTGAGGAGACTGAAGCAAGCCAAGAGGTGTGGAAAATGCAGGCCTTGAATGAATTCATCTGGTTCCATCTTCATTTGCTTTCTCCCTTGGCTGTTTCTATACTATTCAAGTGAAGCTTATTATTATTATTATTCAAAAAATGCCAAAGAATAAATACACTGTCTCGAGCACAAGCATTATGGACAATTTTTGAAATGGTATTGCATCCATGATACTGTTGCTAAAACATTCTTTACTTTGCTCTTGCAAAAACGGTCTTAGGTCCTATATGAGGAAAAAGGCACTGGGGCAAGACATTGGTCCAACCCACTGGGCCAGAGAGACAAGAGGGGGCCAGTGAAGCCAGGGAGGCCTTTGGTTGAGGTGACGGAGAAATTGCCAAGTAGCCAGAATTGAAAGAAAAGTCTATCCATTGGTTCTTGTCGTCTGGTTTCAGACACTGGCTAGGAGGAATGATGGCTTCTCCTTTTGCACATTTCACTTGTCAACTTAACTTTTTTGGGCTTACTTCCTAGACATGGGTAATTTATAATTAATTCACCATGTAAAATTAATATGCGTTTCTGGTTTGGAATATTAAAACTAGGCCATGGATTCAATCTTTATTGCTTGGCTGCAGGAAAGAGAGCGTCTGTCTGTCTGTACGCGTTTAAACAAAAGGGCTCCCCAGCGTAATGTTTACTTCCATGGTCTCTGAGACCTCGGTGTGTGGCTGACTGAGGTGTGTGTGCACTGGCACGGAGCAGGGGTCACTCGCTGTCCATTTTAAGGGCTCATTTCTCAGCGGGCCCTAAATAATGGTAGATTGTGTTCGTATTGTCGTTTCTCCTGATGTATAGATGGACGCATACATATATATGTGTACATATATATATTTTTTACCAGCTGAGCATTTCTGGAGCCTTGACCCTTTCATTTTAGCTTTACCTTTCTTTGTCCCCTGAATGACCGGCATAATTCATCTGATTATCTATTATCTTGTTATTGGACATAAATTTTACAAGCTGTTGAGAGTGCGGAAAATCAATACCTTTTAAATGCTGTTTATGTGTGATTAACGGTTAATATCCTCACAAATTATTTAATGTAATAAGGTCATTTATCTTTTGCATGGGCTTGGTATCCTGCAAAGAATAATAGAATAATAAATGAGGACACTGGTAAAGAGGATATTTCAGATGCTTTTCTGTGCCAGTTTTATTACCCATATCCTCTTTACAGCCACAAAGCTGCACTATGGTTATTTTATGCAAGTAATAAAATTAGCCTGAGATGGAATTAGCAGACTCGGGGCTCTTTATAGGTCAAGTCGGTGCTTTATGAGCCTGCGACTCCCTAGTGCTATCGTCATGAGGCTAGTTAGAGGGGTCTTTAAGCATGATTTAATATGTCCATGCTTCAGAAAATAGTTAAATAGCTAATTAAATGGAGGAGTTAATTTACATATTAATTGACCTTCCAGTAATATTTATATTGATACCTACATGAGAAGCTCGTGTCTTCATTGCCTTTCATCATAGTTAGTCTGAGCAAATATGGTGGAACTTTTTTGTTTAAACTGAAGTTTCTCTTTATTGTCACAGGAGGGTTGTTGTATTCCCTGGAATAGTGGAGTACATCTGGCCTCGCATTTATGCATTTGCAGAAGCCTTTTGTTGTAGAATAATTAGGAAACACAGTCAAATATGCAAAGGGTGGTGTGAGTGTGTGTGGGGGGGTGTGAGTGTGTGTGTGTGTGTGTGTGTAAGGGGGGTGGTTACATTCTTGGATCTTTGCCTGAATAAAAGCTGGTGATAATTATGATAATCATGGTTCTTCAGTCTAGAAGTCCTTTGGGAGATAATATTGTGGCCATGTGTTGAAATTAGCATAACATTTTACCTGCAGTTATGAGGGAATATTATCAACTCAAAACCTTCAAGTAGTAAAAGAATGGCTTATGAAGGGAAAAAGCACCAGAGAGTTATGGGTTTAACAAATACAGTTGAAGCAAGCAGCTGTGTGCAGATCTTGCTTCCAGCCTCGCACAATGTATCATGAGAGAATACTGCCGTCTGCCCATTTACTTCTCTTCCTTTAATCAGAGAATCATCTTTAATAACTGAGGAGTGTTTTAATGTACTAAGCCTGCTGTTTTAGTGTGCGGCATCTCTATTTACAACAGGAAATGCTCCGGGAACACCTTCTCCTCGTGCTGCTGAGTTTAGCATTGTTGCACGGCCCAAATTTTCAGTGAGGCATGGGGTTTTGCCAGTGGATAAGCTTCTCAACTGATGGCGCTTCATTTTGGCCCTGGTATTTTATCATACGGTTCTGGGAGGCGGTGGGGTTACGGAATCAAGACAAGGGTGGAAGGCCAGGGAGAGATGGGCTATGCACAGACAATTACAGTGGGCTCAAAACCCCAGAACATTTACCTTTTCCAACTGAATGACTCTATAAAATGGACACCTGCCATGTTCCTAGCATGAATCACGGTACTAGAGGCACACACAAGTGGAGTGCAGTCACGCCTAGTTGCTCACTGATGTATCAAATACAATGTCTGCACAGGGTTCAGCGCCTGAGCCAAATGTTAAAGTTATTTGTTCTTGTCAATAAACTAAACTTTACAGTGACCCTCTATTTTTATTATGCCACATGTATTTTAAGAGAGGTGGTTGCTGCTTGAGCTGGCAGCCAGTGCTATCCTGAAGCCCACCGAAGGCCAAGGAAGCACGTTTCCCTGGGGGCACCCCATCAGTGTACAAGGTGCTGACTGCTCTAGTGAAGTTTCCTCCCGGTCTCAGGGCAGCCGTACCTTGCCTCCAAGGGAGACCCATCTGTGAGATAGGGCTTCTGGCGGTGTGTTGTCTGGCCCTGAGCTACAGAAGGTAAGTGTTTGTAAATGAAATGTAAAAACACAAAGCAAAAAAACCCAGCAGTGATTCTGACCTCCAAGCACCCAACCTACTACTGCCACTGAGAATGAAATGCTCCTTGGTATTCAAAGAACCAGTGCGTACCAGTGACTTACCGCTGATGCTCCCAGGCGTGAGTTGAAGGAGCTCGAATGTAACTGGGCCCATACCTGGCAAGCAGTGAGTGTCCTGGGCTTGGTTTCAGGATGAGCAATGGATTCCTCCTCGGGAAGCTCTGTTTGCCGTCGTGCAGTTTGAATTCGTCTCCTTTTTCTTTTTGACCCTGGGTGGAGAGAAATAATTGAAATACAAAGCTCATTTTTTAAAAAGAGTTTTGCCTAACATTTTTTTTTTAATTTATTGTCTCTCCCAGATAGTGTTGCTTAAAAGGAGCAAAATATACTTGCTTTTTAAAGTTCATATTTACTGTTAATCCTCCATGTAGAGCTGACGTTAAGAAGCAGGACATTTAGAACATTTAGCAATCGACTGGGTGGAGGGGGAAGGGAAGTAAAGGCCTATTTGGTCCAGAAACGGGATAAGCCATAAAGTAAAAACTTAATTTCACATCATGTACAATTTTGAAAATTTAAAATTTAAATACTTTATAAACTTCTGCCAAACTCCACTGCGCCCCCTGAAGTGTGTGAAAGGCAACAACAGCTCACGTAGCCCCTTGTGTGGTAGCTGCCATTCTGATTTAAAAAGAGAGGTGCGGCCAGTGTTCAGAGCAATTAAAAGCGGTCAAAAATAGCAGACAGCTTTGTGGTTGGTGCACAGTGATTTGAGGAAAATTCAGCACTGGTATTTCTATCATAGCACAAGTCTGTGCGTTGCTAAGTAGATTGCCCTAGTGGCACTCCATGTATTGCAACCGCAAATATCAGGCTCTGTCACGAGTGAGCAAGATCCAGATGTATGAGAATCTGGGTGGTCCTAAGAGACTCCCCCGCATAGACCCACAGACACATTGCAGCAGCTGGATGGGTAAAGCTGATGCTTTGGAACAGAGATTTCATGGTCCTGAGTCAGTGAAACTGTGTGTTCTAGGTGTTTTCTACTTCATAGATTGATGAAAACGTCACAACCAATGTTCTCATTTTTTAAAAGGCAAAAAATTGTTTTTCTATTTAAAATTTTAATTTAAGCAACACGATAAAAATAACATGTAACTTTGGGTTGTTTTAGTCCTTAGCCTATATATTTCAAATACAGGAATTAAAATTGAATTAGTAATTTTTGTTATTTAAGAAAAAAAAGAACTATGAATGAACATTAAGGTTTTTTTTTTTTCATATTTTCCCACATCCAAATTCCAACCTTTACTCCATAAGCACAAGGAGAGGGGGTGGGACACAGCAAAGAATAGCAGCTGCTGTTTATTGAGCACTTACTATGTGTGAGGCATGGGGCTAAGTGCTTGGCCTGCCTAAGTCAGTCATTTCATCCTTACACCCTTACTGAAGGTGGTTACTGAGGAGAAAACTGAAGCTAGGAAGAGGCAAAACCAAGGTCTGAAAATATGTCCATCTAACTCCAAAAACCTAGAATGGCCTCCCTGTTTGGGACCAGCAGTAAGTAAGAATTTATCAAAAGCATAGAAACTTTGCCTCTTTATGGCAAAATTATGAGAGAAAAAGGAAAGGGGAAAAATTTAAACATGGATGGTCATGTTCTTTTCTCTCACTCTTTCAAAGTAGACTTTATTGTTTAGAACAGCTCTAGATTTACAGGAAAAATCAAGAAAGCAAAGTTTTCTTTTCTCTTTTGCTATGATGTTGAAGGTTCTGAATTTGTAGACTTTAGAGGCTTAAAAAGTGAAGATTTTTCAAGTAAAATTGTATTATTATGGTCAATTTCATAACTAAGCAGGGACATTTTGTTGATAACTGGCATCATAATTTGGGGGAGAGGGTGTAGTCTAAAGCTTTTTTTACTATCATTGATTTTTCTTGTCAAGCTTTCCATTTCTGCCCTCATTCTGATGATGTCCAGTAACCAAGAGTCAGGGATGACCAAGGGTGGAGATACCTTGGGATTTAGAGTCATAAGCCTTGGGTTTAAACCCCAGTTCTGCCACTTAACTAGCTGGGCAAGTTAACTTCTTTGTGAATCTCAGTCTCCTCCTCTGAAATGGGAATAATGAGAATCAACTGAGTTAGAAAAGATTCCATCGTAAGCTGTAAAGGGCCAATCAAATGTCAGTTCTGATGGTGACTGCTCTTTACACTTGAGATGTGCATCTAGGCTAATGTAACTTATTTGATAAACCACAGTGTATATATTGCAATAAGCTGTGTTCTCTAGAGAATAAACTAATGAAATTCATAAGGTCATGGGTGGAATTTTGGTTTTGGAATCTATCCAGATTTTGAATCTTGGCCCTCCCACTTAGCCGTTATGTAACTTTGAACTTTGTCTGTGCGGTCTCTGGTTCTTTGATTCCTTAGATCTAAAATGAGATAACATCACCTAACTTACAGAGTTGTTTTGAGGATTAGATTAGATGTACATTAATACAGTGCCATCTACAGAATAAACCCCCAGGCTTATTGTAATTTCTTCTGCAGCTTCAGACCCTCCCTGGGTTCCCTCCTGGGAGTGCCCTTCACCTCCCCAAGCTCTTCTTTTTAAATATTCATAACAGGGGCAAGTCCTTATGCTCTGAGGCCTTCACTTTTGAAAATGGAAGCTAAGTAGGATAAATAAAATGGGTGATTAAGCTAAGCAATATGGTTTTGGGTTACAATGAAAGCATGTTGATGACTTTGTGCAATGGTTACTTTCTTTGTGACTTCTCGCTTGAAACTCACTCCCAAAGAAGAGATTAGATCTGGTTTGGATGATAATCTTTTGATTCTTGGAAAGCATGATTTAAAAAGAAAATTCTAAGAAGCTATGGGTTTTTTTTGGCATTTTATTTGCAGAGTGCCTTATAAATTGAGTCTAGGGACCTCTTCTCCTTATATGAAACACTCCCTCCCTGCTCCCCAACCCATACTCTGCTGAGATAATTCCAACTCGTATTTCAGGTTTCAGTTTAAGCATCACTTCCTCAGGCAGGACATGTAACAGACAGGCGAACCTCACTTTGATCCCTGTACTTCTTTTGTAATATTTACTGCCTTATAATCACTTATTAAATGTATGCTTCCACAACAAACTCTAAAGCCCCATAACATGAACAATTCCAAAGAACTGAATCCTCAGAAACTTGTCTGTTCCTCATGTGGGCAAGATATCCTCAGGAAAAAAGAACTGCGGTAAGAATCTTAAACTATTTACAGTAATCCTGTGGATGGTTATGAGATTATGAGATTTTTGTGTATATTTGGGGGAAATAAAACAAATTAGTAATTAAGAGTTATTGTAATTCTATCATTTCTGGAGTTTTTGAAAACTGGGACTATCAGTGTGGGAGAAATGAATAAAACTTTCGTAGTTTAAAGTATCAATGGGAAATCATAATTAATTTTATTTTGGGAATTTCAACTCTATCCAGTGAAAAGTCCTAGAAACAATGACCAATACAGAAACACTGAGCACCCCTAGTACTAGATTGTGGTGCTGAAATACCATTGCTCACTAAAAGGAACCAAGGCTCCTTAGAGAAATAGCTGATTCCAAGTTAGGGACAAGGAATGTTCAACGTGTGCCTGTCAGAACTTCTATTAGCTGGCAAGGAGGTGATCAGAACCTATTGGGGTTTGGTGAAAAGGACTCAGGAGCCAATTTGAAGGGTCTCCTGGCTAAAAATGGGACAATTCAAGCATCCATAAAGGTAATAACTGTAATTGATTAAAACCCATCAGGTATAATTAAAAATCATAAATTCACAATGATAGCAAAAAAGAAAAAGAAAGAGAGAGTAAAGGGAAGGGGGAAAGAGGAAGGAGTGGGAAAGAGGAAGGAGCAGCAAAAAGGAAGAGAGGGAGAAATCAAGCAGTGGATCACCATGAAAAGATGCCAGTGGACCAATATGCTGTCTGAAAACTGAAAATAAAGGGAAAGAATGAAGCATTTGGCTTGTCTTTTCCATGTGAATTACACAACTGGATAACCAAATTGAAGATGAAGGAAAGTTTCTTTTTGTAAACGTATTCCGCCTAATAAAGACAGAAAGAAGGAGACTATCAACATTTTGCAACCTCTAATGAATGAATGGATTGAGGCATTAATTCAGCTACTAACATCACAAAGGAGAGACACTGATATTATGTCTCCTGACGAAAGGACACACTTTGCCAAAAAGAAAAAAAAAAGAAAAAAGAAAAATCAAACTGGAAAATATAAAGCAAATCCCTGTCTAGGCCTCACCTCGAAGGAGGAGCCTTTTCTTGCCACTCCGGGTGTAATCAAACACTACTTCCTCTATTCTGCTTTTACATCTTATCCATACATTCACTTATTTCACAGACGTTCATCCATTTGATCACTGCATCGTTTTCTTGTTTCTCTTCTTGTCCTCCTACATGCTATGATAATATCCACTCGGCAACTAAATGATCATTTTCAAATGTAAGTCGGAGCCTGTTGCTCCTCTGATTAAAACCTGCCAGTGGCTTCTCATTAACTCTTGAGTCAAATCAAAGGTCTTTACTGTGACCACCAGATCTACAGACTCTGGTCCAAATTCTTCACCTTCTACTCTCTCCCTAGTCACTTTGCTTAGCCACACAGATCTGTCAACACGGGAAGCACACTCCCATCTCAGCACCCTTGCATAGAATACTGCTCCTGCAATATCTGCACAGCTTGCTCCCTTACTACTTCAAAGTCTCTTTATAGCCTCTTACTAGAGGGGCTTTTGTTGGCTATCCTGTATCAAAAACAACCTTGGCACTCTATTCCCTTGGCACTCTATTCCCTTTAACCAGTTAGTTTTTTTTTTTTTTTGGAGTACTTCTCATCATGACTATGTCTTACATTCATTTGTTTATTATCTCTCCCCCATTAGATGGGAAGCTCTAGAGGCAGAGACTTTGTTTATTTCATTCGTTTCTATATCTCTGGTGCCTAGAACGGTACCTTGTATATAGTATGTGCTCAAAAAATACTTGTGGAATGAATGAATGGGTGCATTCATGAGATGCTGTGTCACAGTATATTGCATTGAACATTGAGTCTCCCATAAAAGTGGTTGAGGGCAAGGAGCATTTTTTTTTTTAACTTTTAAGTTAAGGGGTACATGTGCAGGTTTGTTACATAGGTAAATTTGTGTCATGAAGGTTTGTTGTACAGACTATTTTCATCACCCAGGTATTAAGCCTAGTACCCGTTAGTTATTTTTCATGTTACCCTCTCTCTCCCCACACCTTGCACCCTCCAATAGGCCCCAGTGTGTGTTGTTCCCCTGTACGTGTCCATGAGTTCTCATCCTTTAGCTCCCACTTATAAGTGAGAACATGTGGTATTTTGTTTTCTATTCCTGGGTCAGTTTGCTAATGATAATGCCCTCCAGCTCCATCCATGTTCCCACAAAGGACATGATCTTGTTCTTTTTTATGGCTGCATAGTATTCCATGGTGTCTATGTACCCCATTTTCTTTTTTTTTTTTTTAGACGGAGTCTTGCTCTGTCGCCCAGGCTATGTACCCCATTTTCTTTATCCGGTTTTCCATTGATAGGCATTTAGGTTGACTCCACGTCTTTGCTATTGTGAATACTGCTGCAATGAACATACATCTGCATGTGTTTTTATAATAGAATGATTTATATTCCTCTGGGTATATACCCAGTACTGGAATTGCTGGGTTGAATGGTAGTTCTGTCTTTAGGTCTTTGAGGAATTGCCATACTGAAGGAGCATGTTTTATTTAGCTTTTCACTGCAGCATCTTACATGATGACTGGCACTGCGTAGGTCCTCAATAAATGCTTTTTGTACTATTAAACATTTTTACCTAATGATTTTTATACCTCTAGCTATATTTCTAAAATATTAGGAGATTTGTATTGTGTATGTGCTGGTGTGTCAGAGGTCTCCTTGGATTCCTAAGTTGTATTTCTGTGAGGAAAAAGTCTTGAAATAAAAATCCCATAAGAAATAAAATCATCCCATCATGAAAAAAATAGAGTGAGTTCTAAAGACCAATAAAGGCACAGAAATAAAGCATGTCAGTAATTGGTCAGACATGAATGGAGGATACTGTGTGAATGTTGGAACCTCTCATAATCACACCTCCTATAGATGTTGATATGAAGATCTCTGAGAATGAAGATCTCTGAGAAAGTGTCCACAGGATGTGGATGAGGGGAAATAAAGGATCTGCAGCCACACTCTCTGGGAACCACTAGGTGGTGCTGTCAAAGACAATGATTTTCATTTGTGGATGTGGGAGATGGAAAATAACTTGCTTTTAAAGTGTATTACTTCTATTTTTTATTACAACATTGCATAGTCATTGTAGAACATTTAGTAAGTACAAATAAGCAAGATGAAGAAACATTCACCCAGAATGTTTCCAGAAAGTTCTGTGGAGTCAATAGCAGTGTGTATACTCTCAAAACAGGTAACAACAATAATAATAATGACTTACATTTTAAGTGCTTACTGCATCAGATACCAGACCAATGCTTTCTACTTACCAGCCACCCAGTCTTTTTAGGAAATTTCTTTCTGTACAGTCATAAGTGAGACAAAGATATAGTTATATAGTTTTATATATTGATAGGTATAACATACTGGTTTTTATTTGATAGCCCAGCATATAGTAGATGATCAACAAATCTTAGTTGAACAAATTCTTGAGAACTTAATTACATAATTCATGAAAAGCATCTACCCCATATAGTAGATGCTTCCTTCAATAAATAGTAGCTATGTATTGCTACATGATTAACATTAATGAGTTTACAAAACAACCTTGAAAATGTTTTTTGTTGCAGTTGCCCCAAAACAGCTAAGCTTAATTTGTTGAGTGACCCAGGCTTATTTGGTTGAGTGACCTAGTAACAATAAGAAGTCTAAATTCAGCTTCTCAATGGACATTTTTGCCCCTTTATCCTTCTGCCCTTGGTCTCTAGGTTGCTTTGGGCTCAAGGAGTTGTGTCCCAGACTGGCAGAGGTCTGAAAAGTGAAGCCAGCATGGAATCCTAGAGTTTCCTAGTGACTGCTATCCAGGGTCGCACTATTAGTGGGGCTTATAGAAACAAAAATGGGGCTGGGTTCGCTGGCTAATGCCTGTAATCCCAGCACTTTGGGAGGCTGAGATGGGTGAATCACTTGAGCCCAGGGGTTTGAGACCAGCCTGGGCAGCATGTCAAAACTCATCTCTACAAAAAATACAAAAATTAGCCAGATGTGGTGGTGGACCTGTAGTCCCAGCTACCTGGAGTCTGAGGTGGGAGGATCACCTGAGCTGGGGGAGATAGAGGCTGCAGTGAGCCCTGATGGTGCCACTGCACTCCAGCCTGGACCCTGTCTCAAAAAAAAAAAAAAAAATAAAGAAAGAAAGAAAGAAAGAAAGAAAACTGGGTGCTGGGGCTGGTTGGTTCAGGGCAGCTGTGCCTAACAGAATTTCTTGGGATTACTAAATGATTAGCAGACCGTATTTTCCTTGTGCCTGTATCTCCATTTCTTTCTCAGCCACTTCAGTTTCTATGTCATCTGAGCCCTCTTTAAATTTAACTTAATAAATACTTTTGAGTTACTGTGAGCAAGGTACTGTGTTAGGTGTGTGGTGAGAGAAAGGATAGAGAGATAATGATATCTCTGCCTTTAGAAGCTTTCAGACTAGTAGGGAGGATAAGGGAAGTACCTGTCTCCAAGATGAGTAACCACTTCCACGTCTTCTGACTTTCAATCAGTAAAATAGAGTTTCTCAATGTGTGATAAGGGGGCATCTGCATCAATTTCTCCTGGAGTGTTTGTTAGCATCTCAGATCTGCTGGATCAGAATTTCTGGGTAGGAGAGGCAGAAGTCTTTGGAATCTGTATACAACAAGCATCACAGGTGCTTTTTACACTCACCGAAGTTTGCAAACTACTGCTGTTGCTTCCCGAGGTGATTGCAGACAATAATGGAGATTGAAAGGAAGAAAGAGTGTGTGTTTAACATGCTTGCTACACGAAACTCTACTAATCACCTTTCATCTTTTGACTCCTGTTAGGTGTACCAAGAGAAACTATTATCATCCTCATTTCCCTGTTTTAAAGATGAGGATTTAGGTACAGAGAGGTTAAGTAACATGCCCAAGATCACACATAGAAAGTGGCGGAGGCAAGATTTGAATCGATGTGGTCTGATTCCAAAGTCTATGCTTTTAACCACTGTGTTCACTGCCTCTCATAGATGGTGGCTTTCAGAAAAGACTAACAAAGACTTGGAAAGGTGTAGAATTCCCAAGTGAAGAACATGGGCAAAATGATTGATTTTGAAATGTAATAACCATAAGGAACTATTGGTTCTCGTTAGTCTGTTTACAATAGATTATATGGTATTGTTTTTATTCTTCCAAAGTCACATGGGTAGTTTTAAAAAAGATCATAAAACCAATCTACTGAACACCTTATCTGTATAATGCTGTTGAAAGGCATTATCTAATCCTTGTGACAACTCTGATGTAATATTTGATTCAATGTAGAGATACAGAAAGTATTCTCAGAGAGTGCAAGTAATTTTTTCCCAAGTATATACAACTATTAAATGGTAGAATGAGGTCTGTTTTTACTCAACATCTGTTGCAGCAGTGATGTGTTCAGCTCTAAGTAACAGACATCTCAATGCAAAATGACTTGAACAATACAGAAAGGTGTTCTTATATATATCTCACATGTCAGCAAGTCCTGAGGCAGGATGGGTTTCAGAGTTGGTTAATTCAGAGGCTCAGTTATGTCATCAGGGTCTTAATGTCTACTCCATCTTGGTATTTGCCCAAGTTTGAGCAATTTACGGGTTGAATTGTGTCTCCCAGTAAGAAACATTGAGTCCTAATCCCTCAGTACCTTAGAATGTGACCTTATTTGGAAATAGGATCTTTATAGAGGTAATGAGGTTAAAATTAGGTCTTTGGGGTGAGCCCTAATATAATATGACTGGTGTTCTTATAAAAAGGGGAAACTTAGACACAGAGACAGAAAAATAGAAGGGAAATGATGTGAATACACACAGTGAGAAGATGGCCATGTGACTGGAGTGATGCACTTTCTAAGCCAAGGAACCCAGATGCTAAAAGAGCAAGGAAAGATTCTCCTCTAGAGCCATCAGAGAGGAAGACTCAGCTGACACCTTGATTTCAGACTTCTAGCTTCCAGAACTGTGAGATTCTGTTGTTTTAAGTCTCTCAGTTATTTTGTTGTGGCAGCCCTAGGAAACTAACACTGTGTTCTGCCATCATTGGTGTTGGTTTCATCCTATGCTGGTAGTAGGATGGCTACTTCACTTTCAGAGGTCACATCCAGATATCAAAATGTCCAGCTTCTTTGGTTGGCCAGAATATTCTTCTCTGCTGTGGCCCCAGCCAACTTCCTCTCCTACTTCACTGGTCAGAGTCCCATGCCTTTCCTCAAACTCAGAAATGGCAAACGGAATAGGGTTGCCTATGACCAGTCAAACCCACCTGGTGAGGACTGGACTGTCTTCCCTCCAGTCTGTATGTTGCAGCCCTAGCCCTCAATATGATTGTATTTAAAGATAGGAATTTTAAGAGTAATTAAATTAAATTTTAAGAGTAATTTAAAAAGGTTAAATGAGATCATAAGGGTGGATGGAGTTCTAATTCAAAAGATTGGTGACCTTACGAGAATAGAAATCTCTCTCTCTCTCTCTTCTCTCTCCTCTCTCTTTGTGTGCATGAACTGAGAAAAGGCCATGTGAGCACACAGCCATCTGCAAGCCAGAAAGAGAGCCCTCACCAGAAACTGACCCTGCCAGCCCCTTGTTCTTGGACTTTCAGTCTCTAGAACTGTAAGAAAATAAATTCTGCTTGTTTAAACCACTCGATCTATGATATTTGTTATGGCAGCCTAAGCTCACTAATGCACCACTCTTATAAACGAAGAGATCAGCTTCCCCTGAGATGCATGGCTGTGTATAAAAATAGGTTCTTGAACAAAATCAAGTTATGCCAGGAAAGAAGATGGTGGGGAGAAGGAATGCTGGGTAGGCCACCAACAGTTTCTACTATATTCTAAATTTTGTTCATCATGCCATAGCTTTTCTTTTCTTTTCTGTCCTCTTCTCTTCTCTATTTTCTTTTCTTTTTTTGAGACAGAGTCTCACTCTGTCCCCCAGGCTGGAGTGCAGTGGCATGATCTCAGCCCACTGCAACTTCTGCCTCTGAAGTTCAAGGAATTCTCATGCCTCAGCCTCCTGAGTAGCTGGGATTATGGCATGTGGCACCACGCCTGGCTAATTTTTTGTATTTTTAGTAGAGATGGGGTTTTGCCATGTTAGCCAGGCTGGTCTTCAACTCCTGGCCTCAAGTGATCTACCCGCCTTGGCCTCCCAAGGTGCTGGGATTACAGGCATAAGCCACTGTACCCAGCCGACAGCTATCTTTTCCTTGTCCCAGTTTCTCCTCATAGGATGGGAATGATTGCTTTTGTCTTACTTGATGATGAGAGATGTGAACTTGGATTTATAAGTTAATTCAATGTAAATAAATATTGGTCATTATAGAACCTGAAGCTCAATGCTTGACTCAATGCCCAAAACACAGTAGACTCTCACATGGCAGGCAAAATTCACCATCTGCAGTCCTTGACTCTCAGGGTCCAATTTTTGTGACTGTCCTATTGAGTGGAAGGGCTCTGGAGAGGGCTCATGGTTTCTTTTGGACCTAGAATTTCAGGAGTAATTAGGAGGATACCTTCACCTCCATCCCTTATGAGGAGCTCCTGACTTCTGCTTCACTATGAGAAAGTCAGATATACGGTTGCTGTGTCTCTCACTCAGGCCTTCCAGTAGTTTCTGTCTTTTAAAGCAGATACGGTTCCTTAGTGCATATATAGGAATGTGAAATCCATTAAAGGGTCCTGAATATGTTGGGGAAAATTATGACAGGATAAGTATGATGTAATTTAAGTATTTTGGCACAGCAAATGGAAAGAAATTACATTTCCTATTATCTTCCAACAGTTATTGAAAATGAAATGAAATATATTCTATACTCCCCCAAAAAGTCAAGGGTTTTTTTTTCCCCTTAGACGCAATTTTTCCCGCAGTTTGTTCATTTGGTATGCATTCCCCTCCTTTCACGACATGGAGGCATTCTGTTATGAAACATTCAATGAAAAAAAATGAACAAAAAAAGTATACTACTTCTTTAAAATATATTGCAAGAATACTCATTTTCAGCTTTTTATTGCAGCACTAGCTGGTATTCTTGCATGCAGTTTTGTAATTTATTCTGAACATTCTACTTAAACCTTTTTTCAATAGCATGATTTTATTAGCGTCAGCTCACTGGACTTTCCCAAAAAGGTATTTAAGATCAAATAAAACCAGTGCTTGGAAAAATATCATTACAATATGGAAGCAGTTACAAAAACATTAGTACTGCAAAGTTTTATTTCAAATGGCTGAGCTTGCTGTACCCCGGGTTATGGTACTTCTACTTCTGCAGGCACACTTACTGGGGAAATGGGAAAAACTGTCATCTTAGCAGTTTTTGCACATGTTAGGGGGCAGTGCGGGGAGAAGAAAAGGGTATAAAAATTTAAAGTGAGGCAGCAAAATTTTTAGATGCTGGCATCAATAGGAAAAATCAATTGTCCTCCATCCCGAACCCCGCCTTCTCATCCCACACTTCCTAACCACCCTCCACATGTCACTTGTCCCAGTGGATATGATAGAAACCTTCAAGTTAGCCTTTACCCAGAGGCAAAGTGCTGTCCTTTCTAAAATATGGAAGGTACCCTTTGAAATATGAGTGGATTGATTACTGAATTCGATGTGTCAGAGTATTATATGCCTTTTGGGGTTTTGTTCCATACCTAATAAACTCTTGTCAACATGGTGTCTTATTGGTCAACTGATGTCTTTTAGCACCTCTGTCTGGTCAGCCACAGAGAAAGTTCCTATCTGAAGGCTTAGCCTGGACACACCTTCGGCGGGGTAGGGCGAGCTTTATAGACAGGCTGGTGAGTCCCCAGGCTCCCGTGGTGAGCACTCTGCAGCCCAAGTCCTTTCCCTCGAGTGCAGTTCCCCGAGGCCACTCCACACTCACCTTCAATCAGGCTAAGGAGCAAACCAGCACCCTCCTCTCACTCAACTTCGTTAACAGAGCATCAAGTACAAATATTTTTTCTTGTTCGCTTGTGAATGCGTCTCTCCCTTTCATGGTAACTGACAGCCAGTATGGCTGGAACTCAGCCTCAAGTGGGGGAGAGTCAGCCATGTCCACCCCTGCAATTTGATGGGCTTTAGGAGGTTGCTTTCAATTAAAATCTGATATTTATGAGGAAAAACAGTGTCGTTTGCCACAGGATACAAATTGCTCTTGGATCTGGTGTTTTACATTTTAAAGGAAGTAATCTACTATTGGTTTTGCAGTACAAAAGGGATGCTTAGTAAAGATGAAAGAAATTCGCATTTCTAGGTATTGGTATTTTCCTGTAGGTGATTATTAATCGACATGCAATTCTCCTACCCGATATTTCTTGCAGCCCTTTTCCTGCAAGCATCAAATCTATGGCAAAACACCCACATCCCTTAAGTTTGCAGATCAGGTGGTTTCTACGTGGACTTTCAAAAGCGATTTTTAAATTGCGAGTTACTATTCGTATTACTTTTCTAAGGAGAAATATGCTTAAAAAGTAAAGTCTTTATTGCTTCTTAAAAGGCCTAGCACTCTGTGATAAATTCTCATATTTTGACTGTTAATATGTTTGAATGAAAATTATTTATACATTTGGGTGAGGTTGAGTGGTTTTCATTTGATTGCTGCCTCTGGAAATGAAAGCAGAGTAGCAGGAAATTTCCATGTCATGCTGTGATGTATATCCAGATTATGAGATGATTGTGCAGCAGACGAACCCCGAGTAAAATCATTCCCATCAAACTGTGACAACTGCAATTCCTGACAAGGCCTCTTAGTTTTGGGGGCTATTATCATTGTACAAGAATATAATCTATTGACAGCAGGGCTGTTTAATACATTTAAAGGCAGACAGTAGAAGAAATCTTAACTGTTTTCATTCGCCACTGCACAAGGGTGCAGATCAAAAGTGAATTATATTTAAAAATATGCATGTATGATGATAAGATGCATGACATTCATCAACCTGTTTAGTCATGGTTAGGCTGAGGTGGGGAAGAGCCAATATTACTGCCATATGTGGTCTGAAATAGAGACGTGAGACTGGAAATTATATCATTGCCCAGTCAGAGCGAGGAAACGGGGAGACATTCTTTTTTAATCTCTGCTCTCTACCTGTCTACGCGTCAAGCGCCATCCATGTCTGTAGCAGTGACTTTGGCTTACCCGGGGTAGGTGGAAGCCCTGTGTATCTGTGCCCTCCTTTTTTGTAATGTGCTCGTGTATATGACATGCAAGCATCATGCCAGCACTACGGGTGTTATGGAGATGACTAAATCATGACCCTTATAGAAGCTTCTAGTTGAGAGAGAGACTGGTGTGTGTGCTTACATAAGCTAAGGCTGTAGGGCCTGGGGAAAAGTCTCAGAAGGGACTGAGCCTGGAATTATTCAGCCCCAAGGGTCCACATTACTCGACTGGTGTGTGTGGCGGGAGAGGGGCTGCTTTTGTGTCCTATCGCACAGGTGTACAGGTAGCAGTGAGGGCTGTTCTCGATTTCAGGCTACAAAAGCTCACGCAGTGGGGTGGTGATATTAGTGCCCAAAGCCAAAGGACTTAGCATGGTCCCTTTTTATGGGAAAACTCTGGCATGATTGTGAGGAGCAGTATGGTTCTCTTTATGATAGGCCTGTAAGTCAGCCACAGCGAGGATTTTGAATTCCCATGCTCATCATGACTCTGCAAACCATGGCACAGAATTCAGTCATTTATTAAAACGAAAGATGTTCAAAGCCAGTTTAAAAAAGTGAAATCAAGAGGACTGATGAATTAACGACATTTTTTCCTGAAGGAATTAGCTAATCAGCTAATATTCAGTTCACAGGATTGAAATGACTGAATGGAGACTCAGAAGGGAGAACGAAGAGGGTGGAAAAGGGTTAAAATGTCCAAATCTCAGCTCAGCTGCCAAAAACTCCTTCTGGGTCTTCAATCCCTCTCCATTGCTTTAGGAAAGCAAATACTTAAATAAGCCACACCCATCTGTCTTTCCCCTTAAAACCTGAACTGTTAAAGTGAATGCAGAATTATTTTTAGTGCCCATTCCAAAGGTTAGTCATGACAAGAGGCTCTTATCCTTTGAAAGGTTTTATAAGACTGTCCTGAGAGAAGCCCTTGCTTTAGGTCCCCTAAAGGGCATAAAACACTGATGAGGTCTAGGTCCCATTTGGAGTTGCCAGTCCAGGACTAAAGGATTATTGGAAGGCAAATCCTTCAGAGGCTAGGCCAGGCCCCTTTCATGACCTCTTAGGGGTTGGTGGTGGCCACCTGGGAAGGGACTAACTTGCTCGATAAGAAGAGAGTGGCTGGGCTTAGCGGCTCACACCTGTGATCCCAGCACTTTGAGAGGCTGAGACAGGAGCATCACTTGAGGCCAGGAGTTCGAGACCCGCCTGGGCAACATAGTGATACAAAAATTAGCCAGGTGTGGTGCAGCGCACCTATAGACCCAGCTACTTGGGAGGCTGAGGTGGGAGGATTGCTTGAGCCCAGGAATTCAAGGCTGCAGTGAGCTGAGATTGCGCCATTGTGCTCCAGGCTGGGAGACAGAATAAAACCTTGTCTTAAAAAAAAAAAGTGGGAGTGAGCAAAAGGAAGTCATCCATGTCTCCGTGACCAAGGACAGTGACCCCATCAGATGTGACAGGACAAGGTCACATCTCTGAATGTTAAGATGGGGGCCTCTCTTGTGAGTAATAGATGTTAGTTCACATCAGCACAGATATACTGACTGCTTACTGTGTGTCAGGACTGTACTGGGTCTTGACAGCTTCCCTTATCTCAAAGGGCTTGCAACGTATACTGTGGTAGGTAGAAAAGGGGACAGGGTAATTTGAGAAGGACTTTTTGTTTTAGTTATTGCAGTGTCTAAAGTACTCAGCATGGTAACTGGGGCAGAGTAAGCACACAATCCTTTGTTTTAATAAACTTTTTATTTAAGAAGAGTTTTAGATAATGGCAAAGATAGTACCGAGTTCTTATGTACCTCACACCGAGTTTCCCCTATTTTTTTTTTTTTTTTTTGAGACAGGGTCTTGCTCTGTTGCCCAGGCTGGAGTGCAGTGGTGCAATTATAGCTCACTGCAGCCTCGACCTCCCAGGCTCAAGCAATCCAGTCACCTGAGCCTCCTGAAGAGCTGGGACCATAGGCATGTGCCGCCATGCCAGGCTAACTTTTACATTTTTTGCAGAGATAGGTCTCATTATGTTGCTGAGGCTGGTTTTAAACTCCTGGACTCAAATGATCCTCCTGCCTCGGCCTACCAAAGTGCTAGGACTACAGGCATGAGCTACTGCAACTGGCCCAGTTTCCCCATTATTAACATCTTACATAAGCATGGTGCCTTTGTTACAATTAATAAACCAATATCAATACATTATGTTTAACTAATGTCCATACTTTGTTCAGGTTTTCTTAGATTTTTATAATATCTATTTTTTTGGTCCCAGAATTCCATCCAGGGTACCACATCACATTTAGTTGTCCTACATCCTTGGTCTCCTCTTGACTGTGACAGTTTATCAGCGCTCTCTGGTTTTTTTATGAACTTGACAGTTTTGAGAATTACTAGTCAAGCGTTTTGCAGAATGTCCTGCATCTGGGATTTGTGTGATGTATTTCTCATGAATAGATTGAAGTTATAGGTTTTGGGGAGGAAGACCACAGAGATAATGTACCATTTTTATCCCATCGCATGTCAAAGATACATACTTTCAACATGATTATCACTGTCGATGTAGACCTTGATCACCTGGCTGAGGTGGTGTTGGGCATGTTTCTCTACCCACCAGGCCCCTGCACGCTGTACTCTTCGGAATGAAGTCACTATACATAGCCCACACTTAAGGACACAGTTAACCCAAGTTGGGCTAACCCAATCAGATACCATCTTCCTGGAATTCAGAATTGGGATGTAGAGATGCTAGTCAGTCTCCTTGGGTTGCTTAAACTGGTATAACGAGGGGTGGAGTGGCTGTCTCCTGCTTTGTTCATGGAGAAGCAACAAAAGCTGATCTAAAGAGAGAGCAAAATGAACACAACAAAGAGAACAAAGACAATGGAATACAGCCAGAGAGAGGGGGAGAGACTCTGTCTTGTTGGTGGAGCTTTCTGGAACTGGGTTTCAGTCCCTTGGGAGACCCACTTTTGAGATATCAGCCTATGCCTATAATAACCTCTGTACCCAATTTTTTCCCTCTTAAGCTAATTTGCATAAGTTTTGGAAACACATGTTTAATGTTACCTAAGATATTTTAGGGGATTTTTAACTTTTATTTTAATTAATTAATTAATTAATTTATAGATGGAGTCTCACTCTGTCACCCAGGCTGGAGTGCAGTGGTGCGATCTTGGCTCACTGCAGCCTCTGCCTCCCGGGTTCCAGCGATTCTCCTGCCTCAGCCTCCCGGGTAGCTGGGAGTACAGGCATACACCACCATGCCTGGCTAATTTTTTGTATTTTTAGTAGAGATGGAATTTCACCATATTGGCCAGGCTGGTCTCGAACTCCTGACCTCGGGTGATCCACCCACCTTGGCCTCCCAAAGTGTTAGGATTACAGGGGTGAGCCACTGTGCCTGGCCTTAACTTTTATTTTAAGTTCGGGGCACATGTGCACGTTAGTTATATAGGTAAACTTGTGTCATGGGGGTTTGTTGTACAGATTATTTAGTTCCCAGGTATTAAGCCTAGTACCCATTCATTATTTTTCCTGAGCCTCTCCCTGCTCCCACCCTCCACCCTCAGGTAGGCTGCAGTGTCTGTTGTTTCCCTCTTTCTGTCCATGTGTTCTCATCATTTACCTCTCACTTGTACGTGAGAACATGCAGTATTTGTTTTTTTGTTTCTGTGTTAGTTTGCTAGGGATAGTGGCCTCCAACTCCATCCATGTTCCCGCAAAGGACATGATCCATACTTTTTTATGGCTACAGAGTATTCCCTGGTGTATATGTACCATATTTTCTTTATCCAGTCTTCCATTGATGGGCATTTATGTTGATTCCATGTCTTTGCTACTGTGAGTAGTGCTGCGGTGAACATACATATGCATGTGTCTTTATGATAGAATGATTTATATTCCTTTGGGTGTATGCCCAGTAATGGGATTGCTGGGTCAAATGGTAGTTCTGTTTTTAGCTATTTGAGGAACCACCACACTGCTTCCCACAATGGTTGAACTAATTTACACTCCCACCAGCAGTGTATAAGTGTCTCTTTTTCTCTGCAACCTCACCAGCATCTGTTATTATTTGACTTTTTAGTAATAGCCATTCTGACTGGTGTGAGATGGTATCTCATTGTGGTGGTTTTGATTTGCATTTCTCTAATGATCAGGGATATTGAGTTTTTTTTCATATGCTTGTTGGCTACATGATGTCTTCTTTTGAAAAGTGTCTGTTTATGTCCTTTGCCCACTTTTTAATGGAGTTGTTTGTTTTGGGTAACTTTTTAAACCACTGTTGAAAGGGAAGCCTGGCAGGCTTTTCCTCAGCCTGTGAGACAAGCATGTGGAGGTGTTGGGGAGCCAAGGAGGACCTGGCCTCCCGTTGGAGGGTGTGGGTTTTGGGATCCAGGTTTCACCTCACCAGCTTTGTGACCTTATGGAAGTTATTTAGGCCTTGGCTTTCTTACTTATGAAGTAAATATAAACCACTCCACAGGGCTGTGTGACCACGAAAGGACAGAATGTGCGTACATCCTCAGAAGAGTGGCCAGCATTGGCTCTCATGAGTATTTGAGATGGTCCCCACTTTCTCTCACGAGTGGCCCCCTCTGTGAAGCAGCCATTGCTCGCCTGGGCAGAATGTCATGTTCTCAAAACCCCTGTCACTGCCTCCATTATAGAGTACATACTTTGTCATATTATAATTATTTGTTCACTTGTTTCTCTCTCAAACTACAGCACAATTTCATTCTTTACTGCTGTAGTGTTTGCCACTGGGACTGCTACACAGAAGGTGCCTAATACATGTTGGATGAATAAATAAGCACACACATTTATTATTCAATTCAACTATTTATTAAGCTCTTCCTATCATGTTTAAAGGACAGGAGTCCACATTATAGGAGAAAATGTAAATCATAGTGAGTAGCACCTGACAGTTTGCGGCACTCTCTCAACCCAAGCTTACAGCCAGTGTGTGAGATAGAAAGGCAGAATTTTTATCTCCATCCCTCCCAAATGTGGAATTTGGCTATCGGAAATTAAGTGAGTTGCTTACAGTCACAAGTTCATAAAGAAATAGGCAGAGAGGGGGTAAATACAGAGGCCTTTGGAGTTTGAGTTTAGTGCCCTTTCCACATTGGAGGCACTGGTATGAGGGACTTGTCTGCAAGAGATTCCTTTAGGTTAGGATGTGCAAGTGGCAAATGGCAGTTGCTACCATGAAGAGGGAGGAGGAGAAGAGGGATGCTTCCTTGCTGTGAGGGGCCCATCAAAATTATGGCTTGAAGCTTATTTTTACAGTGCAATAGCGTCCCCCGTCTCAGCTGAGCAGGATCCTGTGAAACACAAGTTTAGCTCAGCAGAATTCATCACCAGCTGAGACTTAAAAATGTGTCTGAGCTCTGTACGTATTGAACATACAAAGAGTATGAATATCAAGTTATTCGGCTGTGAAATAAAATCAACAAAGTTAGTTATGTTTAATTTAACTGTTGAATGGAGGTTTAGTAATTTGCGACCAAAACCTCGATGAGGAATGGAAAATGGGCAAATCAAACACTAAATTTCCTTCTCCTAATAGCCCAGGCTCTGCCGAGAGGAAAAAGCTGATCTGTGCTTTCTCACCTTTGCCTATCATCATTAAACACCAAGCAGTACCTGGCTTGGGCCTTTCTATTTTTCCTAATCTCCTCCAGGGGAGAACAAATTGCAAACAATATCAGGTCCCAAAGTCCTGCGGGAACCCTTTGAAAGCCAGAAAGGATAAAGATCTACACCCATGCCTTTTCTTAACTACTTCACTCGAAGGGCAGTTTAAATAATCTTGTCTGTATATAGGACATGATATGAATTGTGGGTTTGGGAAGGAGAAAGTAGTATGCATAGGGTTGTATCCCATCATTGAGAATTATTATCTGTCTTCTGTTGTTTGTGATGTTTAATGACACAATGCTCTTTCCTTCCTTTCCTTTTCCTTCCTTCCTTCCTTCCTTCCTTCCTTCCTTCCTTCCTTCCTTCCTTCCTTCCCTGTTTCTGATTGAATAGTTCCCATAATTGTCATTGAATGAAAGTCAACAAGGACACTATTGGCATTTAGGGATGGGCAGTTCTTTATTTTGCAGATTTCCTGCACATTCGATGATGTCCGTTAGCCTTGGCACCCCCATAAACATCATGATAACCGAAAATACTTCTATTAACTCCCTTTGTGATCTGGTTGATTTTCATAAACCAGGAAGCAAAAGGAGGAAAGGGTCTTTTCGGAAGCAAGTTGCCAAGGCTTTTGTTTTAACAGCTGAGAATCAAATGGAATAGAATTAATCTGATAGAAGGTGGGAAAGATGCCCAATTTCCCTTGCCTGCTTCAACCCTATAGGCTGGAAGAAGGAAATACTCACGTTTCCAGATGTCCTTGTACCTAGTGTTGATCATAGACAGAGTCTAGGCAGGAATTTATAAGTGGAAGTCTGCTGAGGGCCCTGGGAGGGAGTTGACTTTTCTTGATTAAAAAAAAGATAGAAATGGCACATCCTTTTCCTGTCCCTCCTGCCTTGAATATAAATGTGATGGTAGGAGCTACAGCAATTATATTGCAACCATAAGCAAAAACCTGTTTGAAGCATGTCAGCAACCACCTACCTTCAGACTTCTTAGGGGGTGAGTAAAATAGTCTTCCAAGCCTTATTGTAAGTACCAGCAGAAAGTGTTTCTGATACAGCACTATGTAAAATGATATTTGTAAAGTTTACTTGGTAATACAGAAATATTTTTATAATTTAATACTGGTGAAAAAGCAGGATACATATGAGTATGTAGGGGTATTTCCACTATATAATCCTTCCTTAAATGCTACAATAACTTATTCACATGCAAAAAGGTACTCACAGAAATTATTGCAAATTGTTAAGAGTGGGGTTTTTTTTTTTGCATGACTAAGGCTTATTTTTGTTACATTTTTCTAGTCTCTATTTTCCAAATTTGCTTTCATAAGTCTATTGCTTTTAAACAGAAGAACAATGTGTGTATATAATACACACACAGACACAGACGTGCGTATATTTGGAGCTAGTGCAGCCTCTGGGTGCAGTAGTGAAAGGAGAATGTCTAGATCCTAAGATCTTCTCACTCTCTCACTTCTCACTCAATCCTCTCACTCTATTGAGCTCCCTTGGGTGTGAGTGCAGAGCTGTTGAGGGGTCTACAACGCAACGTGATGAGAGTACAGGAGCACTGTGATCATTCGTCTTGTGATAATTAAATTGTGAAGCAGAGAAGCACAAGAACTATCTTCAAATATGTGCAGGACTCTCATGTGGAAATGGATATTAGTTCTTTCCATCCTTTATTCATTCACGCCAAGTATTGACAGGGGCCATATGACAGGTAATGGGTGAGCCCACTATTAACCCCAAGCAGCCGTGGTTCCCTGCCTTCATAGAATGGGCAGTTTATGAATGGAAAATAATAATTTATCACATAATTACAAAACTATACCACTTTCAGTAATGATAAAACCTATGAAGAAACAGTAGAGGGAGCTGTGAGAGGCAGAAACCTAATCTAGTTTGGGGAGTTAGTCTAAGACTTCCCTGAAGAAGCCTTGTTTGAGCTGAGGTCTGAAGAGCTAATTAGAAAAAGCAGACAAGAAGAGGGTTTCAAACAAAGGCATTATGCAAAGGTCCTGGGGCCAGTAGGAAAGTTGCCTACCTGAGCAGAAAGAGGCCTGGGGCCTCTGCAGCACAGAGCATGAGGGCTTGAGTGGCCTGAGATGAGGCTGGTGAGGCAGGCAGCGGCCAGATCATGCAGAATAAGGACTCTCAGCCTTAGGCTCCCTAAGAACCATGGGTCATCATGGTGGGTTTTAATCGCAGGGGAGGTATTATTTGCATGGTGAAAAATTCCCTTTGGTTGTACTGGATGTGCAAGTGGGTGGGGGTGAGTAGAAAAACCTCAGTTCTTCATCACTCCAGAAGGGACTAGAGTCCATGGAAGGAAGTGACAAGAAGAAAGATTTTGGCTAAATATGAGAAAAAACTTTCTAATGATGAGATAAATAAGAACTATCACAGATTCAGCCATGACAAATTGGGAGACACTATACTGAGTTCACACACTAAAAATTTTTTTCATTCAATTCTCACAACAATCTTAGAGGGCAGAGACTGGTGTCATGCCACTTTACAGGTTAGGGAATGAGGCTCAGAGAGGTCAAGTGACTTACCAAACATCACACAGGCAACAGGTGGTAGATCCAGTACTGGAACTGAGTTCTGGCTACTGCTAAAGTCCTTTCTTCATCGCTAGGCTAGGCAACAATGCCTCCCTCCACCAAAAAAGACCCGCTCTCCCAAGTGGGAAGACGAAAGTGGTGACCTCCTCCTTCAAGGGCTTCCTGACCTGGGAGCTTTTGCGTTTCCAAGAGTGACAGTGCTTGACCTGCTTCACCCGCACCTGGACATGGCTTGGACTCTGAGAAAAGGAGGCTTTTCTCCTTGTGTCCTTTCCTAGGGAGCTGCAGATGTCTCTGTCCTCCTTCCTGCCTAAGATCACCCCCCAGAAAATCGTATTCTCCTTATAGCTTGGAGACTCCCTCTTTCCCACAGTCCTTGGAGAGAAGCCAGGGGCTAAGAGCCCCGCTCTGGAGCTTTCGGGAAGCCTCCTTGGAGGCTGCCTTGCCAGGGAGCTCTGCCTTCTGCTTTCTCTCAGGCCCTGGGGGAACGCGACTCCATTTCAGGGCTGAGGAGATGAAGAAGAGGAGGCTCGTGGAGGCTGACCTTCTGCGGACCTGAGCCTATGCCAGTATAAACTACCTGGATCAAAGGAGCAGCATCCTTTGCTATCGGATGTCATTGGTTCACAGGAGAAAAGTGAGAGATTAAGAAGTTATCAAGTGGCTGGGCGCAGTGGTTCACTCCTATAATCCCAGCACTCTGGGAGGCCGAGGGGGGATGGATCACCTGAGGCCAGGAGTTTGAGACCAGCCTGGCCAACATGGTGAAACCCCATCTCTACTAAAAATACAAAAATTAGCCGGGCGTGGTGGTGCACGCCTGTAATCCCAGCTACTCGCGAGGCTAAGGCAGGAGAATCGCTCTAGCCCAGGAAGCAGAGGCTGTAGTGATCTGAGATCATACCACTGCACTCAAGCCTGGGCAACAGAGTGAGACTCCGTCTCAAAAAAAAAGAAAAAAAAAAAAGAAAAGAAAGAAAGAAAGAAAGAAAAAGTTATCAGGCACTGTTGACTTCCTTTCTGAAGTCACGGAGCAGTTGCTGCCCCATAACAACCCCAAACATGATGAATATTTTGGGAGAAGGGGTAATTTTTAAATAAAGAAAAATGCTGCTTCTCTGCAAGAAAATTTGGCCACTAACTTCATTTGACAGGTGTGATAGACTGTGGTGGTTTTGGGGGGATACATGGTGTAAAGTAAAGCAAGAGAAGTAATAAGCATCTTGGCATTTATTCTTTATGTAGGAATATTTGTTCCTCAAAGTCAGACTACGTGGAATATTAGCATTTGAATAAATTATTCAACACCTTCTAGAGAAAGCAAGGGAAAAAATCTTTTCAGCATTATAACATGGCAATCTACAAGGTAGTAGAAAAAGAAGGCTGTCATTTTTTCTTCAATTACAAAAGGCAAATATTTATTATTTATAAGTATTCGCCTTGTATAGGCTTAAATGTTATTTATGAACCTGTTGCACAGTGATTTTCAATGTAACTCATTATTTTTAGCCTTAGGGTGTTGTAAAGGAGCACGGATATATTTAATGACACTCTGCTAGTCAGCGCAATTACACTGTAATCATTATGTAAAATGTGCTATTAATTAAACCAATTTCTAGTTAGAACATTCGCTTCTGCAGGGCTTAATCTTAATCTCCAGCAATCTTTCTCTCTGTTTTTCACCTATTAATTATATGATTACTCTTTAAGTTAGATGTGATATGTTTTTATTTTTAAGCTTAATACCATCAAATAGGAATATTTGGCAAATGAGTCTGGTGTTTATGGATCAAATGTTTCTATTTGTTGAACTAGAGAAAGGTTTAGTTTAAGGGTTATTTTTTGTGGAGTTGTATTTTTTAAAAGAAATCAAACCCTTAAGGCTGGGTGCGGTGGCTCATGCCTGGAATCCCAGCACTTTGGGAGGCCAAGGCAGGCGGATCACCTGAGGTCGGGAGTTTGAGACCAGTCTGACCAACATGGAGAAACCCTATCTCTACTAAAAATATAAAATTAGCCAGGTGTGGTGGCGCATGCCTGTAATACCGGCTACTCGGGAGGCTGAGGCAGGAGAATCGCTTAAACCCGGGAGGAGGAGGTTGCGGTGAGCCAAGATCGTGCCATTGCACTCCAGCCTGGGCAAAAAGAGCAAAACTCCGTCTCAAAAAAAAAAAAAAATCAAAGTCTTGTATGTTCTCTTTTCTGCCTAAGTAGCAGTATTCACAAAAATCCTTAGTTTTGTGACTTACAAAAAACCCAGTTTCACTTGAGTCATTGCTGTATTGAGCTTACATGCTTTGAAATAACCCTTTCTTACTGAAAGGTGGTAAGATGTGGTACTATTTGACTTCAGCATTACATGATATGTCACCATTTTGTAAAAAAAAAAAAAAAAACCCTTATTTTGTTAAAGTAGGTTAAATAGTTGACATTTCTGGTGGCGGGAGGAGGTAAATAGCCTGTCTCTTAAGGCCTTTCCACCGCTTCTCTTCCAAAAGCCGTGTTTTACTTCTACTGCTGTGTTTCCAATAACGGGGAGGGGGAAACAGGCTTCCTAATCTTTACTAATGATTCTTGTTGATGAAGGTTATAGCAGCATTTCTTCCTCTTTTTTTTTTTTTTTTAATTCATTCTTCTCTCTCTTTCTAGAATGACCCCTTGTAGAAGGGAACTAAGAAAGAAAGGAAGGGAACAAGCTTACTATACAGAGGCAAGACAAGCAGGAAATGGATAACGTTTCACTGTCTCCTTCCTTTGTACACCATCCATCTCCTGAGAGGTGGAGAGAGTGTTTTAAAAATCCTGAACAACTGAATAGAAGTCAGGGCCTACCTTGAACCAGTCAGAAAATGCATTCCAGAGGAGATGCTTTTGAATCACACGTACAAGTCCCAGAAAACTTCTCTACAACCTTTACCTTTGTCCTTTAGGTGGAACAAAGTACTATATAAAACTGTGTGGGGATTATTTTGATGAGGGTTGAAAAATGAAGGCTCTTATCCGTTATTTAAATTCCTGTGTGCACCGCCCCCTTCACAAAGTGTGGGAGTAGGTCTTCTACATCAAGATGCCTGGAGTTTGGTTCAGTGAAAACCTTTCGGAGGGCCTGGGGATCTTGATTGTCCCTCAGTGCCCTGATGAAATGTTTTTATTTATCCTGCTTGCTGCCTGGAGTTGACACTGGTAATATCAATCATTCCCTGCCAGCGTATTAACATGGCTGCACCTGCTTAAACCATCCACATGTTGTAACTCACAAGAAGTTGGGAATCAAATGCAGTATTATTTATGTACTCCCTTAACTTGTCCCATACTACAAAAATTTCCACTCTGACACCATCTGCTAGGGAAAGGGATTTATCTATCGATGTGAAACACCCACTGAACCGGTATCACATCCAGCAAACGGTTATCACCTTATGAAGAATCCATCGAAGCCCTGTGGCCTTGTTTCCAAATGATTAATTTCCCTTCGTTGCTGGTTTTAGTTACAACATAGACTCACTGTGAAAGTTATGTCGTGTCAATGTCAGAAGTTCTCTGGCTAAAGAGGAAAGGACGATGGAGCCAAGTTCAAAAGCCTTAAAAGAAAAGGCTGACAAATTGATTAAGAACTTTGTATTATAAAAAATACTACAATTAATGATAATGGGGGGAGTATTTTCATCATATATGACAAAACGCTAGTGGTTCAATATACAAAGAGCCTTCACAAATCAAGAAGAAGGCTAACCCAATAGAAAGAAGAAGGAGAGAAAGAAAAGCATGAACAGCACAGGAAAAAAATTCTACATGGTCCTGAACATATGGAAAAGATACTCAATCTCACACCTGTTTTATAAAATGCAGATCAAAACAAGGACATACCCTACTTATCAAAGAGATACAATTTTTAAAGTTTAATAATACTGGAATTAGAGATAGAGAGAGCACAGGGAAACAGGCACTCCCATGCCAAGTGTATGTATGTGATTTGGTGTGATCACTTCAGCTGGAAATTTAACAATAACTCTTAAGATGTAAAGTGTGTACATCTTGGACCTAGTTCCATGCCAGAATGAATATATTTCAGCAAGAAAGTAGCACTACAAGTGTAAAGGCATTTATTGCAGTCTAATTTTTACTTGCTAAAAACTATAAATACTTAAATGTCCATGACAAGGGGCTGGTTAAATAAATCATGTTAGAGCCATTCAATGGAATACTATGTAGCTATTAAAAAGAATAAGGTAGATAGATATATATGTAGAAACTTAAAATAATTTCTATGATGTGTGATCTTAAGCAAATTACTTAATCTGTGTCTCAGTTACTTCATATGTAAAATAACAAACTTTAATAGTAAATAATAATAGAATGATAAATAATAAATATCAAAATTTATAATAATAGTACCTACTTTAAAAGACTACTTTTTTTCTTTTTTTGGGGGGGGACAGGGTCTCACTCTGTTGCCCAGGCTGGGGTGTAGTGGCATGATCAAGGCTCATCGCAGCCTCAAACTCCTGGGCTTAAGCAATTCTCTCACCTCAGCTTCCCAAGTAGCTGGGACTATAAGCATACACAACTGATATGGTTTGGCTCTGTGTCCCCACCCAAATTTCCTCTCAGATTGTAATTCCCACAATCCCCATGTGTCGAGGTAGGGGCCAAGTGGGAGGTGACTGGATCATGGGGGCAGTTTCCTCCATGCCGTTCTTGTGATAGTGAGTGAGTTCTCAGGAGATCTGATGGTTTTATGAGGCAGTTTTCTCTGCTTTTGCTGGCTCTCTCTCACCTGCTGCTGTGTAAGACGTGCCTGCCTCCCTTTCTGCCATGATTGTAAGTTTCTGGAGGCCTCCCCAGCCATGTGGAACTGTGAGTCAATTAACCCTCTTTATAAATTACACAGTCTTGGGTATGTTTTTATAGCAGTGTGAAAACAGACTAATACAACAACCATGTCTGGCATTTTTTTTTCCCATAGAGATAAGGTCTTACTATATTGACCAGGCTGGTTTTGAACTCCTGGAGGGAGCAACCCTCCAGCCTCAGCCTCCTAAAGTGCTGAGATTACAGGTGTCAGCCACCATGCTTGGCCTAAAGGACTATTATGAGGGAAAAAAATAAGTTAATATATGTATATAAAATGCTCAGACTAGCTGGCACATAGTAGATGCTATGTGTTAGTTTTAAGTATTATTATTGTTGTTTCATATTTCTATGTAAAAAAGGAAATTTCAAGAAGGTATGTAGAGTGTGTAAAAGCAAATGCATAGACGTCTCTGAAAGGATATACAGGAAACTACAGATAGCAATTAATCTATGGAGTCAGACTTCTACTGTTCACTTTATACCCTTCTGTGTAAGCTTGCATTGGTTTTATAATTTTTAAAAATGCAAGAACAAAACAAAAAACAAACACTGTGTGAATTAGGGATTTAAAAAAGGCAAAGAAAGATGTTCTTCTGGAAGATATTTTTCATCATTCATTCAAAGAACATGCATTGTATATCTCCTGTATTTTAGGCACTAGTTGTAAAAGATGAATAAGATATGGTGATAATGATTCCTCACAAGTGCACTGTCTAATGGGGGAGAGAGACACATAAGAAAAATACTCAAATTGCTGAGGGAGCCCAGGGAGGGAAGTAATAAATTCTGGTGGTAATATCTGGCTGGGTTTTGAAGGATTAATAAGGAGTTTTCCTGGTGGGCATACAGAGTTGAGAAGGCAAAACTAATGTATGGTGAGAGAAATCAGAACTGTGGTTGTTTCTAGGGTAGAAGGGGGATTGATTGGGGAAGGGGCAGAAGGGAACTTTCTGGGGTGATGGAAATCTTCAAAGGAATGTGGGTTATATAGGTATATGCAGTTGTTAGAACTGACCACACTGTGCAATGAAGAGATGTGCATTTCACTATATGCAGGGATACCTTCATTAAAAAGAAAAATAAGAAATAAAGGATGAATATATGAATGAATAAGACCAGAAAGGGAAATAGCAGTGTTGTTGTGTATCCATAACAGACAAGAGGAATATCCCAGACAAGAGAAGACAGAAGCCTGAATTGAGGTACAGATGAGGTAGGAATGGCCATCATTGTAGGTGCATGGTGCCAGCCCTGGCTACCTGATAGTGTGTGGTAATCCAACCCAACTGAGGGCTTCCAACACCCTGATAGGAAGGCAGTCTACTTCGTAACTTCAAGGAGGCTCCATTGCAAAAGCAGGGAGCCTTCTGGTACAGGGAGAGGGAACTTGCTCAGATTCAAGCCCCTGAAGACTTGGAGCCACCCATTCCAAGCGGTCCATCTCTGCCTGCACCTATAGGAGAGGCTCCATCACTAGGTCTTGCTGACCTTGGCATGATGGCTAATGTAATCTTCACACGAGGACGGCTTGTCCTTGAAAAATTTCTCCAATACATTAAGCACAAGCATTCTTGGCTCATCTGTCAGGCATGGGCACACATCTTTTTGTGGCCTCTCTTATTTCATGTGCAAGCTTCTGTTACAGACCACAGCGGCAACAAACTCCCCTCTTTCATTTCTGAGCCAGCCTGTGCTGAGATTCCTCTCTGGGACTCAGTGGAGTCTAAGTATTGTCTTCCTGTATCATCTCTTTTAGTCCCTAGAGGGTTTGCTTGCTTGTTTGTTTGGTTTTGTGTTTTTAGAGCAATTTTGGGTTTAGAGAAAAATTGCAGAAGAAGTACAGCATTCACATAATCTGCTCCCACAGTTTCTTTTATTATTAACTTCTTCCATTAGTGTAGTACATTTGTTACAATTGGTGAACGAGTACTGATACATTATTATTAACTAAAGTCCATAGCTTACATTAGAGGTCACTCTCTGTATTGTACAGTTCTATTGGTTTTGACAAAGGTACAATGTCCTGTGTCTACCATTACATCCCTCCTATTTATCCCTTCCCTCAACCACCCCTGCCACCTCTGTGGCAGCCACTGATATTTTTAATGTTCTTGTGGTTTTTGCCCTAGAAGGTTTCAAGTTATTTGAAAAATTTGACAATATTTGAAATCATCTGCAGAGATTATTACAATATATAAGTTTTTAAATACATCTGTTTTTGATTTTTTAGATTGTATTCTCAAACATTACAAAGAAAAGGGGAGTATTTGTATTATCCAGTTAATTCCACGTATAAATAGACATGTATTTATTTATTCATTCACTTATTCGTTCAACAAATCAACAGATATTTGTTATACCTTTTCCTGTGCCAGGCGTTGCACCGTACCAAAGTCTAATGAGATAATTCACTCTGGAGGCAATAGCATGCAATGGAATAAGTAAGTACCTAATATTAAGAAGAATGATCCCTGACATTCATTGTGCACTTACTATGTGCTACATAGCCCTAATAACTTTTAGTTGCATTATCACATGTAATGCTACACCAAAAAATCTTTAGGAGAGAGACATTATGATTATTCCCATTTCAGACTCAAGGCAACTAATCAACTTGTCAAAAGGCTCACAACTAATAAATGGTGGAGCCAAAACTTGACCTCATGCTCCTTCCAACTTCAAGGCTCACACTCCTAACCACTGTTACATACTACTTGAGAATGTGTCACTCCTGGGTTCGAGCCTCTTTACTGGCTGTCTGACCATAGGCAAACAATTTACTTTCTCAGAGCTTCAGCCTGGTCCCCCATTTAGTTGGAGTGCCTTTTTTTCTCATTTCTATTTAGAAAACTCATACCTTCTCTCAAAGTCTAGTGCACCTGCTACCTCCTGGAGAAGCTGGCCTACCTGGACTCCTCATCTCCACTTGTCCCTTCTTTTCCCCCAGCTCCACTCCCCACCCTGACAGCAGTGACTGCCTTCTTTCCTCCCATCCCCTCCCCACCCCTGGGCTTATTTGCCCTAAGTACAGTCCATGGCCCAGCCTGTACCACTTTGTGTTCTGGATGTTCATGTATCTTTCACTTTACACTAGCATTTCTCATACAATTTCTCCATATTCATGCATCCTCTATATGTTATTTTCTTTCATTGGTTACTCTGATTCAGCTCATTTTTTTGTTTGCATAGCCCTAAAGAATACTATTCCAGCAATAATGAGCATGAATAATTAGTTATATGTTTTTTTCTAATACATATTAAAAGAAATACTTAGCTACTTAAATAAAAAAAAATTGATGGCTATGCTGTCTCTAACCATCTCACCACCACCAGAGATACACACACAACACTTAGGGAAAACTGATTTTAGTCTAGCACCTTCCTGAAGGCTGAGACTTCAGATCCCCAGAACCCAGCACAGCTGTTGGCACACATCACATGCTCAATAAATGTTCAAATAAATGAAGCAGAGAGTGAGTAAATGAGTGGGATTTCGGAGACAGTATCTAGACTTCCATCAAAGCTTTTCTGATGTTTATGGAATTGGTGGCCATGGAACTAGAGCTTAATAGGAAATTGTGGGTTTTAATGACACAGTTAGTGCAAGACTGGGGTGTAGTGGTCACTGGGTGAGAGCCTGCCCTCAAGGGAGAAATAGGCAGCTATCCACAAAGAGTGTGCAGACAGGACAGCCTCTCTGAGTAGAATCCATGGAGGCCACTGGCAGGTGCCCACATGGCATGAGTTTGAGGGGCCCTGGAAGGCCATCTGTCTCCACTGATGAGGGGTCCATTCCTTAATGAGATGCATTGCCTTCTACCTTTTAAACTGCGGATGTCTCTAATTCTTTTAAAATAAACTTGTCTTTGATTGTCCCAAGGTAAAGCCCCTTTGTGGATGTTTTGAGGAAATCTTACTAAACACAGACTCACTCACTTCTCAATTTTGTTTAGGGCTGGCAAACAGGGCAAAAGGAAGAGAACATTTATGGAGTACCAGAAACTGTGCCAGACATTGTGGCCATTTTTTATGCCTTATTTCATTTAATCCTTATAGCAGCCCAACTTCATGTTAGAGGTGAGGAGGCCCAGGCTTGAGAAGCTTAAATGACTTGTCTGAGGTCATTCCAGTCCCAAGTTGGTAGAGCTAGGATTTGAACATAAGGCTTATGTTCTTTCTGCTATACATCACACCAGTTCTTTTTTAGCCTATGTAAGTAAACAACTTCCATGTCTACAATGGCAGAAAGCCCTGAACTTCAGTGAGTCCCGCATGCCCCCCATTTATAGAGAGATTGGATAAAGAAAGTAAAGTACTTAACTCATTGCCTGGTACACAGAATGTGCTCAATATATGGTTCGATTATTAATAATATCAGCTATGTCATCAGTGGCATGGGAATACAAACTGAGGTAATTATAGGGAAATCTTGGGCTCAGAGTAAATGTCATTAAGTAATAAGTATCATTTTCTTAGCCTTCAGTTAAGTAGCCCATTTAAAGGGCATTGGCTGTTACTCTCAATGAAATGGGTGCTGCCGAAGGGGTTGAGCAGAGCAGTAGATTGATTTATGTTATGAAAGAATCACTTTTGGCTTTTGTGTTGACAGTAGGAGGAAGGGTAGGCTCAGAAAGACCTAGTAGGTGCTATTTATTACAAGATAGGCAAGAGCGGATGGGGGCTCACAACAGCATGGTAGCAGTGCAGGAGGTGAGAAGTGGTCAGCTTCTGGTTAGACTCTGAAGGTAAAGCCAAGTGGATTTCCTGATGCTCTGAATGTGGATGTCGGGAAAGAGAGATGCGAAGAATGGCTCCCAGGTTCATGGCATGAAAATCAATTTGCTATCAGCCAACTCCCTTCCTTCAATAAATACGTATCGAGGGAGAAATCTAGTCATTCTTTCCTTAGGAGCCAGAGATCCAAGGAGGCACCTGGTAGAGTCACTGCCTGGAAAGAAGTGCCACTGTGGCCTTACCCAAAAGAGACGCCTTGGCCTGACGAGCAGAAACCCTGAAGAATGGTAAGCCGGGGAGGAAAATCAAGACAGCTCCAAACCAACATTGTCCTGGAGCCCCAGCCACACTCTGCCTTTCCTCCCGGATTTATCAGTCCTGCCCTGGGGCAAGCTCCTGCCCTTACCCCCAGTGTGTAGAGAATACCTGGGCCTGATCCTTATGAATATACATTTAGGAAATATTTTCTCTGTAACAATCTCACTTGGAGTGTTTTGCAGGTCCAGGCACTTGGGAAGCAATGCCTGTTTCCCGAGGGTGGCAGGCGTTTTCTTTCCTAACTTTATTTCCAGCCTGCTTCTTTCCAGATGAATCTGGTGAACATATTCAGGCTCACACAGAGGAGGAAGCTTTCTGAGGAAAGGGCAGGCAGCCGGCAAACTCCAGCTGGTGAACTGTTTGCGGTAACTCTATTTTTAATATACACTGCTGACCCTAATGATGGTCTATTGAGATGAGGGCAAGAAATGTCTGATCAAGTGGAGATTAATTTTTGACTCTGTCGCCCAGAATGCATGAAAATGCACTCCTTTTTCTATTTAGACTCCCAGGATGCTTTGATTGATTGACTAGTTTACAAATGAAGGTGATAAAATTAGGTTGAAGACCACATACATTTCTTAAAATGAGGCTGGCTGGTCGTGGAGACAATGAGGTTTGGACAGATTGTATTGCTGGTTTAGGCAATCTTCTGAGCATGTCAAGATTTATAGACCTGTACTGTAATGTTACAATTGCAGCTCACTGATATAGGTTTCTTTTCAAATTCTTTCCCATTTTATTTGAAAAAGGCCATTAGAGAGTTATAGACTATTGAAAAAGCTTTTTCTTTGCTAACCCTTAATAAACTCTTCCAAACAAGGACTACTGCATTTTTATATTAAATTTAGACCAAAATCTATAAAACATGCTATCCCAGGTTGGATAATTTGATTATTATTATCTAAATGGAGTTATGGTTCATATTGGTTTGCAGTAATGTATATAGTAAATAAAATGTAAGTTGAGATTTGTATAAGATCACAGGACACTGAGTTTTCTTGTTGTATTTTCCTGTAAGCCCTTCTTTGGGGGAATTTCAACCGATTTTCCCTGAGATGAGAAATTAAAAAGAAAAAAAAAAAGAGGTTCTAGTGGTGAAATTAATGCTGCATAGTACTAAAAACAAATTGCTATTAATATTTACTTGTTTTCATCATCATAGAAGAAAGCTACAATGTCTTAGGAGTTACCCAACTAATAAGATTTACCAAGGGGACCAAAAAGCATGAGAAAATACTCAGCAGAATTAGAAACAATTATTCCATTGTAAGTTATGATGTGAGAAATAATAGATGAGACTCTGAAGTTATTTATGAATTAGTCAATTCTGTTTCATACATTTTTGCCATCGAAATAACTTATGAAATCATTTTCCAGGCCCATAGCATTTTATGAGAGTTCTGTACTTTCTTAAAGATTTTCTTCTAGGGCTTTCTGCAACTACTCTGAATTCTTCGGCGATGCTCAGATTTTTGACCTGTTTTCCAACTCTGAGGTCAAACTACTGGCAGTGCCAGAACCTTCCCTGAAGTCAGCAGGCTGGAGTTGCATAGTATACAGAGAGGTTCTAAGGATTTTATGAGTTTAGCAAGAGGGACCCAAAGAGGGTGGAAAGTGTCAAATACAGTGATGTGGATGAAGGGCTCAGCTAGGGCCTGGCACTCAGTTGGTGCTCAGAAGGTTATGACAATTATTGCCATTACTAATACTATTTTCACCATGCCTCTTCTTTTTAGGGGGCAAGATTAGCACAGCGTGAGTCCAAAAATCTAGACTGTTGCTAACACATTGTATGACCTTGAGTAACTCCCTTACTATCTCTGTTTCTCTGTCCTTAGGATGCTCAGCTACTTCCAGGGGCCTTTTTCTCAGGAGTCAAATGAACTAACAGACACAAAAGCTCTTTGAGAAGTACAGAGTGCCATAGGAACATCAGTAGTCCTTTTAAAATCATTTCCAGGTACCTGCTCTCTGGCCCTTTTAAAAGTGGAAAGTGGACCAGTGAACACTCAGTAAGCGTGAGGGGGACCTTCTCTCACCGCCAAGGGCAGTTTACAAGGGGCTAGCCAGTGTGAGCGAAAGGATTTAAGGGGGCTTAGAGTCAAGCGATTTGAGAACCCAGCAGAGAACCAGACTGCTGCCCCTGATTTAGTTTAGCAGTGGATGAACTTTGAAATGCAGAACATCATTTCTGCAGAAGGTCGTCATATTTCTTGGTGATTTACACGGAGAAGTCTGGGACTATGCGACTGTGCTGGGTTCGTTTTAGACCCTCCAGTGCCAAGAGAAAATATGCTGATGGAAGGGATAGTGCCTGGGTGGCTGGCAGAGACTCCGAGTGCTAGAAGAAATGGCAGATATGGGCTGAGTCACTTTCAGTGAAGGTGCTGATGGCATCTTCAGGTCTTCTCAGTCTCTTTCTGGAAGACTTTGCAGTGTGGGATTTTGGATAGAAGGGTGCCTCAACGGACTTTTACCTTTCTTAAGCACCTGGCAGAAATATTAGTTTAGGCTGCAGCTGGGAGACAGTGGAGCTTCCACAGAGGTGGCTGCCATAGGAAGAAGTCCTGTCCGTCATCCCTTGCTGTGGAGGTCCCACATGCAGCCTGCCTGTTCTCAGGAAATGGTCTGCAGCCTAACCTCCGGACAAAAGATTAAAAAGCTGCCTCTGGTTGCCACTTCTCAAATATATTCACATATTAATATTTTAAGGGTTCAAAGACAGTGCCAATCTTCTCAATGACATTCTATAATTTAATTAAATATCTCATTTATGTGTAAGAAAATACTTTTTTTGATTTCTTTTTCTTTCCTTTTCTTTTCTTTCTTTCTTTCTTTTCTTTTCTTTTCTTTTTTTTTTTGAGATAGAGTCTCACTCTGTTGCCCAGGCTGGAGTTCAGTAGTATGATCATGGCACACTGCAGCCTTAAACCTCCCAGGCTTAAGCTATCCTTCTGCCTCAGCCTCCTGAGCAGCTGGGACTACAGGCATGCATTACCATGCCTGGCTAATTTTTTTCTTTTCTTTTCTTCTTCTTTTTTATTTTTTGTAGAGATAGGGTCTTGCTATGTTGCCTAGGCTGGTCTCGAACTCCTGGGCTCAAGTGGTCCTCCTGCCTCGGCCTCTCAAAGTGCTGGGATTATAGACATGAACCACTGGGTTCAGCCCTTTTTTTCTTTTGAACCCATGGGTCTTAATGAAACTATTTTCATTTTAAATGAAAAGAAAGACAAAGGCCGTAAACATTTTTACTTGTCATGGACTGACTCTCATGGAAAGAAGGCTGCCGTCACTGCAGTGTAGACAATGTAGAATCCCACCTGGCAAAGGCTGGGCAACTCAGGGAAATCATGCTGAATGGGAGAGGACTAAGTCCAGGCCTCCAGTGGCTGCAAACTTGGTGGGCTGAGGGCTCTGGAAATGTGGGTGGGAGAGAGGCAGGGGGTCATCAACCCTCTGGGGGTCCTCCCACCAATTGTCCTAGCAGGTGGAACACATCCAATGTGGTGTCTGCCACATCCCCATGTTGAAGGAAAGTAGCTGTTTCCTTCTTACTCCATCACCCTTCCAACCCTCCTGTTGGATACAGTGACGCCATCAATTGCAGTGATAAGAGACGGTACCTTCCACTCTGGCATGATGTCATTAGCCTATTGGTAATCTTTCTAAATGTTTGCCAGAAAGATATGAAATCTTAGCAACAGAGGTATTTAAAGGTTTGGATAAGTTTGAAACACAGCGATTTTTCAATTTTATAAGCTAACCAATCCAGGGCCTGTTAGTCTACAAGTGTCTGCCATCTTTCTCAGGGTGTCAGAGAAAATCGAGTGACGGATCACTTTTCGGTGTCACTGCTCGAGACTGGTGACAGTCAGTGAAATGATTGTGTCTGCCTCTACACATATCTGTAATTGATTGCCTAAACCCTACGACTCTCTTTCCCAGTTGATATGATGGAACATTGGAGTGAAATCACTCTCGATGAGGAGGAGCCAGGTCCATTTGTTATTTACTTCCCTGCCTGCTTCTTTCTCCCCATCCGGTGCCAATTGTCCCACAAGAGCACATTACGGTAATCAGCCAGAATGTATGTATAGGAATCAATCAAGGTGAGAGCCGTCGCAAGAGTTATGACATTACAAAGTCTGTTTGTAACTTTTGATTTATGGAAGATTTTCCATTTTATAAATTGGGAGTGAGGCATGTTGGGATGGCTTAACCCTTAAATTCACCTACAAGGAAAATGCATCAGGCATTAAAGCTAATAGACAATAGGGCATTTTAATTATCTAGTGCCTGTGAATAACTGGAGTTCTTGCATGTTTGGCTTGTGACTTTAGAAATACTCTCCCACTCTCTGAACACATTCCCTGTTCTTGCAAAATTGGGTCATTTTCTGGAGAGTAAAGACATGACAAATTGCCACTTAGGACTGATCCCCACACATAATGCTTTCTTCTGCCAAGAGCCTGAGAGTCAACCATGCCACAGTAGTGTTTCTGGGGAACTTTCCTGATTGTCACTCCCAGAGAGGGTGACTCAGGGAAAAACTCCACAGACGCCAACTCTGAGGCCTATAAGAGACTTGGCAAGATAGTCTCATCCCTTTCTAATGTTTTTTTTTTTTTTTTTTTTTTTAGACGGAGGCTTGCTCTATCACCCAGGCTGGGGTGCAATGGTATGATCTCAGCTCACTGCAACCTCCACATCCTGGCTTCAAGCGATTCTCCTGCCTCAGCCTTCCGAGTAGCTGGGATTACAGGTGCCTGCCACCACACCCCACTAATTTTTGCATTTTTTAGTAGAGACGGGGCTTCATCATCTTGGTCAGGCTGGTCTCAAACTCCTGACCTCAGGTGATCCACCTGCCTCAGCCCTTTCTAATTCTTTACAGAACTGCTGAAGACAAGGGCAAAGGCGGATTCAAGCCATTTTTCCAAAATGAACAAAGCAGTATATAGTGTTTTGTTACTAACTGCTCCTCTTTCTTAGGCTCAGCAGCTATCACGATCATAAAAATCTTTATGATCTTTACAAGAGGCCAGAAATAGGTTATATTGTCAGCTGATCATATTAAAATGTAGACCTTTTATGTTCATCTGGTGCATCAGTCACGACAACCATTTCACAAAGTATGTTGGGTTCATGTTGATAGTCCCATTTTGCAGATGTGGAAATAGAACCAGAAACTGGAAAGTCCTTATCCAAGAGCTTACTGCTGTTATCCATAGCACAGGACTTGGGGGTGAGGAAGGGGTGTGGGGCAGGCCTCCTGATACCTTGTCCAATATTCTTTTATTTAATTGAATTTAATTTGTATTTGGGGTACCCATCACATGCAGAGCACAGTGCCAGATGTGTTTCCTTCTTACCCCAATTTCTGATGGCCAACTATCCCCCAAGTCACGAAAGGCCACCCAGCTGTGAGTTTTAGCTTCTGTCATTCTGTCTCAGTAACTCTCTGTCCTCCTTTACAGGGCAAGTCTCTCTGCATTGCTGGGGCCCTGTGGGAAGAAGGATAAGACATGGTTTCCCCTGCTGAGAATGAGCTCAGGGAGGAAAAATATTTGTCCTGTTTCAAGGTCACTGAATCTGCTTTTTGCCTGACTATCTGAACATATTATCTTGTATAGAATTAAAGTTCTGTTTCCTTTTTTATTAGCATGGTGGACCTATTCTGCTTAAGCTCCTTTTTTTTTTTTTTTTTTCCTAATGTGAATCTTAAACCTAATAAGAATGCAGATCCCAGCAGACCTACTCTCTCTCTTATAATCTATTAGGAACATGAGATTGCCGTCTCTGGAAAACTTAAAAAACCATTTAAAAACAAAAAGATGAATAAATGAAAATGTTATGAACCTGGAAATGTTAATTAAGCCATTCTCAAAGAACAGGCTTTCCAGCCCAGATTAAAACATCCCATCACTTTTAAATAGTTAACATCTTTCTCCTTGAAATAAGTCCAAATTAAGGACAAAATCATTATAAAAAGAAACAGTAAAGGGACCAGAAAATGGTGTTAAGAATTTGGCTATCAAACGAATACTCAAGTTAGAGCAAACCACGAAGGCCAAAGCCATAAAGTGAAGTCTATTTCCAGACATACTGCAGTTATTGCCAAGCAATAGTCTGGGTACCTTGATGTAGATTCATAGAACATAGAGGCTCACAGATCATCCTGTTGAATCCTTTCACTTTTTGAGATTAGGGAACTGAGACCCAGAGAGGGTAAGTCATTTTCTTGAAGTCACTTAATAGAGTTGAGGCTAGAACCTAAAACTCTAGACTCCCAATCCAGTGCTCTTTCCACAGCATACACAGCCCCGCAAAATGATTACAAAGCAATAGTAACACTAACAACAATAATAATAACTTTTAAAAGGTATTGTATCTATACCATCTTATCTAGAGATGTGTCTCCCAGATTGTTTTCTTTTTCAGTAAAGAACTAGAATAGAGCTTTGCTTGTTAGGATATTATTCCATTAACAATCTTAGCCCTCTGAAACACAGACAGAAACTTGAATACAGAGGTTAAAAGACTGAGTCCCCAAAGTAGCTGCAACAAAGTCTGTGCACTAAATGTCATTCACTGAGCCCCGTGGAAGGCATCTTTAGGCTCTTCTCCGTATTATTTATTCCATTTGACATATAATTCCAAGTAGATTTGATGCAGAAAGTTGGTTGGTAGCAGCCTGACATGCAGGAAGAGGCAGCTGTCATTTCTTACTGATGGCCATTAGAATTGACAAAGGTAGCCTACCAGTGGGGAAGCAAGATGGGAAAACTGTAAAACAAGAAATAAGAACTAAAAGTACAGTACTATGGGACCACTTCATTTGGGGCAGAAAGGTCTACAAAACTATCCTCTGGGGCCGGGCATGGTGGGTCACACCTGTAATCCCAGCACTTTGGGAGGCCGAAGTGGGCGGCTCATCTGAGATCAGGAGTTCCGACCAGCCTGGTCAACGTGGTGAAACCCTGTCTCTACTAAAAAAAATACAAAAATTAGCCAGGTGTGGTGGCTTGTGCTTGTAATCCTAGTTACTCAGGAGGCTGAGGCAGGAGAATTGCTTGAACCCAGGAGGCAGAGGTTGCAGTGAGCCGAGATTACACCACTACACTTCAGCCTGGGTGACAAGAGCAAAACTTTGTCTCAGAAAAAAACTGTCTTCTGAGGGCACCATTGTACTATGTCAAAGTACAATAATAACTAACAACTATGACTGAGGGAAATGAGAGGAGGAATTAAGTTTGCCTGGAAGATAAAATAAGTAAAAATAAATATCAATTTTAATAGAGTTCCTGGCAACAAAACATTAGAAATGTTCAGTTTTTTGCTTTCCGTTAATGAAAAACAGGCAGCACAAAACAGTAATCACTGTGAGTGAGCAACTCCTATAATGATTCAATATGAACCTGTGTGGTCATTTAATGATTTATCCTTTGGCTTCCTGGAGTTAGACGAAATATAGGCTCTATTCCTAGAAAAAAATAAGCTGCTTTTCTGTCATGTATGTACCTTTTTCTGGATCTTTGTACTGTAGATTTTTCTGATCTTTCACAAAGATTTTTCTGATCTTTGTGAGTAAAAGTATCATTCTTTTTTCTTATGTGTGAAAAAAAATGAGGACCAGAGAGGTTAAGGGACTTCTTAAGGGAAAACAGCTGTCCAGGATCCAATTCAGAACTAGAACGTAGGTCTCATGACTACTGGTTACTGAGCTTCCTCTTTCTCTGATAGCATGCTGTCTCCTTTATAACTTGTCTTGGTTTAAATTTCTGCTTATTCTTTCCCACCCTTGCCAAAATGATGCAGTTTCTGTACTTGCCTTTGTACACCATGGTGCATCTCAAAGGTTAGGCTAACATGCCATTGTTCAGTTTCATTACACCCACCCTCATTTCCTGAAGACCTCCTTCATTCATTCAATTAAATACTCTTGACATCTACTGCATGCCAGGCATTAGACACTGTGATGAGTACTTGCCCTCAAAAACTCACAAAAACAAAAAAGTACCTTATGTTCCAGGAGGAAAAATAGACACATATACAACTAAATGTGTACAAAAAGCAGGCTTTGGTAAATGTCAGCTATAACAGAGACACAAGCAAAATACTAAGGAAGCACAAAGGAGAGATTGATTCCGATTCCAACAGGCGAGGCAAAGAGATGATGTGGGAGAATCTTTAAACTCTTCCTAGAGTTCACGACATTTCAGATAGACCTTCACAACTGAACACTTTATTTTGAACTGTTCTGTATTAGTCAGTGATTGCTATGATAATTTGGTATAACAAACAAGCCCAAAATATCAATGACTTGCAATAGCAAACATTTTATTTTTTGGTTGTAGGTCCGTGGCTCCCTGGGACTGCTCTGCGTCCAGCTACAAGGTAGGTGCAGGTTAGCTCCACGTGTTCCTCATTCTAGGACTCAGAGTGTAGGAGCAACAGTTGCCAGTCGAAAGCATGCTCTTCTAATGGTGTAGGGCAGGACACAAGAGATGATACCCATTTCTTAATGGGAGAAATGTGCTGTGTTTCTTTTCCTTTCCTTTTCTTTTCTTTGTTTTTGAGACAGAGTCTCATTGCATCACCCAGGCTGAAGTGCAGTGGTGTGATCTTGGCTCACTGCGACCTCTGCCTCCTGGGTTCAAGCAATTCTCGTTCCTCAGCCTCTCGAGTAGCTGGGATTACAGACATATGCCACCACGCCCAGCTAATTTTTGTATGTTTAGTAGAGATGGGGTTTCACCAGCCTGTTGGCCAGGCTGGTGTTGAACTCCTGACCTCAAGTGATTCGCCCGTCTCGGCCTCCCAAAGTGTTGGGATTACAGGTGTGAGCCACCACGCCCAGCCAAAAACATGCTGTGTTTCTTAAAGCCTCTGCTTGGAACTAGAACACTGTCACTTCTGCATACATCCCTTTTGGTCACATGGCCAAATGCAATGTCAAAGGAGTAGGGAGTATATTTCAGCCACAGGGAAGACAGGCAAGGGCAGCGAGGAAAGGAAAAATCATGAGAACTAATGCAACGTAACGTATTTTTGCTGTTTCTTGGGCTTTATCTACTTAATATGAACATATGACGCTTAGCAAAAAAAAAAAAAAAAAAAAGCGCCTCTCTTTCTCTTGAGTTCCTCTACATTCTCCATATAACACTGGCTGTGTTGAAAGAAGGGTGAAGAAGGTGGGGTGGGGCAACAGCATGTTGTTATATCACAGTTACTTTGACCTGCAGGAACTCTGCCCTGGCAAGGAGAAGCTTCATGAGTCTCTTGGATTGTAGGTGCTCCAGCAGTTAGCACAATGTCTGGCACCAAGTGGGTACCCAAATAATGTTTGTTAAATGAATGAATCAATGAAAGAATAAAACTGCTATGTCTACGGCTTTCATTGCCCTGACTCTAAACTGTGGTTCTGTTTTACTGATAGCTGAGACGTGTAAGGCCTCAGTCAATAAATACTGATACATTCTTGTAGCACAACACTGTGCAGTCATTGAAAATTGAGGTTGTAGGAGAATATGGAATATGGAATGACCCTGTTTTGGTCAAATATATCTCATATACTATACATATGGGTGACTTTGTTTTTCTTTTTTTTTCATTTTACTTTTTTTTTTGAGACGGAGTCTCCCTCTTGTCGTCCAGGCTGGAGTGCAATGGTGTGACCTCGGCTCACTGCAATCTCCGCTTCCCGGTTTCAAGCAATTCTCCTGCCTCAACCTCCTGAGTAGCTGGGATTACAGGCACCCGCCACCATGCCCGGCTAATTTTTGTATTTTTAGTAAAGATGGGGTTTCACTAGGTTGGCCAGGCTAGTCTCAAACTCCTGACCTCTGGTGATCTGCCTGACTTGGCCTCCCAAAGTGCTGGGATTACAGGTGTGAGCCACCATGCCCACCCTTCATTTTTATTTTCTGAAGTTTCTATAACAAGTGCACATTTGTTTTGCAATAAAATGTAAAGTTATTCTAAACATAAAATAAATGTACAGCATCACATATGAACAACACAGTCTAACTTTAGCTGCTGTCTGGAAAAGCACCATTTCTTGAGATGTAACTGCACATTTGCTTTCCATGACAAGATATTCTAAAAAGTGGACCAAAAAATAATAGTCAGTAAATTGAGCTTTGACCTGAGTCTGTGTTCACATCAGAGGAATATAAAAATTAACCCCAAAGCAAAAATGACTAAAGTTTTTTTTTTTTTTTTTTTTTTTTACACTACACTTAGCAATCAGCTGTTTACTTTCTTACTGATACAACTTGGGACTCAGGAGGCCTGGACTAGGCTCTCCCACCAATCTGTTGTACTGCATTGGACAAATCACCTGCCTGTTTGAAAACTACATTTTTGGCCGGGTGTGGTGGCTCACGCCTGTAATCCCAGCACTTTGGAAGGCCGAAGCGGGCGGATCACCTGAGGTTGGGAGTTCGAGACCAGCCTGACCAACATGGAGAAACCCCGTCTCTACTAAAAATACAAAATTAGTCAGGCTTGGTGGTGCATGCCTGTAATCCTAGCTACTTGGGAGGCAGAAGGAGAATCACTTGAATCCAGGAGGCGGAGGTTGCGGTGAGCTGAGATCATGCCATTGCACTCCAGCCTGGACAACAAGAGCAAAACTCTGTCTAAAAAAAAAAAAAGAAAGAAAGAAAAGAAAAATACATTTTCTCAAAGGGAAAGTAAAGCTGATTCCTGCTGTACATTAGCTTAGGTAGGTACCCAAAGACCCTGGTGTAATAATGATGTTGTTCTCCTGAAATAACATTTAAAAAAAACTACATATTTTACTCTTAAGCAGATGGGATTGTCTTCTCTTCCAACTAAAAACAGTATGCTGATATTGAGGATTAGTATTTATCATTTATCACTGATAAATGGTGTATTGGTTGGGATAACACTAGCTACAGTAACAAATAGATGCAAAATATATAATGATCAAGCAGAATAGAAATTTACTTCTTGTTCATGTAATAGGTCCTGGTATTCCTGGTCAGCAGGCAGCTCTCTTCCATGCACTCATTCAGGGATTCAGACCCCTTCCCTTTTGTGGCTTCACTATCCTCTAAGGCATTCTTGTTACGTGAATCCTATTGGTAGAAAAGAAAAGGGCAGGGGGATGCGTACCCATTTCTTAATTGCTTTGGCCCAGAAATAGCCCATGTCTTGCCTTCTCACAACCCACTGTCTACAACTCAGTCAGATGGCTGTACCTAAATGCAAGGAAAGCTGGGAAGTATAGTAGTGTCCAGGCAGAAAAGGAGAGGGATTTCAGAGCAGTAGCTCACAATCTGTATCACAAATGCCTACCATATGCCAGTCCCAGTGCTAGGTAGTAAAGATATTGAGATGAACAAGACACTTTTTCTGCCCTAAGCTATCTCCCAATCTAATGGATGAGACTATGCTATATTTATGTATACTTACAGTTTAGTGAAGAATGTGTTATCACAAAGCAATGAAGGCAAGCCAGTGAGAACATGTATATGAAAAATAATTAACCCTGCCTGTAGCAGATGGGGGTCATGAAAGGCCTTGATTATGTCAGTTTCATAAATGTTTATTGAGCATCTACTAAGAATCAGGGACCTGTTACATTCAGGTTGCTGGAGATACAGATAATAGGACATAATCCTAGTCCTTGGGGCAATGGATGTACAAACAGGCGAGTTCAAATGGATAACTACCCCTATAAATGGGGGATGGGAGGAGTATAATGTGCATGCTTGGTGGGTTAAGTGCTTTGTATTTGGAGTCAGGCATACCTGGGATTGAATTCCAGCTTTAACACTATCAAACTCACTGTGTGACTTTGGGCAGCTCTTCCAACCTTTCTGAATCTGTGTCCCTCATTTTTTAAAAAGGAATAGCAACTCCTTGTATAGTCTCAGGAGCCAAATTGCCTGGGTCCAAAGCCTGGATCTTCTCCATACTAACTTTGCAATGTAGAGAAATTCACTGAACCCTTTTGGGGCTTCAGTCCAAAGCCTGGATCTTCTCCATACTAACTTTGCAATGTAGGGAAATTCACTGAACCCTTCTGGGGCTTTAGTCCAAAGCCTGGATCTTCTCCATACTAACTTTGCAATGTAGGGAAGTTTATTGAACCCTTCTGAGGCTTTAGTTTCCTCATCTTTAAAACAGGGTTGATAATAGTATCAAACTCATACAGTTGGTAGGAATATGTGAATTCAGAGAACAAAAATTATCTGAACTGTGCCTGGTACCTAAAAGTTGCTCAGTCAGTGTTAGGTCTTGTCACTGTCTACCTTACAGTTTACTATAATCATTAAATGAGATAATGCCAGTGCCTGGAAAATATTAAATATTCAATTAATGGTAAAGATTATGTTTAAAAGTGATAATCTGGAGGTAGGATGACTGCAGTGTCCTAAAAAGAAACTGCTGAGAAAGCAGATGGAGTGAAATGAGGCAAAAATTCCTGACCACAAATTTATTCTTCATTCACCCCAAGACAGGTGAAGCAACAAAGGCAGGTGGCTTTTGGAGAGACAGTGCTTCCAGTTGCAGGTAGAAGGCTGTTCATTTCCTTATTTGCTTTCTCCCTCTCTTCTATTGGTGGGGAATTTAAGAATATGCCATAGAATTTAGGTTAAGGAAGGAAGGCATAAATGATTTGTTCCAAGAATGCAGGAGGAAAGTCTCCCTAAACACAGCATTCATTAGTAAGAGCTTCCAGAACCTTCCAAAATTCTGTCTCCTTTTATAGCATCCCGCAAGTCCAAAGTAATGAAATAAAAGCATGGTAATAGGTAAACACAAGTACGGCACCCAGATAGCTCCTTGGCAGGCAGGGGGTGTTTGAGAGCATTGACTGGGGTCTCATTTTCCATAATCGAGCCCAGCCCTGCTGTGATCACTATAGTATTATGACCTATGGGGCAAAGACGGTACCATACGTGATATTTCATTTTTGGGTAGCTGGGGGTAGTAATGAACCAGTTGCAGTCAAGTGAATTAATTTCCCTAGCTATTCAAAAATGAAACTTCATGTACAGCAATTTGTTCTTCATTGCTTTTTTTCCCCACTGTAGCCTTTTCAAAAATTACTCTTCCTACAGAAAAGTGGAGAGAAAGAAAAAGAAAACTCAATGAAAAAATATTTTAACCTTTGCTGAATGTTGATGTCTTTTCTGATCATCAATAATAATGATAAATGTATCCTATAGATACACAGCTTAGAATTCACATTGCAGTTCTATTAGCCTCATACTGACTGATTATGAATCTTAAAACATGAAATAAATATTCAAAAAGTTGGTATATAGATTCCAGAGCCAATTTCAAACAGTTTAAATTATCAGTTGGTATTTATCCAAACTCCAAGGAGTGCCCTAATCAATCTGACTCAGTAGAATTACTCAATTACTGTACATTTAATAAATACAATTTAATGATCAAAACACATTATTGAGAATGAAAGACTTTGGCATAGGTAGGTATAGACATGTAACACAGCTGTTAATCCTCTATAAATTTGTTTTTAATAACACTGATGTTTTGGTTGCATATAATAACTATTTCATTAAATCTAAATTAAATGCATGGTTAAGCATATTTAAAACATGTAAATGTAATGTGTTGCTAGTGTATTTCATTTCATGTTTCCATGCAGTTCTAACAATTTTCCAAATTCAAATTGACTAGGTGTAGGGAAGTCCTTGGTCGTTGATATGATACCTTTTTTCTGATATCATTAAGCTGCAGAAATTTAATACCTCTGAGTTCCAAACACATCGCTAGTCAATCAGTGTTCAGGAAAGACAATGTGTTTATCTGCTGGAAAGAAATGCTTACGGACTCAACTGAAAGGGAAAAAATGCTTTTAAATAATAGTAAAACATGCGTTTTGCTTTTTTAAAAAAGTAAAGCAAAGAATCTAATACTAAAAAAGCTATGTTGCAATAACAATCAAGAGTGTGTTGTGCATGATTTTTCATTTATGGATAGCAAGAGACATTAATATACTTGCCTATGGCTTGTGCATTACTATTCCCAGCTATGCAGAAATGGAACGTGATTTACAGCAACACATTCTTTGTTGCTGTTCCAATATACCTATTGTCTTCCCTGCATTCTGACTGGCTGGCTGGCTGGGAAAGGGGATGGTGCTGGACCGCACTCAATCATTATGGTTGTCTACAAATAGAGTAGGTGTATGTGAACTGAGATTTTTCAGCTTTGTATACCCAGCAAGCCAATCAGAGCACAGAAAGAACAATAGCTGAAGGTTTTACTGCTCTTTAAGTTTCCCCACTGATTCCCATTGCGACTGATTATATCACAGAAGTTATATAAAAATCACATTAAATACCAACTAAATCAAGACTTTTCATGCCTTTTTTTTCAAAGCAATGAAATTCAGGACAAACACTATATTATGCATGAAGATCACCACCTGGAGATCTAAACTCTTCATTCCAGACGTCGTATTTGAAAATGGAACTAGAGAAAAGTGTGGTTTATTCATTTTGTTATTTTCTGTGGTGCTTGCACGGCTGTTTTGAAAGCCTACCGTAGGAGAGCTCAATTAAGAGCCTTCATAATTTTCACCAGTTAACTTTGATTAAATAGGCTGTCTTGGAAGGGAATTCAGTAAATTTAGGCTATAAATTACCTACAGTGAGTTTTCAACTTTGGAATTCTGAAATATTAGTGCTCGGACAGGCCATTTCTTTCAGAAGGCTTGTACTTTACCTGCTGATTTGGAACAATTTTACTTGATTTTATTCGAGCAGAGAAGACAAGGGAAAAACTTCCTTCTACTGGTTGGAACAACAGGTCTCCTGCAGCACATGTGGAAAAAAAGACATTCTGCTTTCCACTGCAAGTTGGATTAATACAAGAGGTTAGAGGTTCCCTTTAACCATGTTCTTTTAACTCATTATTACACTGATTTTCAGGTCATATTTGTTGCCAAAGATTAGAAAAAGGTGATGAAATGAACAGGTTCCTTCTGATGTGTTGCTTCTTAGACAAGGACTTCAAAATTCTTTGAGATAAGCAAACTCTTACTGAGCAAATGGGAAAACCAAGGCCATTTCAGCTCAGGATCAATCAACCAAGGAGTTGAACCCCTTATAAGAGACATATGGCAAATAGCTGTTCACACCACTCATTTCAGGATATTTTTACTGGTGGGGCTGAAAAATCCAATAAAATCTGCAAGTATCTATACTGTAAATTCTATAGAGTATAGTGATAATGAGTTTTAGTTTCCTGCTCTATGACTTTAGGCAAGCTATGTATTTATCCAAACCTCAGTTTTCCTTCTCTGTAAAATGGGCTTAAGAACAGCACTCACCTCACTGGGATTTTCTCTAGATTCAATGCGATAGTGCATTTAAGGCACTTACATAGGGCTTGGCAAATGTAATACAGTACTCAGTAAATGTTAGGTCTTAATACTATTCACATTTTACTCAGATGTATCTTCATTGTTTTAAAAACATGTCTGTTTAATAAAAACAGCTTACATTTGCAAGTGCACCTTTTGACTTTTTAAACCTTTTAACGTCAATTAATTCTCTTCTCTCCAAACATCAATTTTGTGAGTTGGGTGTAGAATTATTTTATCCTCCCTTGATTACCAAGAAGGGTAAGATAAAGAGGAATTAAGTGGCTTGCCTAAGGCAGTGCTAATGCAAGTATTAGAACCTATGTTCCTGACTCATTTACTTCCATTACATGAGTGGGGTTTCAAACTTTTCTCCCCAGGCAGTGGAGAATGGGCAGTCGAGGTTTGCATCAGAATGCAAAAGATGTTTTCTGCCTTGCAAAATTGTTTGCAGACTAGGGTTAGGGATTGTGGAGAGGGCAGAAATGCGTTGGCTAGAGGAAGTGGCAGCGTTTACAAAGGCATGGCTAACTTTTCCTGAAGAAAATAATAATGTCAGCAGCACTCACACTTCTGAATATATTAGGTTTGTAAATCCAGGGTGCAAATTGTTTGTAGAATCTCAATTAAAGCCTTTATAATATTGTCATTCGTAATCAGCTCACTATGAAAACAGGGCTTCCAGAGGGCACCAAAATCATTTGAACTTGCGATCTGTAATAGATTTGAATATTCAGATAAGGTCAGTGGTCAGAGCAGAGGCGACAGTTTTGGTCAATAAACAGGTTTAGTGAGACAAAATCTTTTTGTCTACGTGGGAATGGCTCGGAGAAACTGGTTCTCAAGGGGGAATCAAAAGATTAAATTCAGCTGCGTTGCCAATTTATTTGCAGGCCAAACAAGTGTGCGATGGAAATCTTTGGAGGGGGAGGTGCCCGCCTCTGTGAGAAGCCCCTGTTGACAGCACCAGAGGGGGCTCCCAGGCAGCTGTCCTGACCACAGCTGAGACTGAGCTTAATGGAGGGAGATTTGTGCGGGGAGAGAATGAGCATCTCAGTGCTTGACTGAGGCTATCCTGGATTAAGCCAAGTGAAGGTGAAGGATCTGGGCTGCAGTGTTTTACATAGTTCCAGCCCCTGCTTTCCTGTCCCCCACCCTTAAAATTGCTTTCTCTGAATTGTGCCTTGGCATGAAGCTTTAGCCGAAAAAAGCCATTACAAACTTCTCTCTGTGAAGATCCACAGGAGAAATTTCTCTCTGGCCTCAGTACTAGAAAGACTTGTGTTTCTCCTGAGTGCCTGTTTACCTTACAGACTCTGTGAATAAGATAATTCCATCGTTTTGAGACTGTGTTCCCAAGAGTCAGGGGGGGGTCTTCCAGACTGCCTGAGGAGCTACTATGGGCTTGGGAATGAGAGCAAAGAGGGAGGTGGACATGGGCTCTGGGGACTTGGATTCTGGCTTCCACGAGAGCAGACCTGCTTTTTTGTTTTCTGCATAAATTTTATATGAAGAAAGGATTCAGTGGCCAGCAAAAAGGTCTGGAAACCACTGACTTAACCAATTGCTTCTTGTAGCATTTAGAATAAACTCTAACCCAGAACCAGAGTGGTCTGCCCTTGCATATCCTTTAGCTCATCCTGTGTTGTCTCCCTTCACTCATTACTTTATTTATACCTATCTTTCAGTTCCTGCAGTAAAAGCCATGGTCCTTCCAACATGATGGCCACTGGCTGGAATCTTTTCTCAACCTTTGTCTGATGATCTCTTCACTGTAGAATCACTGGGGTTTATGTTCAGCTACGTACAACAGTGATTCTCAAAGAACTGTGGCTTAAACAAGACAGACATCTGTATCTCTTTTATGTCAGGCGGGAATCTAGGGTCCCTGTGGTGTCTTTAGAATGTCATCTGGATGTGTCTTTCTTCTCTGCCACCCTCGGACATGCCTTTCATCTTCAAGATCCCGTCATGGTCCAAAGGACTTTGGAGCCATCAGTAGGAAGAAGTGGGAACCACAAAGCGATGCTTCTCCCAACCAAAGCTGCTGTCTTTAAGCAGTTTCCGGAAGCCAAGAGTGTTTCCACTTACATTTTATTGGCCAGAACTTAGTCACGTGGTCATCTCCCACTGTAAGGGAAGCTGGAAAATGTAACGTTTTATTGGGGCAGTAATGTGCTTCCTTAAAAACTGGAATTCTATTATTAACAAAGAAGGAGGAAATGGAAATCAGGAGGCAACTCGGAGGTTTCAAGTTCAATGTCACTCTCCCCCATCTAAAGTGTGATCTCAATCTTCCCTAATATTTGCTCTCTTAGAACACTATTCATTTCCTTTATGGAATTTTCATAATTTATAACTTATGTCTAACTGTTAAAATTTGTCTTCAAAGCTGGATGGTAAGTTCTCCGAGGCGAAACACTGAGTCTTTGTTATCCCACGCCATATAACCTAGGTCCAACAAAATGCCTTTCACCTACCATGTGAAGTATTTGTCATATAAGTAAACAAATGAATGAATTTCTCTGATCGCTTTTGTTAGACAGTTCAGAGCCAAATTTATGGTTTAACTTCAACAAATGTTCAGGAGTTCCTGAAGGGCATTTAGGGTACTAAGTTCATTCTAGGCTCTTATTTATTTTTCCATTCCTATTTCCTCTTTAATTTCCTAATTTATTTAGATTTGCTTACATTGTAGCGGATTATATATTTTAGAGGCTTCTTTTTAATCCATTTGGGGATGAAGGGGGTGGGGCAAATATAAATAAAGACTTAGTAAAGAACAGATAAAGTTTAACTATTCAACAAGAATGTTCTAAACAAAAATTTTTAAGTGTGAAAAAAATGTCCAACAACAATAAAAGATAATAGACATCTCTTTCAGCATATTGTTTGATGGTCCCAGTTCTGGGATGCATTAATGTTTAGTAAAGAATAATTAACTAACCATAAAACAGGATGCTGTTCAAAAGTCACTAGTAAGCAGCAGGAGTTCGGTTAAGATCACACTTAGGAAGCTAAGGATGATTAACCTTTGCCTAGGTTATAAAATGGCCCATTTGAGAACTGTTGCCACTGGATATATTACCTGGATATCAATTGGATTATTGAGTGAGAGGTTTTACATGATGTTTAGTATGATGATATATATCTGGTTACAAACTGTTTATGACAAGTGGAAAAGCCAATAAAAGATTAATGCAGATTTAAATAGATTTTTCTTCTTTACTTGAGTTTCTGTTAATTTATGCATATATAACTCAATACCTGTATATTTGAAAGAGATGCTACTTTATTATTTGTAATGAAGAAAGATGGCTGTTGAATATGTAAGTGAAATTGTAATGCTGACGTTGGAGCTCCTGTTTAAAGGGGGTTTTCAGTTCATTGAGGTTTTTCTTTTCTTTTCTTTTCTTTTTTTTTTTTTTTTTTGAGATGGAGTCTTGCTCTGTTGCCTAGCCTGGAGTGCAGTGGTGTGATCTCAGCTCACTGCAACCTCCATCTCCCAGGTTCAAGAGATTCTCCTGCCTCAGCCTCCCGAGTAGCTGGAACCACAGGCATGCGCCACCATGTCTGACTAATTTTTGTATTTTTAGTAGATGCGGGGTTTCACCATGTTGGCCAGGCTGGTCTCGAACTCCTAACCTCAAGTGATCCACCGGCCTCGGCCTCCCAAAGTGCTGGGATTACAGGCGTGAGCCATGACACCCAGCCGACATTTTTCATTGGAATTTTTATTTGGTGCAAACTTTGCCAACTGAACCTCAGTTTAATTTAGCAATGTTTACAGGTTAAAAGAGAAGTCACCCTCTTGAATTTGTAATAAATTAACGTGTATTTCCTTGTAATTTCAACTTTTTTTCTTTGATTTATCATAAAGTACATACCTGACAGCAATCTTTTTTTTTAGATTTTTTTTAGCTGAAAGTTTCATTTACGGTCTTTAAATTATTTTATTAAAAATCTTTTGGGGACTGGGACTGTGTCTTGAAGGCTTCTTTTGCATTTCCCATAATGATTAGCACACATTATGCACCTAGTAAGGGCTTGAGAAATTCTTGAGTTTGAATCTTTTTCCTTTTCTTTTTTTCCTTCATCCCTCCCTCCCTTCTCCCTGTCTTCTTCTCTTCCTTCCTGCTATATACTTTCTGCCTTCTTTCCTTCCTTCAATAAGCATCAATTAATTGAGTAGCTACTATACTCTGGGCTCCTTACAGGGAATTAGTATACAAAGATGAATAAGATATGGATTTTAGGCTAAATAAAGGTTAAGGCACAGCAATATGGATGCTGTGGTGAGACCAGAACTGAAGCTCTCTCGGCCCTAGAGTGCTTGTTATGGTATCACTTTGTGAAGACAAAATAAGAGAATTCAATGAGAAGATACCCCGGACACTGCCCACCATGGACACTACCTCTCTATGGTTAGCTGAATAAAGCCATGTGGGGAAACTGGTCTGTAAACTCTAAAGTGCTATGCAAATATATCATTACCATAAATGATGTACATGTCAATCCCCATCTCCACCAAATTATGAGTGGTGACATTAACTTATTGATCTCTGTTTCTTTAGTACATTATAGGCACACATAATAAACAATATATGTGTGTGAGTAAAATATTGAAGATTCACTTTTTAGTATTATAGTCATCATTACCAGTACATCAACTTGTATCTTGTTTTATTTTATTAGGATACTGATATAAGAAACCCAAGTTTATTCTTCCTTTGTGAGTGCTCTGATGACCCTGGCATGCCCAGTGGAGCTACCTGTGTGGATTGAACTGGAGCTCCTTTGCTCTTCGCTTGAACCCTAGGTCAGAGTTGGGGGAAATTGGCTAAAGCAAAAACCACAAACCAAAACCCAGGTAAACACAAACCCAATAGAAATCAGTTGTGGTTGAGTAGATTTGGTCAGAGATTATAAAGACTTAGACCACTTGATTCCACCTAAACCAAACTTCTGAGTTATTAGTTTTTTTATATAACATCAAGCTCAGTTGTATTTATACAAAAAATATGGCAATAGAAGGAAAAAGCTTCCTTTGTTTTGAATTCCTCAAAGCTTTACAGGCTCTTCCTAAGGTTCCCATTTTGTGTCACTTGAGTAGATTATTTTTTTACTCACATGAACTGTGGACAGGCACTGTGATGGAGGCTTTACACACAAAATCTTCTTTTGATCCTGTACAAAAGCATGTGAGGTTGGTAATACTATTATCATCATCACCATTTTGATGAAGAAACTGGGAAAATGAGGCTGGCCCAGGGTTATACAACATTTAGGCCACATGACTAGCATTGAAGTCTCTGGCTCTAAAACATGTATTCTATATTATGATTATTTAGATACATGCTTTTTTGTTTTGTTTTCTTACATTATCATTTCAAAGAATTCGTAAAAAACTGTATCACAACTTTTTATTTTGAAAATTTCCAAACATACCGAAAAATTCAAGGTATATTATAATGAATATCCATGTACCCTCCAAATAGTTGAAGCAGTTATTAACGTTTTGCCACATTTGCTCTCTTTCTGTTTATACACACATATACACATTTTTCCCTGAACCATTTGAATGGTTGTGAGCTGAGGGGTTGATGATGACACATCATCCTACATTTTTCAGTATGCATCCCCCAGGAGGAACAAAATTCTTTCTTATAACTGATAATACCATTATCCTTCCCCCTAAAAGTGACAGTAATTCCATATCATCTTATATCCTGTCCGTATTCAAATCTCCAAATTTTCTTTAAGATTTTTTTTGTGACTGTGACACACATGTCTGTGACTATGCTCTCCCTTAGATTTGACCCTCTGGGGACTTTGGAGGACTCAAGGTCTCCAAGCTTGGAGCCACACCATGGCCAATTAGAGTGACTATAGATTCCATCTCTGGTTTTACAAATTTTAGTCCAAGGGCCTTCTCCTTTTCTTCTCCTCCTTTTCCTCCTCTTTGTCCTGTTTCATTTCTTTTTGGCTTCAGTGTACTTAATTTTTGATAGCATCTAAAATATCAAATAATACTTATTCATGAAATAATACTTGAGATACTTTTTTATGCCTGTACTTCTAAAAAATATTACTTTCAGGCCAGGCACGGTGGCTCACGCCTGTAATCCCGGTGCTTTGAGAGGCCGAGGCGAGTGGATCACCTGAGGTCGGGAGTTCCAGACCAGCCTGGCCAACATGGTGAAACCCCGTCTCTACTAAAAATACAAAAATTAGCTGGGCATGGTGGCAGGCACCTGTAATCCCAGTTACTCGGGAAGCTGAGGCAGGAGAATCACTTGAACCCGGGAAACAGAGGTTGCAGTGAGTGGAGATCGTGCCATTGAACGCCAACCTGGGCAACAGAGCAAGACTCCGTCTCCTGCCCCCCCAAAAAATTACCTTCATTATAAAAGCCATACATTCTAATTAAAGAACATTTAGAAAACCCACAAATTAGAAAGAACTATTTAAAATCTATTCTATTCCCTCCATCTACACTTAATAACTCATGCATTTTCTTCCAGGCTTTTTTCCTATACACGAAATACTTAAACAATTAGGATAATATACACATATAATTTTGCACTCTTTTTTCTCACAAAATTTTGTAACAAGCGTATTTATTGCACGATAGTGTGGGCTTTGGAGTCAGACTGTAGGAGTCCAAATCCTGATTTTGCCACCTATGAGTTATGTGACACTGGGTCACCATATAACTCATCACCAAAATGAGAACACACAGGAGAGTGAAAGGGGGCCCTATCAGTAATGAACCCAAGACATCAGGCATAAAGTGAGATTGCCAGAACTTATGGTCACCCACCTTGGCAAAATTGCTGATCTTAGAAGCTCAGTTTCCACATCTCACAAAAGATTCTTGTGACACTCAAATGAAATAAAGGACCACATAGCCCAGTGAGTGTGCAATAGACATTAGCTATTATTATGGTTTTTGTAAACATCACTTTATACGGTGGCATGATACCCCACTGGAAGATGCTTCCCAGTTCATGTCATATAAAGGGGCATCTTTTTTACAGTCTTCTAGTACTTCTTCCTCTACTCTTCACGGGTAGACTGAGCCATGGACCTTGCTCTGCATGAGTCCTGCCTGAGATTCTTGTGATATCTTTACTTGTAATAGGGTTACCCTTGGCTTATGCCCATTTCACAGAGTGTGAATCCTGAGGCTTCAAGGTCATAACTTTAGAAAGTGATGGAGTAGGCAGGCAAATCTGCTGTCTTTATCTCTATACTTATCACAATTTCTATCTAATAAAAAGCACTCATAGGCTGGGTGCAGTGGCTCACACCTGTAATCGTAGCACTTTGGGAGGCTGAGGCAGGTGGATCACTTGAGGTCAGGAATTTGAGACCTGCCTGGCCAACATGGTGAAACCCTGTCTCTACTAAAAATACAAACATTAGCCGGGCATGGTGGCGGGCGCCTGTGGTCCCATTTACTTGGGAGGCCGAGGCAAGAGAATCACTTGAGCCCGGGAGGTGGAGGTTGCTGTGAGCTGAGATCGTGCCATTACAGTCCAGCCTGGACAACAGACTCCATGAACAACTCCTTTCAGAAACAGGGTACAAGAATTACTACCTCTAACAGCTGATGTAAATAAGGCAAAAGCATAATAGGGTGAGACAGATTGGCATTCCCCACTTATCTACTCCTTCTCCTAAATAAGTCAATTTCAGAGCTCTGAGTGTGGAATCCATGCTCACCACCTCTGAGATTAGCCTTTTACACTCCTCACCCACCCACCCTATAGCTCCAACAGAAGTTGGAGAGTGGGGGCCTGTTAGCTGCTGCTGGGCCCTACCCACCAGTGTGAGTTGTCTGTAAGACTTCTTTCCACTTTGGTTAAGGATGTGTGGTTTGGACGGTATATGTAATATCTATACATATATTAATATATAGTGTTAATTTTTTTTCTTTTGATAAAAAATATAAGATCCCAGAGGGCAGAGATAGCCTCACAACCAACATTTTATCACCATTGCCTAGGATAGGACATGACACTGGGTATCCTCAATAAATATTTGTCAAATAATGAATGTATCCCTGAAAAAAGGAAAAAAGGGAACTGTATCTGAGGGTGTATACCTTTACTAGATCTTCTAGCTGGTCTGGTCATTGATGGTGACCATGATGCTTTTAATCAGTGAATATTGTTTTGAAAATAAAACAGGATTCAGTGTCCTCTTTTCCCATTGGGATAGACTGTCATCACAATGCCATTCCAAATACAAATGCCATTCCAAACACTGGACATGATGCATAACCAATACTAACACATGCCATTTGAAGCTTTAACAAGACAGTCCTCCTTCAAATTTATAACAGTCTATGTTTAAAAACCTGACAAAACCAAAATGTGTTCTCCATAAATTATAGTGGCACCATTCCTGCTGCCGAAGTGAAGGTTGTGTCAGCATTTCCATTATTCTGTGGATCGCTGTGTTTCAGGGCTTTAGTTCTTGGCTATAAAAATGCACCTTGGGTTTAAAACTGGCAAGGAACACCTCAGCCTTGGAACAAATTTCCTTCACCAAATTTTGAGAGCAAAACCAATTTGTTTATTTCCCCCTTTGTCAATGACTTTTGTGAAGAGAATCATCCATGAATTTCATTTCCAATTTCATTTTTTAAAAGCTGGATAGTTTCAGATTTTCACTGAACAATGGTAAAGTATTGTTTTTGGTGTCAGGAGAAGAAAATAAAATTTGTAAGCCTTGCTTTTAAAGAACTACATTGTTCTAAAACCAGCCACCCCCCTCCTCCCCATTCTGATTTCATTAAGAAGGGTTAACAATGGTTTTATTTTGACATGGCAAATCAGATGGCTACGGTTGGTGGTGAAATTTGATTATGTGATTAGGTTAATAACCTCTCAACAACAGACCTTATTCTGTAGCTACTTGTTAGGTATAATTTCCCATTGGCTTCCTGGAGAAATCATTTAGTATAACTGTTCATACACTTAATTAAATTTCTTTAGTTTCATTTAAGCATGTATTTATTTGTGGTCCCTTGGGCAAGTAACATTTTTCAATATGGTTCTTGATAGTGTTAAAAAATTTCAGTTTTTAGAGAGGGAGCTGCAACTAGTAATTTAGTGCAATAAAACATTTAAATGGCTTTAAGGTTTTGATCTTCATTCCTCTAAACCAAGGTTTCCTCCAAAATCAGAAGTTCTTATGTCAAGTTTTATTGATTTTTCTTGAATTTTATCTGTAGATGCATGTATATACTTCTGCCTTAATTACATTATTTGGTTCTCAATAAGCACCTGTGCTATCCAATTACAAGGCGCAGAGGGAAGGGATATAGCCCACCCCAGTGGTAGGGAGGACTTCCCAGAGGAGGCAATGCCTGGTCAGAATCTCATAGCATAGGTAGGAGTTAGCTAGGCTTGGAAGGGAAAAATGCATTATAAGTGAGGAAGACAAGAGATATTCTTAAATAAAAGGTCAAAAGGTGTCACGAGATCATTTATTTTCTAGGTTTAAGCAAGATACAATTTTGGAGATATGCAAATTAATGGCTTACTGTGAAGCCATTAGAATTAATACTTTTATTTTTCTTAATCAGGGATTCTGTGCTGCTGAGATCATTACAGAAGCAACAGTAGCAGGTGGCCTGGCCATATAGGGATTCCTTACTCGCAGCAGAGAATGTTGCTGCCACTCAAAGTCACCAGGGGCTGAAGAGCTCCTGTGGAGACCCACATCATCTAACAACACACATGCTCAAAACAGGGAAATGTGCATTTTCAGGAGAGGAAGAGACAAACCTTTTGTTTAGCTAATTGGCATGACAGAGTGTGACATACACGTGCTCCTGGAAGAATGGTGTGGGGTGTCTGCACTCAAAATCTGGAGCATAGGCAACTGGATGAAGGGCTCTGTGGCATTGATTTTCATTGTGTGTGTGTTAATATTTATATTTGTAATTAAATAAATAATTGAAATTATGCTGAATTGAAAAAAGATTGTGAGGTTTAATGGGACTGTGTGTGTGTGTGTGTGTGTGTGTGATTATTACTAAAGAAAAGGTCTCAAGGTGATTAAACTGTTCAGATAAGGATAAATATAGTGTCCCCAGCCCCACCCTCCAAAGTGTAATTCTTGAGCAGTTTCTCATGCCAAGTTCCGGGTGGCTGAATAATAAGAGATAGTAGTTAATCGCCACCTGGGAGAGGGAGTGGGAACTAAGGCAACAGATGTAAAAAGTTAAGCAGATGCCCTGCACATGGGGAGGGGGTCAATGTGCCTAATGTTCTATCTGACCAGGACTGATGTGGGCGGAGGGCCTGGGGCTGTGGCTGCCACTCCCCGGGTGAGAGGTGAGGGGCCTGAGAACAGGAGCCAGCTGCTTTCACTTGCTCCCAGGCCTCACTGTCCCAGAGTGGCCAAGCCCACTTCTTGAAATAACCAGCTGCCAGGACCCCTGGGACGGCGGGAGACGGGAGAGGCTTCCTGCCCTAGTGTGAGGAACTGAGCCACCGACCTGACCACTAGGAGGCAGGATCACATTACCTAACTCACTGGCAGGCTCACCCAGGGGCCTGGACGCCTTTGAAAAGAATCTGCTTGCTCTGGGTCCAAGAGTAACCCAGCCCTGGTTCATCAAGAACAATAAAGAGAAGGAGTTTGCCTTTGAATTCTGGCTCTGACACTTACTATCTGTGGGACCCTAGAGAAGTCACTAACCTTTGCAAGCCTCAGTTACCTCATCTGTAAAATGGAGGCAGTGATGTCTGCCCCTCAGGGTGGTTGTGAGGATTAGAAATGGCACACAGTGGGTCCTTGGTAAGTAACAGCTATTATGTGCAAAAAGGGTGCTCATGAAATTTGTCCCCACAAACATGCCTAAATCCTCCCTACCCACATACCACTTAGGCAGATACAATTCGGTTTGGGCAGCTTAAGAGTAACAGGGTTGGAAACTTGAGCCCTTGGTACGAAGCCCCCAGCTGCTCCCTTTGGAACATGCTGAAAGGGATGGAGAAAGCTGCAGGGACTCCATATGCCAACTGCCCTGGCAGGACCCTGCCCGAAGGGTCGCAATCTCTGTCCTGTTTTGGGAAACAGAATCGTGTGTCCTTAATCCTCCTTATGGGAAAAAGTTGGGCAATGGAGTCCAGGCGAGAACGCCAGAGCTTGGATTCTACTGGGTCAGTGAACAAACACGTGCCCCTCAGGGGTGGAGTTGGAGGCTGAAGAGGCATTTGAAGAAAAAGACCCAGTGGGTGTAGGTGGCCCCTTGCAGGTCAGCCACCTGAGGGCTGTCTACCCTGCTACTCCCCTGTCTTACAAGTGTTAGAGCCAGAAGAGACCTCGGGCTCAGTGGTGCCCACAGATGGGTTTTATTTGACCTGTGTTTCCCACACTTCCTGGCAGCTCAGGCTCTGGATAGGGAGTCAGAAGACAGCTTCTGCCTTACGTTGCCTTTCAAAACTATGACTTACTCTCATTGACGCAAACTGATTTGCATCCAAAACCCTAGCTGTAAGGAAATGAGAAATGTGGTATTTGATGTTGTGGTCTCTGAAGGACAAAAGGCCACCCAGAAAAAGAGGGGGAATGTGGGAGCCAGCACCCCCATATCCTTCACAGGTGCCAACATGGAAGGAATCCAGAGCTTTCACAAGAAAGTCCAGCTTTTCTGGGCAACTTAGAAGACCTGATAGCAGTGGGCTGTCACTCTCACATCGGCAGTCTGCTGGTGTGAAGCGGTGGCTGCGCCCCAGCTGGGCTTTTGCTCTCCCATTCTCCCCAAGCACCACCAGCCTGGCCCCTGACAGCCATGGAGTTTGCAACCCCCACCTTAGAGACTGGACCCCTCTTCAGGTGACGGCTTGGTTTAGCCTCTTGCCTTATGGATAAAGAAAGCAGGGCCAGGCGAGAGGACTTCCTCTGGGTTCTGTGGCCCTCGGTTGCCACTGTGGAGGCTGGAGCTCATCCTCCTGATTCTCCAGTGCCCCCTGTTTTCACCACATTGCTCTGCCTCCACTTGGTGTTATATAAACCGTGGCCTGAGTAGGGGACACGAATAGTGGAATCCCATGGATGCACTTTCCATGTCAAGCTTGGCAGGACTCACTTTTGGGATGGCCTCACAGTATCCAATTGGTGGTCCTGAGTTTTCAAACAACAGTTAAATTATGTTCTTTATTCTCTCTTTTAAAAGGCAAGGAAGAGTGTAACATATTTCCCACAAAACGATTAACATTTAATAAAAAGTTTTAATGTTATCAGGAAGATTAGGCTCTCCAGAATGATTCATTCCCAGAGGGTTTCAGATGGCCACAGTTTTAGTAAAATTGCTCTCATCTGGAGAGCACCTTTCACTTACCCAAAGCATTTTCATGTGTGGCGATGCATTGCAATCTTTAACATTTTTTTTTAATGTTTAAATCATGTAATCGTCCTTTAAATGAAATCTTACTTGAAACCTCAATATATAATGGAGCTACAAACAGAACAGTTCTAGGTGAAGCTGGGCTGAGAGACTCTGAATCCCACCCATGGACTCCCTCGCTTCCCACCCACCCTGGAGGCGCCGCCATGCAGCCTAGGTCCGGGCTTCTCCACACCTGCTGTCTCTCATCCACAGAATGCAGATTCCGTGGCTTCATATTGCCCCGCTGATTCCAATCTCGGAGTTGAGGCCTGGGCATCTGCATTTTAACAAGCCCACACAAGGTGGTTTTTATGCATTCCGAAGCTTGAGAAACTCCATCCTAGGCTTCCAGGGAGCATCGTTTGTAAACTCATTCCTTCTGTTTTGACATAAATTGAGTAGGTATTATTATCCTGATTTTACAGTTGACACTATGTTTGCCCAGGGTTGCACATTTCACTGGTGGGGACAGAAGCTAAACCCTGGGCCCTTCAACATGGTGTATCCCCTGCATTCTTCCCATCAGACCATGCGGCAAGAATGGATAGAATGGGGTAAGCACCTGACACCATGTGAGCCCAGGCCCACATTCTATCAAAGGGGGTATCAAAGGCCACCAGATTGTCTCTAGCTCTTTCCCTATCTTTCTCGGAGAAAGGAGAAAGGTGTCACACAATGGATGGAGTATGCCAGTCACATGGGTCTGAATTTGGATCCTCCCCTTCCATTTCCCAGTCATGAGCCTCAGTTATAAAGATTAGAAAGCATACAGTTGGTCCTCTGTATCTGTACGTTTCAGATCCATGGATTCAACTACCTGCTGATGAAAAATATTCAGAAAAAAGGAACAAATAATAATACAACAACAAAAATTAATACAAATTTTAAAAACAATGTAGCAGCTATTTACATAGTATTTACGTTGTAATAGGTATTATTAGAAATCTAGAGATGATTTTTTTTTTTTTTTGAGAAGGAGTTTCGCTCTTGTTGCCCAGGCTGGAGTGCAATGGCACGATCTTGGCTCACTGCAACCTCCGCCTCCCAGGTTCAAGGGATTCTCCTGCCTCAGCCTCCCGAATTACTGGGATTACAGGCATGCACTACCACGCCTGGCTAATTTTGTATTTTTAGTAGAGATGGGGTTTCTCCATGTTTGTCAGGCTGGTCTTGAATTCCTGACCTCAGGTGATCTGCCCGCCTCAGCATCCCAAAGTGCTGGGATTACAGGCATGAGCCACCGCGCCCAGCCAGAGATGATTTAATATATGGGAGGAAGCATGTAGGTTACATGCAAATACTATACCATTTGATATTGGGGACTTGAGCATCTATATCTTGGTATCCCTGGGGTTCTTGAACCAATCCCCTGGGGATACAGAGGAATGACTGAACATGTAAATGGCCTAGCAGATGCCTCACCTCAAATGCTTAATAAATTGAGAGCTGTTATTGCTCTTACCCTTAAAGTGTGGCCTCGTGCAAAGAGGGGCCCTGTGTAGACGACTGTCCTCTTGTACCTCTCTGGGTCAGGTCCCTGGTAAGCAGACTGTGTCATCCCCAGCAGCAAGGCCCACAGGCGTAAATGTGGGACAACTAGGGTCCCACAGGACACCGCTAACAGGAATGTCCTGGTCCGGAGCACAGATTGTTCAGAGAAAGAGCCATGTCCATGAAGCAAAGAGGGATTCGTTCTCCTCTGTGGCTTGGCCTCCGCCTGCGGGGAGACCTTCGTTTTGTAAATGGCTCATTTCCCTCACAGCATCACCCACCTTCCCTGAGTCACTGCCACCTTTTCATATGGATCATCAAGAGTTGGAAGGGGGCCTGGGGATCCCAGGACTGGCTCCACGCCACTTGTATCCTTCAGCTAATCCCCCCAGTGGGACGATGGCCCAGGAGAGCGGCTAGCGGGCCCCAGCATCTGCCCCAGCGTCCTGAACCAGGATGACAGGCTCTGTAAGTGAGCCTCCTTCCAGCTCCAGGCAGCCGCCCGGCGGGTCCTCAAGGCCCGCTACCCTATACCCTACAGCTGCATCTCCACTCTCTGATGGGTGCAGTAGCCTTCCTGTGAACTGGTGTCCCTGAGTGGGAGCCTTCCAGGGTAGCCTTCCAAGGCTGCTTCTCATGGCCGTGACCCAAAAGGGGAGGATCTGCATCCCAGGCCCACATGGGGGCGTGGACGATACCGGTGCTCAGAGTGGGCCACTCCTGGATTGAAGAGAGATGGCATTTGGGGCAGTGTGAGCCTGAAAGAGAAACTGTCTCCTAGGAAAAGAAGGCAATTGGGCCACGACTCAGAGAGGATGTGCAGAAAGGAGGGGAGGAATAAGAACGAGGATCCCAAGCAACCCCTCGTCCACTGTGCCGGCCCGGGGTCATCTCTGCAGCAGGAAGCTGACTGGTACTTCCTCACTCCCCATATGGAGGAGTCACACTGGTCAGCTTTTCCAAGTCACCTATCCAGGCCCCCAGCCCTTCATGTACCCCCTACTTCCCTCATCAAATCTCTGTGCCCAGAACGCCATCTTCCCTTTCACAGAGAACTCAACCCACCCACTGGACTCCAAGCTTCTGGCCTCTGTGGTGAACCCCAGGGAGGTGAAGCCCTCTTTCCTCCCTGCTCCTAGAGCCTGGGACCCTTCCAAGATATAACACTCTCACATTGTTTCATACCTCTTGTGTGTATGTGTCTGTTTACACCCTTGATTGAACTTCTTGCCATATTATTTTGGTATTTCTAGTGTCTACTACAGAACTTAGCACACAGTAGGAGCTTAATAAATGTTTGATGAGAGGCCAAAAATATATGGAAAAATATTCCACATCACTAATCATCAGAGAAATGCAAATCAAAACCACAACAAGATACCATCTCACACCAGTCAGAATGGACATTATTAAAAAGTCAAAAAACAACAGATGCTAGCCAGGCTGTGGAGAAAAGGGAACGCTCGTACATACGGTGTTGGTGGGAATGTAAATCCGTTCAGCCACTGTGGAAAGTAGTTTGGAGATTACTCAAAGAACTTGAAACAGAACTATCATTTGACCCAGCAGTCCCATTACTGAGTATATATCCAAAAGAAAACAAATCATTCTACCAAAAAGACATGTACTCACATGTTCATTGCAACATTATTCACAATAGCATAGAGATGGAATCAACCTAGGTGCCCATCAATGGTGGATTGAATAAAGAAATTGTGGTACATATACACCATGGAACACTATGCAGCCGTAAAAAAGAATGAAATCATGTCCTGAGCAGCAACATGGAAGCACCTGGAGGCCCCCTGTCCTAACCAAATTAACACAAGAACAGAAAACTCAATACCATGTGTTCTCACTTATAAGGGGGAGTGAAACATTGAGTACTCACGGACATAATGATGCAAGAATAGACATTGGGACTATTAGAGGGAGGATGGAGGAAGGGAGGCAAGGGTTGAACAACTAACCGTTGGTTGGGTACCATGCTCAGTACCTGGATGATGGGATCATTCATACTCCAAACCTCAGCATCACACAATATACCCAGGTAACAAACATGCACATGTATACATTGAATCTAAAATAAAAGTTGAAAGAAAATGTTGAATGGATCGATGAAAACATTTTACATGGAGCATCCCAGAACCTGTGCCACACAAAAGGATTGTATTCAGAGGTAAATAGGAATGGCCCTGCTGCCACCAACACCCCCAGCACATTCAGCACAGAAATAAATGCACAGATATGGACTGGGGCAAGTGCTAGGACAGCAAACAACAGGAGGTTATGAGCCAGGAACAGGAACTCTGCTGGCGATTGGTGGTTGAGGAGGACCACTGGCCCTGAAGGGCCAGGTGGGGAAGAAAGCTGAAGAAAGGGCATGTGAGGGGTCAAGGCCCAGGGGGCAAGAGCTGGACCACCTGAAGGAACTAAAGGAGGAGAGATGTAGCTGTAGCCACATGAGCAAGAGAGAGAGGCCTAGAAGGGCCAGGAAGGACAAAGAGGCCAGGTCATTAGGGCCTTTGAAAGAGAGTTTGCCCAGGACACTCTGATTGATACCTGTTGTCCCAGCATATTATTATTATTATTATTATTATTATTATTATTATTATTATTTTGAGATGGAATCTCACACTCTTGCCCGGGCTGGAGTGCAATGGTGCAATCTCGGCTCACTGCAACCTCCACCTCCTGGATTAAAGTTATTCTCCTGCCTCAGCCTCCTGAGTAGCTGGGGTTACAGGTGCACACCACCACACCTGGCTAATTTTTTGTATTTTTAGTAGAGACAGGGTTTCACTATGTTGGCCAGACTGGTCTTGAACTTCTGACCTTGTGATCGGCCTGCCTCGGCTTCCCAAAGTGCTGGGATTACAGGCATGAGCCACCGTGCCTGGCCCCCCGGCACATTATTAATAGCATCTGATTCACCCTCAGAAAGGTCTCAGTTTGGAGGATAAATTATAAGGTTGCCCTGCTCATAGGCCATGTGAAGACATGGATACAGTTGTCCCTTGATATCCTTGGAGGATTGATTCTGGGCCCGCCAGAGGATACCAAAATTTGTGGATGCTCAAGTCCCTGATATGAATGGCATCGTATTTGGATATAACCTGTATACATCTCCCTGTATACGTTCAATCATCTCTAGGTTACTTGTAATACCTAACACAATAAAGGCTATGTAAGTAGTTGTCATATTGTTTAGGGAATGATGATGACAAGGGAGAAAACTCTGTACAGGCTCAGCACAAAAGCATTTTTTTTCCCTGAATATTTTTGATCTGTGTTTGGTTAAGTCCACAGCTGCAGACGCCACAGAACGGATGAGGAACCCGTGGATATGGAAGGGTGACTGCACACATATGCTAAGCATAATGGAAAGCTAGTGAAGGGTTTTAAGCAGGGGAACAACATGACATTCATTGAACGAATGAGGATTGGAAGAACTCTTTTAATTGTAAAAAAAAAAAAAAAAAGTAGACCGAGGATAATGAGAGAAAGGAAAACCCTGAGGAAGAGGAGTGCTGCTTCCTAGCTGGGAAGAGCTGGAGTCGGAGGGAAGATCTTGGAAGTCACTGCATGCTGAGTGCATCATGTCTGGAACAGAGCTGGGGGCAAGTGTTAGGGTGATGTTGCCAGATGCCTTCTTAAAACAAAGAACTAAATAAATTCTAAAAGAGAATGAAGTGAGGCATTCTAAAACTGAACGGGAAGTAGGAGCAGTCAGGCCTTACATTTTATTTGGATTTGTGAATAAAAGCTGGGCTTCAAGTTAACTTCACTTATTGAATGCCTCCTCTAGGCTAGGTGCTACAAGAAAGAGAAGGAAGCACCAACTCAGGACCTGATGCAATCTAAGTATAGAGATGGAAATGATGTCTACCAATATACACATGTTATCACCTAATATAACCATATAATGATGTATAGTATCATTCTATAAAAATATTTATCTATAAAGCTACATATTGAATATTATGCACACACTGTACATGCTATTATACATATTCTATAAATGGAAAAATTATTTCAATGTATGAGAAAATGAAATAGAAATAAGAGGGCCAGGTCGGGCGTGGTAACTCATGCCTGTAATCCCTCCACTTTGGGAAGCCAAGGTGGGTGGATCACGAGGTCAAGAGATCGAGAGCGTGCTGGCCAACATGGTGAAAACCCATCTCTACTAAATATAAAAAAATTAGCTAGGCGTGGTGGCATGCGCCTGTAGTCCCAACTACTGTGGAGGCTGAGGCAGGAGAATTGCTTGAACCCAGGAGGCGGATGTTGCAGTGAGCTGAGATCGCACCACTGCACTCCAGCCTAGCAACAGAGCGAGACTCTGTCTCGAAAGAAAGAAAGAAGAGGGCCAATGGAGAGATTGGAAGGCCAGTACCATCTGATGACTGGTGTAGACAGTAAGTGTGGCAGGAGTGGACAGAAGATCCATTCTCTGAGGTGGGAGGTCAGGAGAGTGATGTTGAGGCCATGGGATGAAGGGCTGATCCAGAAGGAAGGGGGTGAGGAGAGTGCAAGGATTTCTAAGGAGAGAAATGGTGTGATTACAAGCTGCAAGGTGGATCACCTGAGGTCAAAAGTTCAAGACCAGCCTGGCCAACATGGCAAAACCTCATCTCTACTAAAAATACAAAAATTAACTGAGTGTGGTGGTGTGCACCTGTAATCCCAGTTACTTGGGAGGCTGAGGAAGCAGAATGGCTTGAACCCGAGAGGCAGAGGTTGCAGCGAGCCAAGATTGCGCCACTGTACTCCAACCTGGGAGACAGAGCGAGACTCCATCTCAAAAAACAGCTCCAAGGCTGCAAAATATCACAGGTTTAGCCTGAATCTATTGAGCACTTACCATATTACAGGATTGTTCTAAGTGCTTTATAAATATTTATCTGCATATTCTCACAACAACTGTATAAGATAGGCACATTTAATTCTCATTTTATAGGAGAGGGAACTTGGGCAGTGAGAAATTATCTGGCTAAGTTCACACAGTGAGGAAAGGACAAAATCAGAATTCAAACCCAGGTGGCCCTCTGCAGAGCCCATGTTCTTGGCAAAGACATCCTCTTGTACTCTGCAAAGTGTTCGGCCAACAGGGAGTGGTCATTTTAGCTGGGCCACATGGAGTCATTGCATGGGGACAGGGTGACTAAAGGACAGAGCAAGGGCTTTGCAGTCAAATGGCCTGAGTGTGCATTCCCTCTGACAGTGAAACCTCCTGAGCCTCAGTGAGCTCAGTGTAAATACGGGAATAATGGTACCCCCCACACAGGGATACTGTGAAGATTCACCAAATAATGTCTACAAAGTGATGTTCATTAAACCATAGCTGGAAAGCTACATGTTGTAAGCACTGAGGATTTTTTTAAAATTGAGACAGGGGTCTCACTCTGTCACCCAGGCTGGAGTGCAGTGGCGTGATCTTGGCTCACTGCAGCCTCCGCCTCCTGGCGGAGCCAGGAGTCATCCTCCTACCTCAAGTCATCCTCCTACCTCAGCCTCCAGAGGAGCGGGGATCACAGGAGTGTGCCACCACACCCAGCTAATTTCTCGTATTTTTGGTGGAGATGAGGTTCCATCATGTTGTCCAGGCTGGTCCTGAACTCCTGAGCTCAAGTGATCTGCCTGCCTTGGCCTCCCAAAGTGCTAGGATTACAGGTTTGAGCCACCACGCCCGGCACACTAAGGATTTTAAAGAGAGGGCTACAAAACCGAGGCTGGTCATTTGGAAACTTGGCAGAGACTGTGCTAGGGCAGGGAGAGCCTAAGGCAGGAGCAAGTGCAAGTTTGTCCCTGTCACTGTAAGTGAGGAGGACTCATGTGTGTTTCTGTTTTCTCTGCCTGGGATCCTTAACTCCATTATGCTTCTTCAACCAGGCTCTTCCCAACAGAGTGACCCTGGCCCTGGCCTTGAACTGTCCTCTAGACTTATTTTCAGCTTTTCACTTCATAATCCAAGAGTATTAAACTTCATGGTCAAAAAAGGACTTGTCAGGCATGTGGGTTTAGTTTGTGCGTGCGGATCAGGAAGGAGGAGGAGAGGGAAGGAGGAGGAGGATTATACTGATTGATAATCCTCAAGAAAAAGCACTTGTTCTAAGTACAAAGTGGGAGCTGCCCAGCATGTGCCAAGAGCCTCTAGAAAAGGCACTGGGGATGCTCTGCAAACCCACCCTTCCTTCTCCCTCTCCCCTACTTCCTCTTAACCCCCACCTCCCTAACAGGATCCTCTAAGGTCTTGAGGGCAAAAGGCAGTGAGGAATAGCAGAATTTCCAAAAGGTCCAAGAGTTTGTGGAACAGTCTACCTGTATGATTAGGGGACATTTATTTATTTATTTATTTATTTATTTATTTATGAGACAGGGTCTTGCTGTGTCACCCAGGCTCGAGTGCAGTGGCAGGATCACGGCTCACTGCAGCCTCGCCCTCCCCAGCTCAAGGAATCCTCCTGCTTCAGCCTCCCAAGTAGCTGAGACTACAGGCACATGCCACCAGACCTCGCTAATTTTTTATTTTTTTATTTTTTTATTTTTGGTACAGACAAGTTCTCACTATGTTGGCTAGGCTGGTCTCTAACTCCTGAGCTCAAGTGACCCTCCTGCCTCAACCTCCCAAAGTGATGGGATTACAGGCATGAGCCACCATGACCAGGCAATTTTTGTTATGTTAAGTCTGTGAGAACATCTTCCTCTACCATTAAAACTAAAATTTTCAACTGATGTTTACCAGTTATTCCCCCCGCCCCACTCGTTTTTTTACAAGCCTGGCAACCAAACCTTAGCCAGGTTAACTGACTTGCTGGTAACAGCTCAAGATTCAAACCCAGGTTGGTCTAACCCCAGAATCTAAGCTCCTAACTGCTGCTCTGCTAAACTCCTTATAAGATGGTATTTTGTTAGAGGTACTAACTATTCCCAGTTGTTTAGAATGATTATATTTTCTTTTAAGCAAATCAAAATGTTTTTTATTGTTGGTGATGGTGATGGTCACTCTGTGCAATGCTTGGAAAAGCCAACCTTGAAAACCTGGATCTGTGGCACCTCCTCTCTCTTTGCAGTTAGACAGGCACGAATTCAAATCCTGACTCACCAGCTCCTGGCAAGTCACTCAACCCCTTTGCTCCTCAGTCTTTTTATCTATTAAATGGGTATAATAATACCCACCTTGCTGGATGACAGGCAGGATTCGAGATAATGAATACTGAGCACCTGGCATGTAGCAGGTTAAAAAGCAGCTGTTGTTATTATTAGCAGGGTCTAGATTGTGTCTGCAAAACCTCACTGGTGAAGACCTCCTCTTTTTGACAGTGAAAGTTTCCACAGTTTGTTGTCACTGTTTTCGAGGCAGGCTGCCTGGGAGACTGGCCACCCCACCCAGCTTCTCCGTTATTGCATCTTCTTGCCTCCCTAGCACAGTTGGCTGCTTGAGCCAGTGGCGGGCAAGACCATAATCTTCCACATTTGTCATCAGACCTGATGGATAGTATTCCCAAGTTAATGCCATAAATGCTGTTTGGAAATTACAAGTCCATGCTGCTGGTGGTCTAGCCAAAAAAAAAAAAAAAAAAAAAGAATTAATTTATAATCATGCATATAAATTTCCTAGATAGTGTTATTATCATTCAGGGGTTGAGTAATGGTGCATATGGGGAGTGGCTACTGGAACAGAAAACCATGTAGCTATAACTTAGTGTAATTCCGATGACAATAGTTACATCTATCACTTTGTTATAAATCAATTGATACCCTGTGTTAAGTGAGGAGGCCTCGCCTCCCCAAATGCATAGGAGGAGTGGCAGAGAGGCTTTGGAGCTTTGTTTAAGGTGTTGCTGGCCATGCTGACTCACGCTGATGGGAAGGCAGAAAACAGATGCTTTGGGAAATTCTTGCGTGGACTCCAAATACCTTGGTCCACTGGACAATGTATCCCAATGTATTCCAATCTATTAGCATTTTAAAAAGTGAATGACATACCTATATCTTTAAAGATAGGTCTTTTGCTTGCATTTAGTCTAAAAAGACTAAATTTTCAGAACTGGAATTATTTACTAATTGAAGACAGGATTCTGATTGAAACGGCATCAGTCCCAGAAGAGCCAGTAAGCATTTGAAGGCCTCTCTAAATGCCATGAATCAGGCAGTGTATCTTTCCTGTTAATCTATATTGGTTCCCTCCCAAAGGCAATTGACCCTGGGGAAAGGTAAAACAGAAGAATCTGAGTACCACTGACCTAGCATGTAACTGGCTTTGAAAGTACACTGCTGGGGAGAAGAATGAGGAAATATCACAGGGAGCAATAGCTTGCGGAGAAAAGACGATGGTTTGAAGTCAGTGGAAAGTAATTTTGCCGAGTGCAGAGTTATCTAGTTAACCTACTGTTCAATCTAATGAAAAAGCAGGGCTATTCTGGAGTGTGTTACAGTATGTAGTTTGTCAATTACCCAATCAGGGGGCATTGCTCATTCAGCCAGGATTGAGGGCAATACCCATACTATTTTATTACTATGAAGCCTCAACTTGGCATATTTTTATATAGACTATAGGGTGTTAAATAGCCATGCAAAACTAGGACTTTTTCATCCTTTCTGGCCTAGGTCCATTGTCTGTGGGCTACATCAGTTTTTGCCACTGCAATTAGGATGTTACAATATGCAGTTTTAAACTCATAAATATATGGGAAGGTAGAAGGTGTAGAGTTATGATGGTCCCTCAGTTTTAAAAAAGGCAGGAACAGGTGATCAGTTTATAAGGAAAACAACCTGAGAGGCTAGGGTAGCTGTCTACTAAAAATCTAGAAGGTGCCTTAGAGTCTGTGGGGGAAAAATCTCCGTTTACAAGCTTCCATATGTATCCTAAAATATCCTTCACCCCCATAGAATTCCAGCCCTTAATAGAAATAAGAGTGCATTTGAAAAGCCTCTTAGGAAAAGCTCTGTTAAATCCATGTTAACATAAAAGCAACTTAAAATCATCCTTGTTTTAAAATTTAATTTAAAATTTAATTTTTAATTTAGGAAGTTCGCACTAAGATTGGTCAACCCTCCAGTTTACAAATATCATTTCAGAGAATACTTAATGTACAACTGCTGTTAATCATTGGGAGTCTTACAAGCTGTTATTCATTTAAAAATGCATATATTTTTATTCTTCTGTTTTGAAGAACATAGTACACATTTCCATAATAAAGCATTTCCCCTTTTGTGCCTGTGATAAGCTGTTCAGTGGTGTCAAATATTTTTTGACTTTGATAAAAATGTATTGAGGGTCAAGATCATCTCTTAATAGTTCACACTTCTATTTAATAACCTGCCTCAATGTCAAAAGACAACCCCATTGTCTCGCAGTTCCAGGAAGTATTATGCGCTGCCGTCCCATCTCCAGATGTGCATCAGACATGTCCATGTTATTCCATATTCGGTCCATTCCAGAGAAAGGCTAAAGGAGACAAAGGGTACGGATCTTGTTAGGTGCAGCCTCTGACACTATCACTATCAATTGTCTTTTGCCGAGGCTGATCATCACCTCAATTATCTAGTGTCCAGCCTACCTGATAGGTTTTTGCAAACTATAACTCTTCTGTCGATGAGCATGGAATAATGACAACGAGGAGCAAATGGACAGAATACAAAAGAGATAAATCCAGAAGTAAAATACGTAAGTCTATCTCCACATATAGACATACAATATGCTTTCAGTATCAAGTGATTCAACATAATGTATAGCTAGTGGTTTTTTTGCAGGCTTATTGAGATTATGCTAATACGCTAAGTAAATTAGATAGAGCTGTTGGTTTAAATGTTTTTCCCATTTTATCATTTCAATGGAAACATACCCAATATTTAAAAATATTGCAATATGTCAAATGAACATAAATATATAGAATTTCCCCTCAAATCATTGCATTTGTAATTTATAGTAAAAACCATTTTAAAGTTAAATAGGGATATTTTGTTTAAGAGAAGATATATTTTTCTAAATGATTCCAATTGAAATTCAATTTCAAACTGAAATCGTGAATCAAGGAGGAAGTAAAATACACTGGTAAAGTATGCTGGGGATCATAGCAGTATGGATTTTTAGCCATACATGGTTCCACACAACATGAGAAAATAGATTTTAGTGCAATATTAATTGAAGTTTTGCCAGTGTGTGGTTCAGGAGGTTAATTTGAAAAGCATACATTACCAGTATATTTATAGCATTTAAATAAATTAAAATTATGCTTCACACATCAATAACGCAGCTGTTAAATAATATTTTTATTCTATGTAAATCCCATCCATTCATCTCAGTTGTATAATAAATGACCATAATTACAGAGCTTCATTGGGAGGAAGGTCATTGGTAATCCTGTAATTCCTCATTGGTGTAAAGAGAGAAAACAGAACTGTTTGTGATGAATGTATTCAACCTTTGCATACTTTGGTACTTTGGACCATGCATTAAAATGCAGTCAGAAATTAAGTTCTTCACTTCCACAGCATTTTTAATCTGCTGTGTTGCATTTTTTTTTTTTTTTTTTTTTTTTTTTTTTTTTTGGTAACTAGGGCCTTCTTGAAGTGCTTCTTTTTGGTCTATACACACACACCACCCCCCCCTCACCCGCCAAATTCAGGCTGTCCTATGTCACCTAAATCCAATTTGAAGTCTTTTCTCTATAAACAATTTCCTTAATTTTCAGTACTTCTTTATACTTCTAAGAGGAAACATGATCTCCACATTCCTCTCAAGCTGCGGCATTCTAAACATGAACTCAAGTTCTCAGTCTTGTTTTTAGATGAGCTCTTCTCTTGGCAGATCTCTATTTTCAGGTCACCAGGGAAGGCATTTAGTAAATTTTTTCCCTTGAAGAATCTTTGGCTCTAACCTGGAAGATCTTTGGCTCTAGCCTGGTTCCCATTCTCCTTTAATGCAAGGATGCAACCTGTTTTTCCTAGAGGGATTAAAGATACATAGAAGTGAATGTGAATGTTAAAAGTAATGGACCAGTGACAAATAAATTACAGAGAAGATAACAAATTAAGACATTAACAAAGATAGCTCTGGTTTAATTTCTCTGTAGACCCTGGGTCCTTCTAACCCTAGAGGCTGTGCATTTTCTCTCCTTTCTAGGAGGAGACAAGGCTTGGGCTTTGCATATGGAAATAAGAACAAATGACTTTTAATTCCTAATGAGAAAAGTATCAACGTGAGCAGTATTCCCTATGTGTGCCATAAGGGCTTATAATTGAAAGGTCTGCGGAAGAAAGGGTTCCAAGCGGAGGGAATTCCTTTTAATGAAGCTTGGATTTAGTCCCATTATTCTAATAAAGTGTAATCAATTGGTGCCGACAATCTGAAGGTCTAGTTCAACCTCTGATTAGATCTTGGTTGTTTTTAAGGCCACAGGCGTGAGGAAGGGAAACACAAGTTAATAGGCTTTTGGGTCAGTGATCCACACTTCCTGAAGCGAGCTGGAGTTCGAAGGAGGGCAATTTGGAAGCTGTCTTAGCATAAATCTAAAGCAAGGCTCTGGCTGTCCAGGGGGAACCAGGCCCTCAGCATTCCCCAAGACATGCTTCGAGCCGATTCTACTCTTAATCCAATTTACTCAGCCGAATAAGTCCCACTGCTTCAGCTTGCCAACAAATTAAAATCCAGCTTCATAAAAACACCTTGAATTTGGAAGGTATTGGCTGGCCCACTAGACTCGAAACTTCATTTATTCTGGCTAACTTCTCAATTATCTTCCCAGCAGTGGAGATGTGTAAAAGTGCAAAAATCAATAGGGTTCTATTCCCATTCTATTGGAAAGGGAAAAATTAATGAGATAGGACACTCTCTTAATCAGAAATAAATGTTTTAATTCAGATAATGACATAGTTTTCCCTCGCTGAAGGATGACAAATGCTGGGCTGCGCCCCCAGCAGAAGCAGTTTCAATTTTATTGTAAATATAAAAGGTATTGATCGGTCAGATGTACAAACCCCATTGCTTACAAAAGCCATTCAGGGGGACTGGGAAAACTATTAAGCACTGGGTCAGAAATCAATAAACAACACTGAAATGTAGCAGAGGTCGCCCTAGGCATTGTGGCATCTTTGAAAGCCAAGTGGCAGGAATAGTGACAGAAATGTCTCTTGTGGAACAATGTTGGGGATGAAGAGGGTCAGATGTTTAATCTCTTCTGTGGTTTGACAGGTCCTGGGAACAGAACTAATGTAGTCTTTCACTGCTGTCTTTGATTTAAATACATGCTGATTCATCCCCTTGCTGACAACTGTATTTATTGGCTTTGGGGTGCCTAAATGTATTGGCAGGGAAGAAATCAGGGCACATTTCCGAAGACAGGGCAGTTGTGTTTATGCAAATGGGCCACACCTTGAGTCCCCTTCTCTCTTTTCAGGAAAAAATAAATAGACACCAAAACTTCTTTTCATCACGCCAATAGTTGGGAATACAAGTCTACCACACTGAACCTCCTATTAGAGCAATTACAAGGAAGATGATAGAGCATGAAGTATTTTTTGTAACAGCTGACTAAATGTAATATTTCTCCTTTTGGGGTTTTAATTTTAATACTCACTTTAAATTCAAATGTAGTATGGGCTTCCTTTTCTCCAGTCCTTTATTAGGAGTTAGCATATTCAACAGTCTCTAGGCCACCCTCCTTTCATATGTGGTACTGGGGGGCAAAGAGTTTATAATCAATCATCATTTTTCCCAACCCATCCTCCATCCCCTAAGGTAGTTTTGAAACTAGATGATTAACCCAGATTAGAGACTTCCCTTACAGTTTGAATGGAATTGGGTTGAAGCTTTAAATAACATGAAGATAGTCATTGAACTAAAACACAGCTTTTATTGCTGAAAATGCCAGGCAAGAAATAGCCAGAGCTGAGAGAAATTACATAAGGGAAGAGATTCTATGCATGTAGGTGGAATCCAATTTTTCTAATAAGACATTGATTTGAAAGGTTTAAAGCTGAGTATTGAAACTTTTAACAACATCATTTCTGAAGCAGAGACAAAGCCTTCTCTCCCCTCCAAAACGCCAGGAGCTGCGCCTTGTGTTGCTGAAGACTGTTCCCCTCTTGACACAGGTATGATTATGAGATTGGTGAGGGTCAGGCTGCCCATCAGTAGGTGAAGTGTTCAGCTGCCGAGGATTTGAGTTTCATCTCACCTCAGATATTATGTCAGTTTCATGTCATTTTCATTCCTGAGAATGATTTGAGAGCGCTCCTTGTCCCCTGTTATTGCGGTCACTTGACCTCAGATGTAACTTCTGTCGAATACCATCATTTTAACAAAGAAGAGGAGTTGCACATCCCTAGCCAAAGCTGACCTTTCCAGCCTGCAGCTCCCCAGATGGCTCTGACGGCAGATTTTACTGCCCCCTCCATTCCCAACAAATGAATGTTAAGGCCTCAATGAATTGGTTCACATTGGAAGTTACAGTTTTTCATTGCCATGAGCATTTTTAAAATTTAATCCCCCTCCCGTCTTTGTATTTGGTCTGTAGTACTGGTATTTTTCTTTTTGCATTTGGATGTTCAAACATGGAAAACTACTTTCTGCTTAAAAACATTATTCTGACCCCCTCAAATGGCAATTCTACCTTTGTCACCTAGAACAGAGATGACACACCTTGATTTCCTGTCTGGAAGATGTGTTCCTTTTTCCCTCACAATCTGTTGCCTCCCTATTCTTGTCCCTTGTCCTTTTAGCACTTTAAAGTTATTCTTAAATTTACAACAGGAAGAAAAGTAATTGGGTCATCATGATTTTCAAAAGCCCTCAAACTAGAATACATGTCCTCATTTCTGGGCCTCTGGGCTAGTTCTAAGGAATTGATAGCCTCATAGTAAAAGGAAGTTTCTTTCTAACAGCTCATATCATAGAAGAAGCTACTGGCTTAAGAAAGTGTAGGGAGCTTATCCCAGGTTACATGGCAAGAGTGAGACACAGAACAGGGACCAGAACCTTTGCTTTCTGAGTTCTTTCCCTACTGTAGCCACACCCAACACCAGTGCCAAACTGTGCCTGAAGCTTAAAAGGCCTGCTCACTCTCACCATATTGCATTAGCATATTAAGTGTGCCTAGTACGGTGCCTGGCATCTAGAACAGGACTGGCAAACTTTGTATGTAAAGGGGCCAGATTGTAAATATTTTAGATATTGCTGGCCACATATGATCTCTGTCATACATTCTTGTGTGTGTATGTGTGTGGGTTCATAAAACCTTTAAATATGTAAAACCCATTCTTGGCTTCTGGGCTGTACAAAAACATGTTGTAGGTAAATTTGGCTCGTAGGCCACAGTTTTTTGACTGATACATGAATTGGAAGGTGCCTAATGTTTGTTAGTTGATTGTAAGACGAATGTGGGGGTTAACTGTTCATTTTAGGATCAGATAAAATGGTTTTAGTGAAAGTGCTTCCGACCCAAAGGCACTTGATAAATGTTAGTAATTATCACCTTCTGGGAGCTTAGTTCAATTGTAGAGTTAGAGCGTGGACCAATGAACCACTGTTTCCATGTTTGAAAAGCACACCCACCTGAGCCAATGTTACCTAAATCATAGTTTTCCATTTTCTTCATGAACCATATGGAATTACCACTGTTGGATCATTTTTCATGTACAAGTATGGCCAACTCCGTGGTTCAACCTAATATGGTCTTCCCACATCACCCAAACAAGTTAATACATGAATGTCAGGCTAAGAGATTTACTACTTTGTATTAGGGAATGTAAGCGATTGTCCTCTTATCCAGGGACACGGCACGAAGAAGCCAAGTTCATTCCCGATGTCATGGGGCCAGCTAAGATCGGGACCTGAGGGCCTTATCACTAGCTTGCCTTCTATACTACAAAAATAGAGTTTGGCAGCACCCTGGGGCACTCCACCACTCCCTCCCCACCCAGTTCAGGATGCCTTTCCAGCTCTGTCATCAATATGTAGCTTTGGTAGGTGTCTGTTGTGAGTTTGGATGCTGGGAGGTAGAGGCAGGAGTCTGGGAATGGAAATAAAATTGGTGACATGTGGGAAATCAGGTCAGATTATGGCCACAGCTCCTTTGCACATGGTAGGTCTATAGTTGATTTAATGATTTGACTTCTGGATTTCTACAACTTAAAGGAGGCCCCAGGCTGGTCCCAACAGCTAATTGAGGCCTGTTCTCATTCCCTGAGTCAGACTGTCCCAGTGGACTCCCCCTTATTTCATCGATGTCATTTCAAAGAACAAATCCTTATGGTTTTAGGAATCTTTCCTCTAAGACATTAGGAAAATTATCCAGACCCTGTCATTTGGCGAACTCTAAGATTCTATAAAGATCTTGCATTCAATTCATGTTTATTTGGTACTCATAAGGTGCTAGGTGCTCTTCAATCCAAATTAATGTTCTTCAACCCAAGTGAGCTTTAACATAAATTCTTCAATACAAGTGAACAAAACAAAGATTCTGGTCCTCTTGGGACTTACATTCCAGTGTCAAGAACAGACAATAAACAAATAAGCAGGAAAACCATCGGGTGGGCTAGATGATGATTAGCTCTCTAGAGATAAGCATGGAAAGAGGCAAGGAGTGAGAGTTACAACTGGCTTCCGTAATCAAGTGACAATTGGGCCAAACTCTGAAGGAGGAGCGGGGGCATCACGCAGGTATCTGCCCAGGGAACAGCACAGTGGTGGGGTGTGCGGTTGCCGGGGCTGTTCATGGAGCAGCCAGGAGACCCATGTGTTTACAGCAGAGTGAACCAGGGGGTCAGAAGTAGGAGTTGAGATAGGAGGGGTTGCAGAGGCCAGATTCTGGGGGGTCTCACCAGTGATTTTCTCAAAACAACGTTTCCTTTGTTCACTGCTGGGTCCCCAGTGCCTCGCCAGCTCCTTGGCACTTCAAGGAGACCCTCAATAAACCCCTTATCTAAAAACAGTGCATGCGCAGGCCACTAAAATGGGTGCGGAAAGGCTTGAATAACTCAGACACAATAGTGGAAGGTTACACCTTAAGATGGCACTTCTAATTTCAGTTTGTGTTTTCTATTTCAATGCAAAATTTATAGAAATACCAGAACAAATAGAACTAAGACTTATATCTCATAAGTTAATATATCCTGCTTTCTTTGGACAGATCTGTTATCTTTTTTATAATTACATTCTTTTTGGGTTTTCTCTTTGGGTTGGAGGGATTATCCTTTTGGTTCTGATGCCCTGCTCATATTTTGGGCAGGTTCCCTACCTGTTCTGCTTCCAGACTGGGTTCCGGACCAGCCTCCTCTGTAGTGTGAGTTACATTATAATTTGCAACACACAATTCGGCACCCGATTTCCAGCATCAGTGCCTTTGTCTAATGGAATCGTGGGCCTCCATGTCCTCTTTCCTTAGTGAGGTTATCAGCTCTTTCGGGGCCGGGCAATGTCTTACACTTCTTGCACATTCCAGGAACAAACTGATGTGGCTGCCATAAATACTGCCAACGGATTTTGATAAACTCATGTGTGTGTGTATGTATGTTAGGAAAAATAGTTTAGATATAATCCTCTCTGGAACCAAGAAAACAGAATATATTAACTTTCAAAATATCTTTCATTTCCTCAGTAGTCGCTATGCTCCATGTGTCTGATCTGTCTTGTCAGGTAGAGAGCCTTGTGGGAAATGCCATTTGCTCCTATGGGGAGGCAGTAGGTATGGTAGAAAGGGCATTGACTTTGGTTTCAGAAGCTTGGGTTGAATCCCAACTCCCTAATCATTTTTTTTTTTTTTTTTTTGAGACAGGGTCTTGCTCTGTCACACAGGCTGGAGTGCAGTGGCAAGATCTCGGCTCACTTCACTGCTGCCTTGACCTCTCAGTCTCAAGCGATCCTCCAACCTCACCCTCCCATGTAGCTGAGACTATAGGCTTATGTTACCATGCTTGACTAACTTTTGTAGCTTTTGTAGGATGGGGTCTCACTATAATACCCAGGCTGGTCCTGAACTCCTGGCCTCAAGTGATCCTCCTGCCTCAGTTTCCCAAAGTGCTGGGATTAAAGACATGAGCCACCACAACCGGCTCTTAGTTGTTCTGTCTTGGGTAAATATCTTAGCTTCCTTTAACCTCTGCTCTCTCATCTGTAGAATGGGGATGGTTATTACCTCTCAAGAATGTTGCAAGAAATGAAAAAATAATGTATGTAAGACAGTGCCTGGCACTTTGTATTTAAGAAATCATAGGTATTGCCAAAGGAATAATGACAAATGGAAACCATAGCAAAGTTTAAAAAATTAACTTAAATAATATTTTTGCTCCTTGACACTCTATCTTCCAGAGAAGATAAATTAGGAGTTAGTATTAACCATCTAGAAACTTCTTTTGTGGATTTCTGGAAGCCATTGGGAGGGGTGGGGTGAAGCATTTGAAACATAGGGATTAGCTTGGGTAAAATATAGTTTAAGAAAACTGGGTGCATTTGGATCACGACCAGTTCATTAAGACTGAAGGTTCACCATGAAAAGGACCAGGTCAGGGCCAAGGCAGCAGAAGTGGGCAGTGGCCACATGCTGAAGACCCTGGAGCTTCCTGCTAAGAAGACAGGATTTTATCCAGTAGGCAGTGGGGAGGCATTGAAGGAGTGTGTTGGTTACCTGCATTTATGACTTTCCCACCATCTTGTCTTTCTTGTGATTATATTGTACGACAATGAACTATTGGAAGTTATCACACTTTTATAGTAGGTCTAAGAACACACATATGATACTGACTTTTGTTAAAATGGGGAGTATTAGCCAGGTGTAGCGGCTCATGCCTGTAATCCCAGCACTTTGGGAGGCCGAGGCAGGCAGATCACTTGAGCTCAGGAGGTAGAGACCAGCCTGGCCAAGATGGCGGAACTCCATCTCTACTAAAAATACTAAAAATTACCCAGGCGTGGTGGCACTTGGGTAGGCTGAGGCAGGAGAATCGCTTGAATCCAGGAGGTGGAGGTTGCAGTGAGCCAAAATTATGCCACTGCACTCCAGCCTGGTTGACAGAGGAAGACTCTGTCTTTAAAAAATAAAAAGGGGGAGTATTTGTATAAAAGCAACAACATAATTTTAGTATTCATGTTCTTTGATGTAAAGTTATATCTTAAATGTCATAGAGTCATGAGATAGAATGCCAGAGATGAAAAGGAATTCAAGAAATACCCATTCTACAATACCTTGCCAGAAGGTAAGACTGAGGCCCAAGAAATTCACCTTGTCCAAGGTGATTATACCACCTGAAGACATGACAGAAGGCTTTGTAGTTGCTCTTTATCACACACTTGTTCTGTTCCAGTCATTGTGCTGGGCACTGCATCTACATTGCCTTTCACTCACAAGGAAAAGGATTTTTTCGCCCATTGTATAGATGAATAAACCGAGGTGCAGATACATCAAGAACACACAGCTTATTAAGTGGTGGTGATCAAATTCACTTTTATCTCCATCTAAAGCCTAAGTTCTTATCACCGTCCCACATGGCAACATATTAAATAGTGAGGAATGGGACGTAAAGTCAGTACTTCTCTCTTCCAGCCACATTTTCCACCTGTCAACCTTCCCCAAAGTTGAGTTCTAATTTAAGCCAGGCCAGCACTGTGTTGGTTACATCATGTTGACCCACAAAGAATTGCTTTTATTGTCTTCCCCTTTGGTGGGCTGTTGATGCTGCAAATTTCTACGAAGGAATAGACCTGTACAGAAGGCATCACTTCTGTGGGCATTTTATTGGAATGCTCTTTATTTCATCACAGAGTAGCCTCATTATGAGGAACCCTGGGTGAAATTCCTGTCTTTCTCAGTTCAGGATTAACTGGGCTTCTCCTAAGAACTCGGCCTGTGGGCATATTGTCTCTTGGATGCTGTAAATGCTGTGACTGATCAGGTTTCTCTTTTTGCACTGGTTGTTAGAGCTGTCTGATCCCAAATGTGAATCCCACCCATTGTGAACAGACAGAACTTTGTGGTATGCATTGCTGCGTTACAGTCTCACTCCTGGCTCAGTTTCAGGTTCCAAGTCCTACATCTTTTTTTCTCATCAATTTCTAATTTGTTCTTCCCTGATCTACTGTATATAATCTGACAAGGAACCTTGAATTGTTTTCAGAACAAGGTGAGGTATAAATAATTAAACAGAAATTTTAATTCCATGTTGAATCTCCAAACCATTTTGTAAAACCTGGTAATGGACTCAACCTGCACAATATTCCTATCGATCTTGACATAAGGAATAAGAAGCTAAGTTATAAACTCCTTACACAGAGCAGTCACCCTGGGAACACTGCAGGACCCAGGTGGGGACATCCAGGAGATGGAACGGTTCCCCACTGTCCCGTCCAAATGAACTAGGATGCCATATCCATCCTACCTAATTAAGGAGTTCTTGAAAACAGGGCCTTTTTCTTGATTTACAAACCCTCCTCATCATCATTTATAGTGCACTGATATGTGAAGGCAGGGAGGAGAGACACTTAAGGGAAGATGGGTATTTCCTTAGATGACATTGGTGAGGGCAAGTGTCACCTTCACACAAGCACCTCCGCTCAGATAGCTTGTTAAGAGTTAGGTGGCAGCGGATGGAACATGCTGTACTTATCGACAAAGCACTGATATTATCCATATTTGTACAGAAATTCAAGGACAGGACATAGATCAAGTGAGCCCAGTAGCATGTCTTTAACATTTGCTAAAAGATAAGCCTGCTGTTGGTTTTGATGCATAAGAAACTAGGGAAATCCAGTTTATTTGGGAAAAGGGTTTTTTGCAGATGTAATTAATTTCAGGATATAGAGATCAGATCATTCTGTATTATCTAGGTGGGCCCTAAATCCAATGACAATTGTTCCTAATAAGAGAAAAGTAGAGGAAGATTTGGGACACACAAAGGATTTCTGGCGATGAAGTCAGAAGCAGAGACTAGAGTTACGCAGGCACAAGCCGAGGGGCGCCTGCAGCCACCAGAAGGTGGAAGAGGCAAGGAATGGCTCCCTCTTAGAGCCATTAGAAGCAGCTATTGCTCCTAGATTTCAGACTTCTGGCCTCCAGAACTATGAGAGAATAAATTTCTGTTGTTTAAGCACTAGGTTTGCACCTTTTGTTAAGGCAGCCCAAGGAAACTAATACAGCCATCAATTCCCTCCAGTCCTCATGAAGCTCCCTTAGACTACAATCTTCAAACCTCCTTCTTCATCGAGTTCATTCCAGTGACTGCATCCATCCCCCTGAAGCTCTCACCCTCCAGCCTGGACTCCTAACTGTGCCCACACTCCAGATTCTCAGTACTGCTCCAGACAGGTGTCAACCCGAAACCCAGATCACCATCCCTCCCTTTTCCCCTCTGTTCCTGCTGTCTGGCAAGAGAAACAAATAACTATGAAGATTTGGCCCCCAAGAGTTCTTACTGTCAAGCTTCAACTTACTGCCCAGGATTAAGAATACTTCTCTTTCATGTGCTTCGGTCAGAAGCTTCCTGATTTAATCTTGCACAAGAAGACTGAGCCTACTGGGTGTAGGTTCTAGAACATTCCCTGTACCCCACATTAAGACATCTTTCTCAAAGGAGGAGATTTCTCTCAGTTGAAAACAACCGTTTACCTGACCCTGATGACCCATTTACCCCCTATTTTGTGTCTCTCCTTTCTTTGTGGGATTTCTCAGGCCAGCCATTTATGCCAACTACCTCCATTTTGTCCTTACTAACAGTTTCCGTAACCCACGACAGTCTCACTGTTTTCTTTACAAATAGGGCTCTTTCTCTCTCTCTCTCTGATTTGTTGCTGGAGAAAATTTGCTTTTTCTTATCCTTAAAAAAAAAGAAATTGCCGGGCGCGGTGGCTCACACCTGTAATCCCAGTACTCTGGGAGGCCGAGGCGGGCAGATCACAATGTCAGGAGGTCAAGACCATCCTGGTCAACATGGTGAAACCCCCTCTCTACTAAAATACAAAATATTAGCAGGCCGTGGTGGTGCACGCCTGTAGACCCAGCTACTCGAGGCAGGGGAATCTCTTGAACCCGGGAGGCGGAGGTTTCAGTGAGCCGAGATTGTGGCACTGCACTCCAGCCTGGTGACAGAGCAAGACTCTGTTTCAAAAAAAAGAAAAAAAAAAAATTGGCTGGGCATGGTGGCTCACGCCTGTACTTCCAAGTTTTGGGGAGGCCAAGCGGGGAGGACCGCTTGAGCCCAGGAGTTTGAGGCCAGCATGGGCAACAAAGTGAGACCCCCATCTCTAGAAAACTTAAAAAATTAGCTGGGTGTGATGGCGCATGTCTGTGGTCCCAGCTATGTGAAAGGCTGAGGAGGGAGGATCATCTTGAGCCCAGTAGTTCAAGGCTGCAGTGAGTTATGACTGCACCATTGCACTCCAGCCTGGGTGACACAGCGAGACCTTGTCTTAAAAAAAAAAAAAAAAAAAAAAAAAAAAAACCCAAAAAACAAAACAATGAATACATAAATGAATAATAAATAAAAATTTCAGCTACTGCCTTGATCTTCTTGTCTCTCTGACAATGACTCCTGGGATATTGCACAATTCCTAATCACCTTTCTTCTCTCCTGCCTCTCTGACTATTCCCTTTCTTTGCTGTCTCCTCCTCCTCCTCATGCCTCCAAGGGTGTCCTTATTGACAAAGCACTGATATTACCCATATTGGTACAGAAATTTAAGAACAGGACATAGATCAAATAGCCCAGTAGCATGCCTTTAACACTTGCTAAAAAGGTAAGCTTGCTGTTAGTTTTGATGCATATGAAACTGTCTGTCTCCTCTTCAATCTTAATACAACTCCTCAGAAAGCTCGCCATTTTAATGACTGCAATAGTCACAATATTAGTCCTTATTCCTAAACTTAGGTGTCCTGTTTCACACCCCAGTGCCAGTCCATGTCATTGCCAACTGGGTATTTTTTACAAAGATGTCTCACATCACCTCAAACTCAAGCTATCCCATATCAAACCAACTTCCCTATCTCGGTTTCCACCACCCAGACTTTTCTTCATCTTTTCCTTCATCATGAGTCTACTCAGATACCTAGTCTTGTCAGCTTTTCCAATAAAGTTTTGCTCATACACTCTCTCTCTTCACACTTTTGCCCGTTCCAGACCTTCATCACTACCCACTTTTCACTATGCAAGGCACTGTCCTTATTTAAACATGCCCCCATCTGCTCCCAGTAGACTGCAAGTTCCCCAAGCACATTCATTTTGGATCTCTGGTGCCTAACACAGATGTAAGCCCATTGAGACTCAGTAAATGTCTGCTGACTGCATGAAGAAATGAATACATAGATCACTGCCTGTATTAGTCTGTTCTCACACTGCTGATAAAAACGTACCCGAGACTGGGTGATTTATGGGAAAAAAAAAAAAAGAGGTTTAATAAATTCACAGTTCCACGTGGCTGGGGAGGCCTCACAAACATGGCGGAAGGTGAAAGGCACGTCTTATATAGCAGCAGACAAGAGACAGAAAAAGAGCCAAATGAAATGAGTTTCTCCTTATAAAACCATCAGATCTCATGAGACTTATTCACTACCAGGAGAACAGTATGGGGTAAATTGCCCCCATGATTCAATTTTCTACCATGGGGTTGCTCTCACAACACGTGGGAGTTATGGGAGCTACAATTCAAGATGAGATTTGGGTGGGGACAGAGCCAAACCATATCACTACTGGAGCCTCTCTTACCTGGTCCCTTCCTCCCTCCCTCAAATTGTCTTGTGATCCCTGCATAATATACTCTTATTCTTAAATCTTGCATTCTTTTAAGATCTTGAAGAGTAGTCGTCATTATTCTTATTTTATAGATTGAGGAAACTAGAAGCTCAGACAGGCTAAGCAACTCACTCAAGGTCCCAGAGCGAGAAAGTGGTAGAGTCTGGATGGAATTCCATGCTTTTTCATTTGGTATGTGCTGCCTCCTTTGGGGCAGTGGTGGAAAATTATGTTGGGTAGAAAATCCCAAATTATACAGGACTTTGAAAGCCAGGTGGAGCAGTCTGAACTTGACCCAGATAGGACTAGTCTTCAGTAACAGAGGGGCGACAGTACATACTTCTTAGCGTTGTTTGGAAAATCGAGGAAAAGCCCATATAATACAAAGCAGCCAAAATAAAGCCACCATTGTAGATTCTCAAAGATGGTAAAGTTATTACTTTTAATGTTTTGTTTGTGCACGTCTTTACTCCCAGCTAGATTAAAAGCTGCTTGAGGGTATGGGCCACAGGTGATATTTTTCTTTTCTTATTTTTATTTTTTTGAGATGGAGTCTCACTCTGTCGCCCAGGCTGGAGTGCAGTGGCGCAACCTCTGCTCACTGCTACTTTCATTTCCCAGGTTCAAGTGATTCTCCTGCCTCAGCCTCCTGAGTAGCTGGGATTACAGGGGCCCGCCATCACACTCTGCTAATTTTTTGTATTTTTAGTAGAGATGGGGTTTCTCCATGTTGGGCAGGCTGGTCTCGAACTCCTGACCTCAGGTGATCTGCACACCTTGGCCTCCCAAAGTGCTGAGATTACAGGCATGAGCCACCATGCCCGGCCCTTTCCTTTTCTTTTTAAAGATTTGTGTTATTTATAGTGGCTAAGAGTGTGACCCTTGGGTCTGGCAGGCACAGCTTGGGTGTCCTCTCTACCAACTCTGAAAATGCAGGCACAAGTCTGTCCACCTTGCTGTGCCTCAATTTCCTCGTTGGTAATTTGGGTTTAAGAATAGTGCCTACTTAATAGATTACTGTCAGGATTGAATGAAATAGTATATATAATGTGCTTGCCACATTACTTTACAAAATTACTTTCGTGCCTGCCACAAAGTAATTCTGAATAAACAGTAATTACTATTACTTTTGAATTAATAGTAATAGTGATAATAGTAATAAAAGTAATAGTAATAGTTATATAGTAGTTATACTAATTAATACTATAATACTTATAGTAGTTATACTAATATAATAGTTACTACTTTTATAATTGTTATATTTACTTTTATGATATTTTTGGCTTGAAGGGAAATTTCTTTTAGAAGTCAGGGTTAGAAATAGCTTCATTGCTCTTGATGGACTGCTGCTTCTCATAGCTATACAAACTAGGTTTCTCTGGCTGCCAGGTAGCTCAAAAGTAAACTTGAAATTTAATCATGGCAGCTGTTAGATACTAGTATTCAGAAAATATATCTGACTTCTCCTTTTTTGAGTTGTATTTCCTACTTCCATCTCTGTTTCTCTATTTCACTAGTATTGTAAGCTGCCTTTCAAAGCACTTCTCTTTCAGTCATTGCTTTTCACCCTCTTCTTGGTCATGGTCCCCTTGACTGAACCCTCTCTCTGAGAAATCTACATGTATGTCCTAACTCTCCCCACTACAATTTTGCATCTAATTTTAGGACACTCCTGGGCTTCCCAATGTCCTCTCCAAATAGAAGCCCCTGATTTAGGTGGTGACTGGATAAAATAAAAGAGAGAGGAGACAGGAGGAGGTGGGGCGGGAGTGGAGGGATTAGGAAGAAATATCACAAAACCTTAGCTTTGAAAGAAGCCTGTGAGTCATGCATGTGACTTCCCTCGGGGCTGGAATTCCCACTCTAAAACACCTGCTGCTAAGGGACTAATAGCTCTTCTTCCCCTTGCACCTGGGGGAGGCTCCTGCTCCCAGAACAGTCCACTGCAGAACTGGCAGCACTCCCTGGCAGAATGCTTCTCCTTCCTCTGCTGAATTGGCCACCTCATCCCCTACAGAATCATGCACACATCTGCAGGCACCTCTTCAGCTACCGGAAGACTGTTTTCATGGTTGCTAGATCCTTCTCTTCTCTAGAGCAAACAGCTGCAATGCTTTCAGTCCTTTCTTACATGGTAGGGTTTCACGGCTCCTGCCTGATTTGGTTGGTCTATACCTTCTGTGGGATCTGCTTTTCAAAGCTGCCCTTCTCGCGTGGGAGTGGAGCTCAGGAGCCATATTTACACCATGTCCCTCCACCCCCACCTCCCACCTGTGGCTGATGGAATCCAGGAGAACCCTAAACCTAGATAAGAGGCCAGTCATGCATTCTCCCCTGGACATTTGGAATTGGATTCAGGGTCACTACTTAGTTTCTGCTGGTCTTTTGCATGCAAAGATGTAACCCTGCTGTCTCCTCTATGCATTCAGAGGTGTCTGCATAGTGGAGAAAGCCAAGAATAAAGTAGGTTTAGAGGCAGAGAAGAGAGTGCAGGTGGCATTGGAGAGGGAAAGAGAAAAGAGAGTAATTGCTAGTTCTGGACAACTCTCCAGTTCCTGGTTCCATTCTTCTTTCAATCTTGGCTGCCCTTTTGGGTTCCATGAAATATCCCTGTGACCTTGTAATAAATGCCCCTTTTCGGTTTAAACCAGTTGAAGTGAGTTTCTGTTAAGTGCAAAGTCAGTCTCCTCCTCTCCTCTCCTTTGTCCCCCTCCCCAGCCCTCCCTTCCTCTCTTCTCATTTCTCCTCCCCATAATTCTTGGGTTCTCATGACTTTCATTTATTTCTATGCCTTTCCACCGTCCACATTTGCCTTGCTGCAGATCAAATCTCTCTAGCTATTTAATCCTGAAGCTCTGCTTCTCTTTTGAATAGGGAAGCCTGGTCTCTCATTCTAACCTCACAGTCTACAAGGCAAAAAACTCCTTTTCCTTTAAACCTCCTTCACTGGCCACTGAGATCAATCAGTCCTGACTTTCGTCCTTGTCTCTGGCTTCCGATTGTCCTCCAGGAGTTTCAAGATCCCTACATATTTTGTAATCCTCTCTCCAACCATGGCCTCAAGATCTGCCTGTTTCCTCTTAATCTCCACAGCTATATTGTTGCCCTTGTTTGTGATTACTGGGATGTTGTCCTCCCTAGTCTGTTGGCTAGCAGCTTCCTCCACCTACTGTCACTTTACAATGCTTCCAAAAAATGATACTTCCAAACAAGATGTTGCCCTATCCGCATAAACCTGATGAAGATGGCTGTATTCCATTACCCAGCTATGGTCACTTTAAGCTTCTCTGGGGGTGTTCATGTTCTGGTGCACCTATGATTAGAAAGAGTGGAATAGTCACTGTCCTGATCAACCACCTTTAATGCCTCCTTATTTTCCTCAGGATAAAGTTCAAGCTTCTTAGTCTGACAAAGTTTTTCCACATCCTGATTTCTACCAACATTTTTTAGGGACCCTCTTCTCAAGCCAGACCATCTACCCATTGTTTCCAAATTTCACTTTGGGCTTTCTCACCTCTGGGCTCTGCATTTACTGATTCATGAGGCACATGTTTGTTGTGGTACCAGGCACTGGGGATGAAACTGTGAAAAAGACAGTTGGCTATCAAACATGCTTTCACCCCATGCCAGTCTGGAATGTTTTCTTTATCTAGGCCATTCCTTTTTACTAAATTCTACCCAACCTTCAAATTCCCACTAACATTCATCTCTTCCACAATCACCTCTGCCTGAAATGACCTCTCTTAAACTCCTGTTTGCCTTTTCATTTGTACCCTAAAGTTACTTAGCACTTAATACCTGGATTTGAATCTGCACACTATGTCTCCTGGACTGGATTTCAGATCCTTGAAATGCAGTGTCTACTTCTGCTTCAGCTGCCCACGGGCCTTTGCACACAGCAGGATCTAAATAAATGCATGGGATTTATTGCTGCAGCTTAGAGTCAAATTTCCTTAAAACAACCACAAGTGAATGTGGATATGCATTTCCCTCTTGGTTGACTTGCCTGAGATTTGGTGTGTCCATTGGTTCAACATTCGTATGCTTAAAATCAACCATGTCCTCCATGCTTCAACATGGAAGAACCTTGAAAACATACTATATAAAATAAGCCAGTCACAAAAGGATAAATATTGTGTGATTCTGCTTATATGAAGTACCTAGAGTAGTCAGATTTATAGGGACAGAAAGTAGAATGGTGATCACCAGGGGTTGGGGAAGGGAGAATGGGGAGTTCATGTTTAATGGGCATAGAGTTTCAGTTGAGGAAGAGGAATGCGTTCTGGAGATGGATGGTGGTGATGGTTGTAGAACAATGTGAATGTGGTTAATGTCGCTGAACTGTAACGCTTAAAATGGCAAATTTTATGTTATGTATGTTTTGCCACCATAAAAAAAAAAATCAACCCAGTTCTAGGCTTTGTGAAAGTGTGGTCCATATCTCCCACCTCTCTGGACTCCTCCCATCGCTTCCCATTTCTAGTCATTTGGTAGCACAGAATAAATACTTAGGGAAGTGAAGTGCATGGCATTATTTCCTTGGAACTGAGAAGGCAAATTAGACGGGGAATCCTTGAAAATGCTTTATACACTTCTCACGTTTCACCTTGTCGCTGTCTCTTCAGGATGTGAGTGGAAAAAAGTGTCAAACCTCAAAGCCAACGAGAGAAGGTGTTTCCTGAGCTCAGATGAAGAAATCTGCAAAATTAGGAAATAATGTTTGTGCCAATTCTGGAAGCTCTGGACAGGCTTGGTTCACCTCCAAGTGATTTACCTGTGGCTCTCGATGATTATTTACTTGCCTATTCAGTTCAAGACAATCACAGGAATGTACGGCCCATAAACTAGAATAGCTATGAAACACAGGCTGCCTTTATGTTGAAACATAACTTTTGCATTTTTTTTTTACAAAGGGAAAATACATTTAATATACAGGCTCAGAGTGATCACTCTGTTCTTACTGCCTCCTTTTTAATATCAGAGTTCAGATCGGATCTCTTGCCTGTCCTAGGTCTTTGCCCTTGTGGCTGATGAAGCACCCAGGAACAGATATTTCCCCCAGACTGAGCCCTGCTGGGGAGCTCTGAGGCCCCTTTGTTTTGCTTCTTCTACCACCCCCATCCACTGTCCCATCCCCCAAGGTTTGGCTGCTTCATTGTTTTGGGGGGCTTTTCATGGCAGGTGAACATGGAAGTGGGGTCAACTATGCGAGTAGGGAGAAGGCCATGGACTTGAAGCTGGGCCCACTGACTCTGAGTCCAGGCTCCACCGCACACCAGTGCTGACCCCAGGCAGGGGACATCATTGCATATGTCTATCAGATGGGGCTAAGTACATCCCTCTCCTTGAGTTCTCATGAGGAATAGAAATAAGGAATAGCTGCACAGGGCCTGGCATTGGATAAACAGTTGTAAAGATATCAAGATGATCACTTTGAAGTAGTCTGCACTTTTTGGGGAATGGAGGAACCTAAAATTGAACATGGGCAATAAATCAGATGAAGGGGAAGGTTGAGTGGTACATCACCATCTAGTAAGGATAAATGTGTACAAGTATCATAAATGGAAAAAAATTTTTAAACATCTAGTAAGAGTGGAGGAAAAGTGGAACCTGAGAGTCTGTGCAAGTCAGGAGCACAGACAACTAAGGTAGACACCAGTGGCCTGCAGGTGAGATTGTGAGGGGTGTCAAAGGTCCCTTTGAGTCTGGGTTGGCACTGATGAATGAAGAAGCAACAGTTCTAAAGCTCGGAAACATGAGCTGGTGGCTAAAGGCAAGTATCTGGCCTCTACTGCCTCTAGTGCTAATGGGGAGAGCACATCGGAGCACTGACTTTGGAGCCACACTGCCTGGGTTTGACTCTTGCCTCTGTCCTTAGTAGCTGTGCAACCTTGAGTAAGTTACTTAACCTCTCTGTGCTTTCGTTCCTTGGAAAATGGAGGTAATAATAGTACCACTGTTAAGGTTGTTGTGAGAATTAAGTAACATTACTATACGTAAAACTCTTAGAATACTCTCTGACACATAGTGAGCATACAAAAAAGTGATTCATTCTTCTTTCATTCAACAAATGTTTATGGTTTCTATGCTAGAAACTGGCAAAGTGGCTGTGAGATGATTTACAGTCCCTGCCCTCATGGGACTGAAAGCCTGGCCCCCAACTATCCCTTCTTGGTCCTTGACAATGGCTGAGCCAAAAGAAGGCTTCGGTGTGAATTCTCGGGGCTGCGGTAAGAACTACGGGTCTTTTCTCTGCTTTCATTTATTTCTTGACTTACCTTCTTTTGTAGACTGCAGGTAATTGAGAGTTGTTGGGCCATTCTATAAAAGGCTTACAGATTTGAGGATACTCAATCAATGCTGAATAATAACAAGATAAATGTATAATGTATAAACAGATTCTGTTGGGGTCTTCACATTCCTTCATCTCATTAATATATATGGGAGTGTGCTTCCGCTGCTTCGCTCCCTGATGCAGACTGTCCTCAGGTTGGCAAGGAGTGGGCAGGCCCTGCAGAGTCCCGCCTGAGGCCTGGCGAGGCTCAGATGCAAGCTCAGGATCCAAGCAGGTATCTTCTTTGTAATTTCCAATGGGTTTTCTTTGACTTGAGAAGAGACCCTTCGCTGACCTCTCACCATGGGTCAGGCCTGCTGCTAAGCACCTTCTTATGCTATTTTGCTTTATCCTTAAAACAACCCTGCAATGTAGGTTCTATTGGCTTCTCTAAGTCACACATGTAACAATTTGCTCAAGCTTACTCAGTACAGCTGGCATTCTAATTCAGCCACGGCATCTACTACCATGTCTCCCTTTTAACAAACCTCTCGCAATCTCCAACATACTTGCTCTTTTAGAAAATTTGAGGCCACCATCTTCTACATTAAAAACAAAGCAAACCAGGCACAGGGGCTTATGCCTGTAAAAATCCCAGCACTTTGGGAGGCCAAAGTGGGTGGATCACCTGAGGTCAGGAGTTTGAGACCAGCCTGGACAAGATGGTGAAACCCTGTGTCTACCAAAAATACAAAAATTAGCTGGGCATGGTGGTGCCTGTCTGTAGTCTTAGCTACTCAGGAGGTTGAGGCAGGAGAATCGCTTGAATCCAGGAGGCAGAGGTTGCAGTAAGCTGAGATCATGCCACTGCGCTCCAGCCTGGGTGACAGAGTGAGACTCCGTTTCAAAAAAAAAAGATAAAAAAATACAAAGTGGTTAGCATGGAATACCTTGTTTCATACATGGGAATCCTTATCACACTTTGCAATTATCTTGTTGATTACCCGTTTATTCTTAGTGACCCTAAGTTCTGTTAACTGTTGCACTTTAGCACAATGCTTGGTACAAAATAGCTGCTCAAGAAATATTGTTGAATGAGTGAATGAATGATTATCACTAAATTTGTATATCCCTTATAGGACCTATAGCAGTAGCACACAAAATACGTGCTCAATTCTTATTTTTTTAATGTATGCAAGGAATTATTAGTGAGTTATCTAATTTGGCAGCTCACATTTCATATCTTGCTGATTTCACTAGAAAAAAAATTAACCACACAGACAACTAACCACGCAGGCTCTCTTTTAAAAATGAAAATGAAAAGTGAAAGAAAGAAGAATGAATGAATGAATGAATGAATTAGAAGCAATGCCTTGGTGGTCATTCTCTAGAACTTTTCTTCAAGTGATCCCCATCCTCAACCGACTTGCATCCAGCCTGATAAGCAATGTTTCGGCAGGTTACACTTAGTGAAATCTGGGCCAGCCTCCTTTTTCACACAGCTCATGCTGGTGTGTCTTAGAAATAAACAGCCTTCAAAGATGCCCATTGATGAAGCCAGCATTTTAAAAATCATTCTGGTCAGGAGTTTGTCTGAAGTTATTTTGGCATGGCTACAAAAAGCTGTGTGCTTTCTAAATTGCTGATCTGGCTCAGGTAGGTCTCGTAAAGGCAGAGGGCCTGATCCTCCCACACCCACCTGAGAGACCCCAAACACCAACAGAGAAATTCCAGAGTACCCTTCTTGCCCTGTGCCTAGAGCAGAGCGCGCAGCCCAGAGGAAGGCTGCACCTCTCTGGTATTCCTGGAATAATAACCTAGGTTCATCTGTGAGGCTGATTCTCCCAGGATATTTACTATTAAGCGTGGGCTTAATTTCTGTTATCGATGTTCTACTTACCCACACAGACAAGCATATGAGTGAGTTTACCCACAAGTGTACATTTTCCAGAGGAAGCTGTTGCTTTTTGCTACAGTAATTGCTACAAGAAAAGCACCAGAAATTTTTGAGGTAACATATTGTTTCTCCATAACAGCTTCAAACTTTTACCCAGATGCTTAGTTTTCTTCTGCTTTATAGCAGAACAAACTCCCCATTTTTCATAAGACCTGATGTATATTGTGCTTTTGACTAGTCCATAACTCAGACTAAAGCATACAGGCACTTTTCTCCACTCCGTTTTCTCATGAAAGAGAGAGCCCGGCAAGCTGCCGCACCAGAGCGAGAAAGAGGTAGAGACAATTTATGATTCAGTGACATAGGCAGAAGGTGTGATTTATAGTTTAATTTGCTGTCGTAATGGACAGAGGATAATAACATGTAAAATATTAACCAATGTGTAGCAACAGCAGACATCATTTGCTAAGCTTGTTATCTGCTGCTCTGCCCCTGACAGTGAACAATTAAACTGACATCAAAAAAACAAGAGCAAATGCATGAGGCAATGCCAGGACAAAACCAGCAGCAGCATCCCAAGGCCATGGAAAATTAACAAATAAAGACACTGAGATATTTTCATAATTTATCTTTCGCTCTGATTTGGTGTGATTTCGCTGGGCTGCCTTGCTGCCTGCCTCAGCCCCAAGCCTGCTCAGAGTTTACGCGTTTTGGAAGAAGGTGTGTGTTGCCTGAGTCTGGGAAGCCATTCCTCCCGCTTTGCATATTTGCCATCCGTCTGTTTGTGTGTTCTTGAAAAGGAATTGTTAAAACTGGGCGTTCATGGATCTAGCAGAGCCAGCTCGGGAAGAATGGAAGGGGAAGGGAGAAGAGCTTCTCAGGTAGAGAGGTCTGGGCACAGATCACAGTGAAAATAATACCCCCAACCCCCCGCAAATAATTATTTCTTATTCTCCCTCCTTCCTCCCAAAGGGAATTTTAAATAATTGGTAACATTATCTTAGGAAACACAAATGGTTAAAGAGAAATAGAAGAGACACATGGCTTTGATGTCTACTCAGCTGCAAATGGTAAAAACTGCTTTTATCCATTTTATTAAAATTGAACTTTGTTATATCACTGAAAGGTTACTTCACCTTTAAATCACTGCTCACGTCAGCCTTAAAATTGGTAAAATGTAGAATTGAAACCCTCAGTGTTTAGCTGGAATATCCACAAGATTATGAGCCTTTTTTTTTCCAAAGAGAAAGTTACACAATAGTAGAGTGGTGGTTCTGTTATTCTCTGCTGAATCTATTTTGAAAGTGGCTGCTTGTTTTTTTATAAATTCCATCAGCAATCTCCCTGCCAAGGGCTACGGAAGCAAGCAGGAGCTATAGCATCAGATCTATGGAAGGTCAGCACAGGAGATGAGCAAAGCAGGGCAAGCTTAACAAGAACCTTTCAAAAATTCAATTACAGCCAAAGAAATTAATAAATCCTTTCTGTTGGTATGGAACAAGAATTTGTCAACCTGTCCATTTTTCAGCATCTCCCCCTGACCCCGGTCAATTACATTGCTTGTAAATAGTTTTTATACATGTTCAAATAATTGCTCATCCTAATGTGCAGTGATCTGTATTCGTCATGCTCTGAAGCTCCAGCCCATCTCTACACCGCCACCAGGACCCATTACTCGGCTGTAAGTGAAATTGAAATTGAAGTTATAATTGATATCGGGGCCCATCACCATAATGGGTTCATCATAGCGCCATCTAAAATATTAATTTTCTAATTATGGATAAATGATCAGACAAGCTGAGCCAGGGCTCGCAATGGAGCCCCTGGGAATTGGTGCTTGCTGGATGGGAGGACAGGGCCTTGTAAAGCCTACAAATCTTTTATTATTCTCTGCCGCAGCACAGCGAGATTCAATTCTCTCAGATAATAGGTAAATAATAGTTAAGGATCAGGCTGTTAGGCTCAATTTTCTCTCTTTGTCTCTCTTTTTTTTCTCCCTGGTTTCATAATTTAAAGTAATGCCATTACTGTAACCATTCCAAATTCATTTGTCAAAGAGCCTGGAACATCATTTAATTTTAATCATGATAACAAGACAATGTGTTAATAATTCCAGGTTGGAGGAAGGCATTTGAAAACTTGTTTACCTGTTTACTCTCTCATACCATATGCAAGAAGAATTTATGAGCCGGCCCCATTTTTCTTTGCAGCCGGAGACATATTTGGTAGCTTCTTGGGGCCTGGGGAAGGAATTGGGAGTTTGTAGGCAAGTGTGTGTGGCACAGGTATGTACACACTTGGCTGACACGCAACAGCCACAAACTTCCTGCCTGGGCACACATGGGGTCCTGAAAAGACAGTGTCACAGGATTCATTTTCGTGTTGACATCCAGCTCTCAGAAGGAGAATACCCAGCTTGCCTTCCGGATGCCTAGGCACACGGGTGGCATCAGCCAAGGACTCCCATTATTGCTGCAGATATTAATATCATAAAATTAAATATTGTTTTCAGGAATCTCCGTTTCAGTTTTATATAGTAATTCTTTCAGCTAATTGTTTTCCTGCACCCTGATCCCATAATTAGGGCCTGACTAATTATCTAATTACTAAGTAGCAGAAGGGCAGGTTGATGGCGACATTTTCGCCATCTTTCAAAGCCTCGTTATCCTTGTGAAAGTCATGGTTTCCTCTGGCTGCAGGCAGCTGCGGCAGATCCAAATGTCTGCTCACCTTCCACATTTGTCAACCTGTTCATTATAGTGGTGAATTTGACACATCAGAAATGTCCCTTTGACAGGAAAGTTTATCCTGGAATGAAAACTGAAGCAAAAGAAAGAAAACCAAAGAAAGATGAAAGTGTAATTTATATTCTCAGATTTGCAATTGTAGTCTTGTCTTAAAGGCAGGATATATGTCTGCTCTTTAGGAGCTGGGAGATGCTCGCTTCTGGAGCCTCGGGGCTCGCCCAGGCTGCATCAGGGGCAAAGAAGGCCTTCTTCATTTCACAACCCAGTGGGGCTTCCAGACGCTGAGTCGCTGTCACTCTGAGCTGCTCAGCCGCTGGCGAGTCCACTGGCGGCGGCACAACAAGCTCACACATCTTGGGAGAAATTGGCCCATAAACTCCAAGAGGCGAGAGACTCTGGTATTTGGCTGCCACAAACATCAGGTTACCAACACACTGGTTAATCAATAACCCAATTTTGTTTAATCCCTAGGTCTTAACATTTGACACCTTTTGTCCCCTTTCCAATTTTTACTACACTGGAAAGTCAGCCACCCTCCTTTTGGCTTTTTAAGGCAGAGGAGGATGGAGTGAGGGGGAGGGGAAGCAAGGATATCTTACTCCTCATCTCAAAAGTAACCAAATGTTCTGCAGTTGCTTCGCAAACTTCCATGTACTTCCCACTGGGTCCTCACAGCCTCCAAAATGAGAAAACCTTTTGAGAGTATCAGAGTAACTCTGGTGAACGACACACACCTAACTGAAGTCATAATTGTAGAATCATTATCAATTATAACTCCAACCAAATATGATTGTATGTTCAATTGGCTTGGCGTAGATAAATGTATGTTTGTGCAATAAACGCATCTGTCAAGATTGTTTTTAATGCTCTAAGCTGGATTTTCATTAAAGAAGTATTAATTTAAATTAAGCACGCTGAGATCTTTATTAGTAAAGTAATCAGCAGCAAATAAGCTGCTTAATCAGTTTATATACCCATATATATCTTTCAGAATCAATGTTTTCAATTGAGACCGTTGCCAAGTGGTTAGAATAAGACAGAGAGAAAACACGCATGAAATACATTTCGTTTGCTAGGCTGATGTCTGCCGCGGCCCTATTGGCGTCTCGGAATGCAGTCATTGATGCATCTACGATGACTGTATAAAATGTGTTTAATTGGCATGAAAAGGCACTAACTGAGAGCTGGAGGGGTTTCCATTATCTGGGTGGACATCTTATTTACTTTAGTGGATCCTGGGAACAAGATGAAAGTATATGAGAACTGAGGTGGGGGGTTGGTACTTAAGCTGATGGGTTTTCTTGGTTGGTTGGGGGTGGTGAGTAGGGAGTTTTACAATCATCCAGGCGATGCAAAATGCAGCTCTGCAACGGCCCAGGTCTCCCTTGCACCCTGAGGAGAAAGCCCAGTGGAACATTTTCCTAATGAGAATCTGCCGAAGGCTGTTCACCCAGGGTGAAGCGAGCAAGCATGGTGCGTCCTTACATTTCCGAGGCTGCATTTTTATAAAACGGCTCCTCCCTTCTGTGTAGCTCAAAAGCTGGGTGGAAGAGAAGGTATCATTTTTAACTTCAACCTCAAGTAACAATGGGGCACAGAGGGGCTTCTCAAGATGCCTAGCACTTGGTTGTCATCTGAATGTCTTCAGAATCCCTTGGGATATTGGACATGCCATGGTACTGTTCTGTTTGGTGATCCCTGCAGTTACCAGTTTCCTGCTAAGCGAATACTTCGCCATATTTCCATTAATTGCTACATTACAAATTGTTCCATATCCCAGTGGTGGGAGTTCACTCTGATGCCAGCTATGGAGTGACAACACCTACACACAGTCCCAAGAGGTTCCCACATTCTGTGGGATTTGCCTTTTGAGATTGTTATTTAGTGCATAATTCTCATGTCCCAGTCATGAAGGACAAATAGAGAGAGGACGACACGAGGATTAGTTTCATCCTATTGAATCCTCCATGGAGAGGGCTTATTAATGTGTTTTAAGTGTGTTGGAGGCTCCCAGAGTACAGTAATACCTTCCTATGCTTATAATCACTTCTACTCCAATTTTCAACTCCAAGATCTCTCAGGAAATGGGTCTCATTTGTAAACCACGTAAACTGGGTTTATTAAAAGCTGAGACAGATAGGTGCATTAACAGAATATATTTCTTACTTTAAAATGTACTTTATTTGTACATCTTTGTTTGTTTTGCAGCTAATAGAGAACTTTACAATGAAGTCTGGTTTCTATAGAACACATTTGAAGGCTCTCTGTATCTGAATCTGGAATCTGCAAAGTTGGAAGCTTAAATGAACTGGCAGATTGGGAATCCTCCTCCCCAAATCCCAGGGGTCAGGGCACATGTGTTGTAATGGACTCGGTCAGGAAAATCACATCCTCACTTCTTCTCCTTGGGGATGAGGCAGGTGCTAACTTCACCCAAGCACTGGCTGTCACAACTCACAGCTCAGGATTTGTGAGAAATATCAGCTCTTTGGCAACAGGCACTAGTAATAAAATAAGCCTTTTGACCAAATTTATCATTGGAGGGTTTTTTTTTTCAACTGGAAATCAGAAAGGGGAAAAGAATAGTAAAGAGGATATTGGGTTTGCTATACAAAATAATCCTATTGAGCCATCAGCCCTGATTACTGGGTGTGAAAACTACAAACCCTATCTTGTGCTCATACCTAGTGGAATCCTTGGGAGAACTAGGTGGCCAGACATGGAGCTTCAGGCAGTGGAGTAAATTCTTAAGGACTGCACTTTGCTTGGTAAAGTAGATGGACATTCACTTCTCAACCCTACTCTTTTGCTTCTCATTGCTCCTTGAAAGACCCAACATGCTATTGGTCATTAAATATCCCATAATTAGCACAAATGTTTGTACTAACATTTGTATAATACTACCACTTAATAGGTGCCAGACATACCAAGTAATTTCCGTGTAATTATCTCATTTAATTTTCATAACTATTCTATGACATGGAGACTTTTATTATGCCCTATTTCACAGGTGAGGAAACTGAGTCACCCAGCAGTTAAATAATTAGCCCAAGATCACACACAGCAGCAGACAGCTGAGCCAGGCCTTACATTCAGTACTCTTTGACTTAAAAGCTTAACCATGGAACTACCCTCTACTGCCTACCAAATCCAGCTTGGTGAGTTTAGCCAAGGCAAATAATGTGACCCCTACTTGCACGAGGGTTATTTCTGGGGCTCAGAATGATCAAATATCATGGGAGGAAACTGCTTTGTCTTCATCACTACCCTGCTATAGCTTAGCAAAACCTGCACTCGTCAATACTTCTTACAAGGTGGGCAGATCTCCATATGCAGCCACCCCTATCCGGTGTCCAACCCCCAAGCTGTGAAACTGGGCTAAGTGCTGAATCTGCTCATTCCTCTGGAATTCAGAGGAGGCAGCATCGTATGGAAGAGCACAGCTGAGGCAAGAAACAGCTCTTTCACTGGTCAGCCATGTAACCGTGAGCAGGTGACTCGACCTCACTATGCCTCAGTTTTTTCATCTCTGAAATGAGAAAAATAGCAGAATCTACTTCATAGGATTATTATGAGGATTACGTGAGTTAATATTGATTTGGTGCTTGGGATGTGGTCAGGGCCATAGAAGACTTAGTTACTAGTGTTATGTAATTATGTTGGGATGTAACTCTCAAAGAAGAGAGTTGAGACAATGATCTTAACTTTTGGGTGAATCCAGATAGTCAATTTGGCTAACTGAGACAAGGACAGGTTTCTTACCACTGCTGGGAAAACCAGGTGGTCTATTGAATTGGCCTACTGTTCTGAAATTATTTAGACATGCCCTGCATATGTTTGCATATACAATTGTACAAGTCATATGTTTGTAAGAAATGTCATTTCTTCACCATTTATTCAATAAAAATGCTTCGTGCTCTTGCTCTGAATCAGGTACTAGAGAAACAAAACTGAACAAGACCATCCCCAAAGAGCACACAATGTAGATGGCAGCAAATAACCTAACTGTAATACAACACGGCAAGTGTAGTAAATGCTTCAGTGAAAGTATGAAAAACGTGGAGGAAATGAAATGTTTTTGTACTGCTGGGTCAGGGGCAGTCACTGAAGCCTTCCCTAGCAAGCAACATTTGAGCCAGGGCTTAAAGAATGAGGTAGAATTTGCCTGTTGGAGGATGAGGGCTGGATATGGACATCCAAACAGAAAGGACGTCTTGAAAACGTGCAGGAAGTTACAAAAATTTACGCTGTGTTTGGGGAACATTCTAGGTAGGGCCGTTGTGGCAGTGCCCTGTGTATTGGAGTAAAGACAAGACAAGAAGTGAAGCAGGTTGTGAAGGGAAACACTCATTTCCTAGAAGCAGAAAGCAACAGTATCTCATTTCTTTGGTCACAAGCAACAGAAATGGATTTTGGCCCTTTGAGAGAATGGAGACTTTGTAGGAACTATTTGGGGCACCAACAGGAGGGAAGGGAAGACCGTCTTCCTCAGGCACTATCCCACTGTGTTTGCTACCTTTGCTTTGATTCAAGGTCTCAGGAGACAGAAACTCTGATTGCCTGAACTCAGGTGAAATGCTCACATCTTGGCTGTACTAGGTGGTGAAAAGAATGTCTGGTGGGCAGAGCCTCCACCTTTCAACTTCTAAGGTGGACAGTCAGCACACTAGAGGGCACCAAGACTACACCAAATCAGGAAAGGTAATTCCCCAGAAGGAAATCAGGGAGCAGCTACTTGATGGACAGACCCCACATTACAAATGTTCATTATAAATAATAATAACAACCTATGTTTATTAGCCATCTGTTATAAACTATGGTGCATACATACTTCATATAAATGTTTTATTTAATCTACATAATAACCTTAGGAGTAGATCTACTCCCACTTTGTAGAATTGGAATAAATAAAACCCATTTTTCCAAATGAAAAAAGTCACAGCTCAGAGAAGTTATGTCACTTGCTCAAGGTCACACAGCTAGTAAGTGAGTGAGCTGGAACTCAAAAACCTGGATGCCTCTGATGGTAAATCTCTCAATCACTGCACGTTATACCTCCAAGCATCTGCAGGTGGGCACCAGCTCCGCACTGTCCCACCCTAGCCCTTTCTTCTGACCACCACTGAATGGGCACAGTCAACTTGGGAGACCAAAGGATCTGGCTTATGGAAAGGAGCACAGACAGGCACCTTTCTCAGTTCCTGTCCCTGCAGGCTATCCAAACCAACTGGGCAGCAGCCCTTGAGCTCGGGCCAAAACCTAATCTCTCAAGCCCTTTGAGGGTATCATATGGAAAACCCCTAATCAATTCCTTCCAAAGCAATTTATAATAATGCTTCCTCTTGAGCCCCAAGAATGGAGAGCTGCAAATCCACAGGGCTTCAAAGCATGTTGTTTTAATTAATGGCTGAGCAGAAGCTTCTCTAATCCTTGTGGGCAGATGTGCCCTCATTAAAAAAAATTCTATGAGAATTAAACTTATCTCAGAAAGTAGTGGGGATAACTTGTTCATCTGGTAGTAACATCTCCCCAAGTACTGGGCCTGCCATTTTGAAGTCTATAACCACATATTTAATCTAAGTAGGGAAAACCACTCACGTCATCCCGTCACTCAATCATCCAGTGAGTCATTAATCTAGTTTCTATTCTCTAGTAGCCTTATCTGTTTATAAATGTTATTTTACTCACCAAAACACTGCAAGGTAGGCATTAGGATCCTCATTTTATTGACAAGGAAATGGAATCGCAGAGAAGTTAAGCAGCTAGCTTAAGGCCACACAGCAAGTAAGGGGCTCATTCCATGACCCTGTGCACTGTTCTATATCTTGAGCACCAACTTGGATCTGTACCAGTCTTCACAGCTCCCATCTCTGAACTGTCCAGAAAGAGCCCATGTTTTCTGCCCCTTGTTGGGAGAGGATGACTGAGAATTCCAGCAAAATGGAGACTCTTGAACTGATCCCCCTGTCTCCAGAACTGTCCAACTCACCTCCAAGTCTCCAACTCACCTTCCACACTGGCCACCAGCAATTGTTTAAAACGCTAAACCAACCATGACACTTAGCTTAACATCTTTCAATGGCTCCCAATTACCTTTAATAGAAAATCCACATTCACACGGAATGTGAGACCCCTCATGATCCAGCCCTTGCTACCTCTTCTGTCTCATCTTCCAAAACATCCCCTGAGTGCTCATTTCACTCTAGCCATACAACTCTCCCAACAACCTTGAAGGCACCAGCACACCTCTGTTCACTTGTTCTTCTCTTTAGAACCCCTTTCCCTTTTATATCTGCTCAGCTAACTCCTATTCAACCTTCAAAACTCAGTTCAAGTATCCCCTTCTCCAGAAAGTTCCCACCAGAGTGACTGTGTCCATCCTCTGTGCTTTTTTTTTGAAGATTTTTGTAGCATACCAGGGGTACTCTCACTCTCTAATAGTAGGGATGACAGTCAGGAAGTTTTTGGTCTGCATAGGACAGAAAGTCCACCCAAAGAAGACTAAACAAAAAGAAAATAGTAGATTGATCTCATATAAAGGCCATTTGGATGTAGACTGGGCTCCAGATGTGATACGATCAGGGTTTCTGCTTAGGGTTTCTGTAATTTTCTCAGATCTGTCATCCCAGATATATTTGTTTTGTCCTCAGGCCAATCTCCCCAGTGGTAGCAAGACAGTTGCTAAAAGCAATTGGGGCAACATGCATAGAGGGGAAGAGAGAGAACCTTCCCCGCAGTTGTCCTTCCCTTTGGTGTGAGGAGGGCTTTAGGTCACATGTTCATCCCTGGACCAATTACCGTCACCAATTAAGCAATAGGCTGAAGCCATGATGCCTGAGCCAATCACAGGCAAGGGTGTGTGTAGGATTATCATGATTGGTATAGCCTGGTGTGGGTCAGCTTTCCAGAGATCACATAGCTTATGTACAGGAGAGGTGGGTACCCAAATAAAAACGGAGTTCCGGGTTGGGTACAGTGGCTCACACCTGTAATTTCAGCACTTCGGTAGGCTAAGATAAGTGGATTGCTTGAAACCAGGAGTTCAAGACCAGCCTGGGCAAGATGGTGAAACTCATTTCTACAACAACAACAAAAAATACAAAAATTAGCCAGGTGCAGTGGTGCACACCTGTAATACCAGCTACTTGGGAGGCTGAGAGGTGGAGGTTACAGTGAGCCGAGATTATGCCACTGCACTCCAGCCTGGGTGACACAGTGAGACCCTGCCTCAAAAAAAAAAAAAAAAAATTCTGCCAGGAGGGAGGAAGAAGGGAATGGATGCTGTCTAAGCCACCACAGTAGCTGCATGAGTGTTCACACACACCTGTCCTCCCACAATACTATAACCGTCCCAAGGACAAAGACCGTGATTTGCTTATCTTAGTATCCAACTGTCTAGCAGAGTACTTGAAAAATCTTTGAAAATAAATGAGATGAGTTAGCATTGTTAAATATTGCTGGAGCTGAGGTGTATTCAAAGCTGATGAAAGATTCTGGTTGGCATGAGGTAAAAAGGAAAGGCATCATTTCTACCTGCTGGATCTCTATTTGGTATATAAATTAGACCTTTTTAAAAGACATGTTTCTGTCTGCCAGGCTTTAGAAACAGTGATCTAAGAGTCAGACATTTCTTATTAAAGTTTAAAAAATATAGCTTTAAGTCATACATTATATTGAACGCTTTCATATCTCATCTGATTCAGTAGGTTTTAAACCTCACAGAGGTCACATTTTGAAACAGTAGTCACTTTTTACAACGTCTCCAAACATTAAATAAAAATAAAAATTATTATGACGACTAGAGATGTCCATAGAGACCACTAGCATGACCCTTGGATATTATTATTAAGGACAGTATTATTTGGAGTTCGGGGGTCACAATGGCTGGCTCATCTCTAAGCTTCGTTATTTTTTCTTTCTTGAATTGAAGAAGGAAGGAAGGGCAATTCCATCAATGCTCATCTTTTTTTTTTTTTAACCCTATTTAGAATAGCAGTTCTTAACTTATGGCAATCTGAGGAATGCTATGAATCCCTCAAACATGCAAAATTTTCTGTGTATCAATATTTTTCTCAAGAGAGGGATCATAGTTTTTGTTATAGTCTCAAAAGGGTCCTCGATCCACAAAAAGATTGAGAACCACAGACATCGAAGGAAAATTCCCTCAGGACCCCAGTTGTCTCAGTAACTGGGGTTTCATGTAATGAAGAAAAGCTATCCCCAGGGTTAGACTATTCACTTAGATTGGTGGCTTCCAGGAAATAGGTTGTCCTTGGATTTCTCTTAGGATGTTCTAACTTAGAGAGGTCATCGAGTCCGTAGATATTTGAAATGAATGGGGCTCTGGAAGAAGAAATTGGCAAAGTAACTGTGTAGCTCCCACATCCCACCCTCTCAACCCCCAAGCCTCTCCTCGACCCACTTCTTAAGCTAAAAAGGCCTGTCCTGACTCAGAAACATGTGATCGCTAGCTCCTACATTTACTGGGGACAATTTATAATTTACTCAGCCAGTCTAGGGACTGGCTCACATTTGTAAACAGAAATAAAGCTGGTGGTTTGTTGTTGGTCTCTAAAAATCTTACAATCTTGACGTGTCATCCCCTGATCCATAATGGGCTTTTTGTTGTTGTTGTTGTTTTAAAGCCTGTAATGTATTGAAGTCTGGTGGCAAAGGAAGGAAATTTGGGAGGAAGTGTGTGTGTGTGTGTGTGTGTGTGTGTGTGTGTTGTGTCTGTGTGTCTTTCTGTGTGTGTGTGCATGCTGGTGTGTATTCAAGGAGGGCTCTGAAAAGATGTTTTTGGTTTCCCCCAATGAAGCATCCTTGCCCAAGAAGGCGGGTTTGTATTGTTAGTTATCTGCTATTTCTTTGTTTCTCTTGTTTCAGTGTTCAGTTGCATTTTACTGTTCAGAACTTGAAGGATGCATTCAAACTTATGGAGCATGACATTTTAAGTATCTCATCTCACCATGATTCATCTCAATTTACTTTCCTCCAAACTGTAGTCTTGAGAAAGCGCACCATCTCTGGGTTCTCCAGTGGGTAGAAGACCATAAACAGCATTAAATGAGCCCAATGTCAGCTAACTTGCGAGCAAGGCTCACTCATTAGATTTTATTGTTCTCCTAATGAGATGCTTTCCTTTAGGCTGGGAATGTGTGGAACATTAGCAATGGCCTCTGTAGTGTATTGCTGAATGTTCAATACGAACCAGTGGAGGTTAAATAACATGATGAATCAAACAGTCCCAAAGGAATGTGGTGATGTGCTGAGCCCATTAGGGCCCTGCAGACCCTTAACACTTTCTGTGTGAGGCTTCTGTTCTCCAAACAGTTGCTTTGCCCCGGATGATGCACTGCTTGCAAAATGTATCAATCCCAGGACCCAGTATATGCCTACCAGAATATATTTTACTGTCTCTAGTTGACTTCCAGTTTAGAGTTCAACCTCAACTGAACTTTGGTGGTAAAAAATCAACTCTGTCTTCATTCGCTCTAGGAACCTCTGCTTTTGAGTAGAATGAATCGATAATGAGGTCATGAACAAATATTATTAATGCCTTTTATTATTTATATGGATGTTAATGTGTCCAGTTGACACACAGCTTTCTACCTCTCTAGTCTAACACTCGTGACCCTTGGCACCCCTTTTGCATCTTCTCTCTCTTTGTCCATTCAGTCACAAATACAGTGAAAGAATAATATATCACAAGCCATGACCCCTTGGCCTTTATGAATTATCTGTTTAGAAAGATGTGAAGCCACCTTTTATATCCACCATAATAGATACTTAGACATAATGGATCAATAGTGAACAAGTTTGCTGGTTATAGTTAATGGGTACCAAAGGGACACTCTGGCAGTGACCTCTGACATTGCCTCTGACAAGAAATCCATAGAGCAAAAAATAAGGAAGATGGACAGTTTTTAAAGTTATGAATGCAGATCTGTAGCAAATCATGATAATTTTCTCCTGGTGGCGATAATTCAGATTTGCAGGTGGTCACTAATTTCTGCAAGCTCCTTAATTAGGACCCCTGAAATAGGAATGGCAGTCCTTCGCCACCCTATTTTAGAAAGAGCTATGGGGCCGGGCCTGATGCAAGTCCATTTGTTATCCAAGGAGAACCAACTGAGATTGTTTTCCTGTCAAGGAGGACTTTTCTCTTTATGAAATGGGCTGTCATTCATAATTTTAAGCAGGCACGGATTTGTTAAACAGCCACATGGTAATGGGTTTCTATAAGAAGATCCACAGACCCATAGTTCTGGAAAGAAATCGAGCTTACAAGTTATTTTAAAACCTAATGGGAATGGAATATTTTGGGTTTCTTGAAAAGATGGTTTCTGCCCTGCATATTGTCAAGGGAATTTAAAAATAAATCCGTTGTTGTGTGTCTGAGAGTCTGTTTGAAGCAATTATATTTTTATACATTCTATGGAGTTGATCTTAGGGAAATCCACCAGGACACCAAGCCTACCTCTTCATGTCACCGCAGGAACATTAACGGTGGCAAGCAGGTTTAAAAAGAGCAGGGAAACAGAGCTAATTGGTGAGTGGTCTTGAAGACAGCAGACTGCAGCATTCTGCCTGGCAGAGAAATGAATATACATGGCATCCAATCCAAAGGAGAGAGGGCAAGAATGTAAGTGCGAAGTCCTTTTCACTCCGCTCCACAGTGTACATACCGTATTATGATGTCACACTCCAGTAGCGTTGCTCTGAAGTCCCAGTGGTCTCCTGCTGCTAAGCACCATTGAAAACACATTTGTCCTGACTGTTCTTTTCCTTTTATCCCCCTCTCATCTGTGTAAGATGAATCACTCCTGGATCCAGACTGACTCCGAGGGCAGAGCCAGGTCCTGACGAGGTAGCCTGCCTCCTATGGCTTAAACATTTTAATTAATTTCAACACTAATGCCCAAATGAGAGTTAATCACTCTGCCGCAGTGCTTTCTAATTTACTAAGTTTATTCATTAAAACTTTCCTTGCTGAACTTTGATTGAATGTCATGCTTTTTTGGAGGCCTTTCAAACTGCCTTAAGGGGTTTTAAAGTGATATCTGGGGCAGCTGCTGAAAGCCTTCAGTGTTTGCTTAAAGAAAAGAAGAGGGAAAAATGTGATCAGCAAGAAATCTCTGTGCTGAACAAGGAGTCTTTTGGGTGGCAGGAGGCCTGTGAAAGCAGGCTTGCGTTTCAACAGTCTATTAAAAAAGTAAGATAAACCTAAATTCCTAATAAAAGAAATAAAATCAATCACCTTAATACTTGACAAAACTTGGAAATACATTTTATGGTAAGATGCAGCCATCTTTTAAAAAAACAGCAGAATGATAGCAGCACTTTGTATTAACGTGGGGAGAGATATTCACAATGCTTTTGCCAACCTAATTATTTTGGAATCAATATAATAAAAATCTTAGGTACACAGTTTTGCCTATTAATTGCTAGGGCCTAAATTTTTACTGAGAGATATTGTTTAATGAAGGTTTTTATTTAAAATTAACGCCCGAAAAATGCAGTCTTTACATATCTAATTAACAGTATCGGGGACCAAATACCCGGTACTATCTGTTACACGATGGTAGCTCTCAATACATGGAATTGCTTTTCCAGAAATTGGCAGTGTTAGTGTCTTTAGGAATGTGCTTCCTCCCTCTTCCTACCTCTCCATTCTCCATTCCCTAACCCCAGTCAGAAACATACTATTTGTAAAGTTTAAAAAATTCCAATAATCTGGGAGGAAAAAGTCAAGTCAGAATTATTAATGAAACCACCACTTAGTTTTAAGAGGCCTTGAATCAAAATACAAGTTTTCATATTCATTTCCATGTTCTATAAATACTGCTCTGTATTATGCAACAAGACACGACAAACTCATTTTTAAAAAATATTTTTGACTTCAGGGAGCAAAAAAGTTACCCATTCCATCCCACCTTGACAAATGGTGCTTGATTTGGAAGCGCCCCCCTTCTCACTTGCAGGGGCAGGGCTTGTCACTACGAGTTGGCTCATGAAGTAGTCCTGCTTTTGAGGCTCTTGAAAGATCCCTTCGTAAATGTGATCCCTGTGTCTATCAAAACACAGACCCAGAGAGAAATACGTCAGCATAGGAAAGAGTGTGATGGCAACATATCCCAGTGCTGGGATTAGGCAACCTGGCTTGGAATCCTGATTTTGCTGTTTGCCAGCTGTATGACCTTGGACAAGTTATGTAACCTCCCTAAGCTTACTTTCTTCAAGTACAAAATTAGCATTATTTAAGCAGCCATCTCGTCGGACTTTTGTGGAAATGAATAGCTCATATATATGTAGCACTTGCTACAGTAGGTGGCACTTACTTACAGTAGGTGGCTAAACATTATTTACTCCTCAGCCCAACTTCAAGAAACAGTATTATTAATTATTATGATCCCCAATTTACAGAGGGGGAAACTGAGTCACAGAGTGGCAAAGTAATGTTCCCAAAGTCACACAACTAAGTTGCAAAGCCAGAGTTGTAACAGGGTCACCTGGCTCCAGAGTCCGCACACTTAACCCCAGAACGTAAGCAAAGGATATAGGATCATGCCCGGCCCAGGGAAGTGCTTCATAAAGTTAGTAATCATTAGCTCTTATTATTGTAGGGGTTCAATAAATGTTTGGCTAATTGAATAAATTAATTTTGTTAGGGATTCTTGAAGTACCAGAGTACAAATACTTCTGCAAATCAAGTACTGACACTGAACAAGTACTGCCTTTCCAGCCTCCATTCATTTCAGTGGCGTGAAGATGCCTGGATGCACATGGTTGCAGTAGCTATTTTACTCTTATTTTGAGAAAAAAAAAGAAAAATGAAAAGTAAACTAATGAGTAAACTCTTTTAATATGCAAAGAGGCTGGGTGCAGTGGCTTACTCCTGTAATCCCGCACTTTCGGATTCCAAGGCGGGCGGATCACCTGAGATCAGGAGTTCGAGGCCAGTCTGCCCAAAATGGCGAAACCCCATCTCTACTAAAAATACAAAAAATTAGCAGGGTGTGGTGGTGGGCGCCTGTAATCCCAGCTACTCAGGGGGCTCAGGCAGGAGAATCGCTTGAACCAGGGAGGCAGAGGTTGCGGTGAGCTGAGATCGCGCCACTGCACTCGAGCCTGGGTGACAAGAGCGAAAGGCTGACTTGGAAAAAAAAATATATATATATGTATATATATATGTGTGTATATATATGTGTATATATATGTGTGTGTGTGTGTGTATATATATATATATATACACACACACACATAAACAAACAAACAAAGGAGATTAAATTCGGAAATAGAAATCAGTGGTAATCCTAGTCAGTGATTCCTGAACCTGGATGTACAATAGAAACATCTGAGAATCTTTTTTTGGGGGGGACTGAGTCTTGCTCTGTCGCCCAGGCTGGAATGCAGTGGCATGATCTCAGCTCACTGCAACCTCTGCCTCCCGGGTTCAAGTGATTCTCCTGCCTCAGCCTCTCGAGTAGCTGGGACTACAGACATGCCCCACTATGCTTGACAAATTTTTTGTATTTTTAGTAGAGTCGGAGTTTCGCCATGTTGGCCAGGCTGGTCTGGAACTCCTGACCTCACGTGATCTTCCCACCTCGGCCTCCCAAAGTGCTGTGATTGCAGGCATGAGCTACTGCACCTGCCCGAGAATCTTTAAAAAATACAGGTAACTGAGTCTCACCCCAGATCGATTGAAATTGAATATACGGGGGTAAAATTTAGGCAGATGTAGTTTTAAAAATATTTCAGTGAAATAATATAACATTATACAGAAAAGTATATAAATCATAAATACACTGCTCGATGACTTTTCACCAAGTGAACACACTCATGCAGTCAGCACCCAGAATCCCAGAAGGCCCTCAGTGTCCCCTTTTAGTTACTATACTTCCAAGACATAGCCACTATGCTGATTTCTAATATATGGATTAATTTTTTCTGATTTTTAGTATAAAACTAAAATGAAATTATGCAGGATATGTTCTCTCGCATCAAGCTTATTTTGCTCTACATTATATTTCTAAGGTTCACCTATGATGGTATGTGTTGCATTCATTCTTTCCTTTTCAGTGCTGTATGCTATTCCACTGTTTGAATATACTACAATTTATTTACTCATTCAGCTGTTGCTGGGCACTTGGGTGGTTCCTTGTGGCGCTATTATAAATAGTGCCTCCATGAAATTCTTGTATGTCTTTTGGTGAATTTTTACATTTGTTGGGTGTTTAACTGGGAGTGGAATTGCTGAGTGCAGCGTATACCTAAGTTCGGCTTTAGTAGATTGGGCGTGTGTGTTTTAAAAAAGCACCACAAGTGGTTCTAATGAGCTGCTGGGAATAGGAACACCGGTCCGAGCTGTAAGGCCTTATGGCTACCCAAGTGCTGCTTAGACTAGGGAGTAAAAGACAGTTTTAAAACCTGATAGAAATGGAATATTTGGCATTTCTTGAAAACTGGCCTCTGCCCTGCATCTTGCAAAGGAATCAGTTACTTTAGGGTTAGAGTTGACAGCTGCAGTACCAAAGCAGCAGGAAGAGTAAGTTGGTCCACATTTCAGTTACAATTCTCCATAGCAAGTGTCTCTGCAGTATCTTATAAAATATCACAACATGGAGCCCCTTCCACAAGCACCCAGGAAAAAAGGAACGACATTTTTTCTCTAGCCTGGCCTTCTGCTTTTGTTCCATCTCTGCAATCACACTCCCAGGCCCCACACAGGCTCTGCCCTCTGCCCAGGATAGTTTCCATGGCCTCCCCTCTTAGCCCCTCTCCTGTCCCCCTGAGCTTCCTCTTGTGAGAAGCCTTCCTTGTCTCTCCTGTCGTAGCACCTGACTGGGAGCTCCTAGAAGGTAGAACCTTGACTTACCATCTTGGTGTAACCAGGTACTGCTATACATTTTCAATCAATGCCCGACCAGCTTTAAACAGTACTTAAAAAAAAAACCCCAAAAACAAAAAACTATTCTCAACAGGTACATAATGTGCAGCTCCCTCATAAAATTTCAGGGCGTTAAAAAGCACTTATCATGTGCATGTTTCCAAATGGTCCTTCCTTCAGTCTTTCTATTTATTTATTTATTTATTTGACAGAGTCTTGCTCTGTCACCTAGGCTGAAGTGCAGTGGCACGATCTCGGCTCACTGCAACCTTCGCCTCCCGGATTCAAGCAATTCTCCTGCCTCAGCCTCCTTAGTAGCTAGGATTACAGGCATGCCCCACCACGTCCAGCTAGTTTTTGTATCTTTAGTAGAGACGGAGTTTTGCCATGTTGGCCAGGCTGGTCATGAACTCCTGATCTCAGGTGATCTGCCCACCTTGGCCTCCCAAAGTGCTGGGATTACAGGTGTGAGCCACCACGCCCAGCTCCTTCAGTCTTTCATATCAACATAATGCATACATGAGCACAGGTCCACTGACCCTGACCAGGACGCAGAGGGGACAAAAAAGGACAGGACAATCTTACAGGAACTAGCTTGTTGATTAACTAATCAATTAATTATTAACATGATGTATAAACAGGAGTCTTTACTTGGGGCTTGCAAGGAACAAGGATTTAACTCTAGGACTGATGTGATGGGTGAGACTAATTGGACTTTCTGTTCATTAGTAACCCCTCCAGCCATGGTTGTCACAATGGTGGGAAGAGGAGCAGAGAGACACTCTTCCTTTGAAGATAATACCACTTCTAAATGGTTTACAACAAGGAGCTTCTGAGCAGAATTGTCACACACAACTGCGCAGGGTATGCACTTCACCATTTCAGGGTACAAAAATGATCCCCCTTGGGTTGTAAGCCTCCTAAGTTTCATCTGTAAAACTTAGTTCAGAGAATTATTATGAAGATTAAAAGGGCTACCACTGCTGAAACAGAGAACATAGTGCCTGACAATGATTCATTGAACGGCTATTTGTTAAGGACTGGCTCTTAGTGGGTACTCATAGCATTTATACTCTAGAGGAATATACATACACTAAACTAATAAATAAATAGATATAGTAGTTCCCCCTTATCCATGGGGGATATGTGCCAAGGCCCCCAGTGGATGCCTGAAACCTCTGATAGTGCCGAACCTTATGAATACTATATTTTTTCCTACATATACATACTTATAATGTTTGTAAATTGGGCACAGTAAGTGATTCACAACAATAACTACTAATAAAATAGAATATTATAAAAATATACTATCATAAACGTTATGTGAATGTGGTCTCTCTCTTTCAAAATATCTTACTGTACTGTACTCACCTATTTTCAGACTGCGATTGACCTTGCATAACTGAAACCGTGGATAAGAGAGAACAACAGTGCTTCCAAATTGTGATGAATGCTCTGAAGGAGAAAAGCAATAGAACAATGAAAAAAGGTTGAATAAGCAGAATGCAATTTAGAGTGGTGGGGTGTGGACAGGGCAGGCCTGTCCGGGAGGTGACATTGATGTTGAAGGCAGGGATGGGTTTGAGGTCACTTAGCAGAGAGTGGGAGAAGTGGGGGAAGGGGGAAGAGCTTTCCTGGCTGAGGGGAGTCATGTGCAGGAGTGTGGCTGGAACAAAGGCAGCCAAGGGGATACTGGCATAGCCGAGGTTGGAGGCTCTTAGCACGTGCTATTGCCCATTCTCTTTCCTTGTTTCCCTGGTTCTGTAACTTGGGCATCCATTCCACTCCCTGGACTCCATCTGGGGAGTGATGTTACCTGGTGAATGGTCTAAAATATTATGAGTCATCCATTTTAAGAGGGTTTACATGCAGGGGTCTCCAATCTTTTGGCTTCCCTGGGACACACTAGAAGAAGAATTGTCTTGGGCCACATATAAAGTACACTAACACTAACGATAGCTGATAAGCTAAAAATAAATAAATTAATTAATTAAAAATAAAAAATCTCATAGTATTTTAACGAAGTTTACAAATTTAAATTGGGCCGCGTTTAGAGCTCTCCTGGGCTGTACGCGGTCTGCGGGCAGTGGGTTGGACACGCTTAGTGTACAGCCTAGGCACAATCCTATGGACGTAGCTCATGTGGGCCATGCTGAACTTTGGAGATACTCTGCCCACTTTCTCCTGCCTCTTTTTCCCTTTTAGTGCCTCTTCCCACTGCTGCTCAATGCCACTAAGCTGGACCCCAAGTGTCCCCAAAGTTAATACCCTCTGTAGATCTCCTCCAGAAGTGTCCACGCTTTGGAACTTCCCCATGCTTCTTGCCTCTTATTTCCCACCACACCTGGTGTGTTCTACATTCAGTTCCCTCTGGGCCTGGCTAAATGACTGACTCACACACTTGATTATTTAAATTAAGTTTATAATGGCTTAATAGGTTGACCTGTACAAAAGACAAATATATAGGAATTTCAAATATAGTGAAAGAACCAATGGAATAGAATTTTGGATGGCTGATGATCCTCAAATCTCATCATAATTGGTCATGTGAGGGGCGGGCAGCAGGCAGTAAGAAAGTTCTATCCCAGAGGCTGGATCCAGGCTTTGACATAATTTAATTTAACACAGAATAATATTCTTTCCTGCAAAAGGTGTCTATGGCTCTCCTAACCCTACCCAAGTTTCCAAAGGCTTGGGTGGGAAAGGAGCAGTTGGAAGCTGCGGACATTGTGAATCTAAGTACCTTACAACGGAGGCCAGCAGGAGGGATTCCTCTGAGGGCTTCTTCTGCCTCATGGACCTCACAGTCTTCCCTTTCTGGCAAGGACTCTTCTGGTGTGCACCAGTGTCCCATATTGGATCCTGTGACTTAATTATTTTGTTGTTGATTAGTATATTACTAATTGAAGGAGAAATGGATTTCTTCACAAATATCAAACAGTCAATAAGAAGAGAAAAATGTCTGCAAAACTGGATGACTTTCCTCACCTGTAAGGTGAGAAAGAAATGGTTCTTTGCCTCTCAGAGTTGTGAGGAGTAAAGACACTAATATAGGTCAAGCACTGAGCACACAGAAGGTACCAAGGAAAGGATAGAGTCACGGTGGCACACCCCAAATCCTTGGGGCCAGATGTGTTTCAGAATTCAGACTTTGTCCAATTTTAGAAAGGTTATACAGCACAGATACCGTATATTATGTAATATTCCCAGTGGGGCCTGAGGAAACACTCTTATTTCTGTAATCAAACATATTATTATTTCTTTAGTCAAATGTACGTGTGCCCACACTTGGCATGATAAATAAATACTATAAATAGCTTCAAATCAGTTTGAGTCATGTGTTGTCACCTAATAAGTGTGCGCCAAAGTTATGAAAAACACTTCCGTTTTCAGAACTTAATAGATTTTGGAATTGCAACTAAGGGATTTCTATTATTTTGTTTCTGTAACTCAAGTAGTAAGATTTTCTCCTTTCCCCCCTCTAGTAGCCATTCAAGAACCACTTTTCTTATTTATTTATTTAGAGACAGAGTCTTGCTCTGTCGCCCAGGTTGGAGTGCAGTGGTGCGATCTTGGCTCACTGCCATCTCTGCCTCCTGGGTTCAAGCGATTCTCCTGCCTCAGCCCCCTGAGTAGTTGGGATTACAAGAATGTGCCACCACGCCTGGCTAATTTTTGTATTTATTTTCAGTAGAGACAGGGTTTGCCATGTTGGCCAGGCTGGTCTCGAACTCCTGACCTCAGGTGGTCCTCCCCTGTTGGCCTCCCAAAGTGTTGGGATTACAGGCGTGAGCCACCGCGCCTGGCTGACTTTTCTTATTTATTCTGATTGTACTTTGAAGTGTAGAGACTGAAAATTCCTGATATATTAACTGAGGGCATAGGAACTGGGATGTAGACATATGAGAGAGTAGGTTGTTTTATTATTCCAGGATGAGACCTAGAACCTCAGAAAAGCAGACTTTGACTCAACAGAAGAAGAAATTGGATCATAACGCAATCTACTGCATGGTGAGTTGCTGAGTCCTGGCTATCAGAGGTGTCCAGGCAGAGATGACAATGTATCTATCATGGATACTGTAAAGCGGATTCCTGTAATGAGCTGAGGTTAAGATATATGATGTCCAAGCTCCCCTCCAGTCTAAAACCCTATAATTCTATATTTTTATTAGGGATTTAGTCACAATCAAGGGAGAGTTTCATCTCTATTATGCCAGGATTTAGGAGAATCAGGAAATTGTTATTTCCATCTTAATCTTTTTATCTGATCCCTGGGGCTGTAAGCGTGCCAGCAGATATCTAAGGTAGTCTATTGCTGAACTGTGCTCTGTGGGATGCTGATAGAGTTCTGTGATCAAATAAGTTTGCTCGGACAATTCAGTTAGACCATGTTGGGTTCAACAATTTAAAAATATTTCTTTTCCAAAGGACTTATATTGACTTCAAATTACTATTATATATTATAAATCTCCTAGAGGAAAGGGTGAAAGGCAGGATTTCTCAAATTTAATTGTCCACAGTTTTCAATTTAGAATGTGTCTGGTGAGTTAGTCTTCCAGGGAACACACTTTGAGAAAAGGAAGTCTAAAAATGTCCTGGCTTGGTAAGATAAAGATTGATAGAGGTTACCATATAACAGGTCTGGTGCAAGGTGGTGGGAAAACAGTGATGACTAAGACACCCTCCTGCCTTAAACTCAAGGAGCCAGAATCTAGCAGCTTGATCAATTGTTTAATTTTATTTGAACACATTCTCTATTTTCACATTCACTTATACTTTCATATCTCTCTTTTTTTTTGAAACGGAGTCTTCCCCTGTCGCCCAGGCTGGAGTGCAGTGGCGCGATCTCGGCTCACTGCAACATCCGCTTACTGGGTTCAGGCGATTTTCCTGCCTCAGCCTCCCGAGTAGCTGGGATTACAGGTGCGCACCACCACCCCTGGCTAATTTTTGTATCTTTAATAGAGACAGGGTTTCACCTTGTTGGCCAGGCTGGTCTTGAACTCCTGACCTTGTGATCCCCTTGCCTCGTCCTCCCAAAGTGCTGGGATTACAGGCATGAGCCACTGCGCCCAGCCACTTTCATGTCTTATGTTTTCATCTAAGATATTTTATAGAAGACATTCTTCTATTTTTATATTTGCTTCTCCCATTTTCATGTTCACTTTTCTGAACTTTCTCCTTTCTATGTTTAAGTATTATGAGAAATCATTGGCTAAAGAGGAACTCAAGGTGTAGAAGCAGAGAACAGAGGGTTGAGCAATTGCAGCCTCTGAGTTTGGAGGCTTCTCCTAGGCCCACGAACCCACCCTGCCTTTTGTTCACCCCAATCTCTGGCATATGGCTTCATTATTTGTTGTTTCTGGGCTCTGATGGGTCACTTGGAGATCTCTCTTAGGTCATGAATGGTGGATGGAAGAGGAGTTCGGGGCTCTGGTGAAGCCAAAGGAGCTGAGTATTCAAGCCATTTATTATCAGCATGATGAACGCTGACGATGGGCTTGCACTGTCAGATTACACACTTAATTTAATTAATAAAAAAATTAAGATCGTCACCATTAACCTGCATTTGCTCAGAATGCCACGGGGTGATTAGTTAGAATGGCACTGAAGGCTTTATAGTCCACTCTAGTAAGAATTACTTTGGTACCAATTAGGATTTTCCATAATATCACCCCGTGTAATATCCCTATTACCTTACACATTTTCTACAAGTGATTGAGTTCAATACAACGCAGACACGATGTCACAGGACTCTCCCTCAGAGCATGCATGGGAACTCCCATGAATGTTAACACACTCACTAAGTCGAGAGGAGACCCTGATTTTTTATATTACACAAACCCATTTCAAGGGTAATGATTCTCTGTCACAGTTTCTCAGAGCATTGGGAAATTAGACTCACTGGTGGCTACAGAGGCTCAGACAGTTAAAGGCTCTCCTTTGAGCATCTCAGATCTAAAATTGTCCTTAGTCCATGTGGGAATGTTAATTTTTTCAAGTCTATTTGACTTTAAACAGTTTACTTTTAGAGTCAAAAAAGAGCAAAGCATTCAGACAATTTCTTACAACTTAAAAAAAAATCGTTATGGTCCAAGCACAGTGGCTCATGCCTATAATCCCAGCACTTTGGGAGGCCAAGATGGGAGGAACGCTTGAGTCCAGGATTTCAAGACCAGCCTGGGCAATAAAGTGAGACCCCAGTCCCTAAAAAAAAAATTAAAAATTAGCTGGGCATGGTGGTGCGTGCCTGTAGTCCCAGCTACTCAGGAGGCTGAGGTGGGAGGATCACTTGAGCCCAAGTAAGGGGTTGAGGCCGCAGTGAGCTGTGATCATGACACTGCACTCCAGCCTGGGTGACAGAGTGAGACCCTGTCACAAGAAAAGAAAATCAATAATTCCTGTTTGTAAAAAAAAAAAAATCAAGTGGAAAAATACAGTTAAGAAAAAAACATAAAAATCAAATAACTTTCCATCACTCTGAGAAGCCCACATATTACTTAGTTACATACGTTTCCAGATTTTTTCTATGGAAATACAATGTTATAATTTTTATATAAACAGGATCTATTATATATGCTGATTTATTTAACAAAAACACAACAACAACATTCACATCTTGTCAGGTCAATAATTATGTTAACTTCATTTTTGAAATATTACATTGTAGGTTTTTACCTGTATTCAACTCAATCAGTTGCTTAGTGAGGATTTCCAATTTCTTAACATTATAAACATCAACTGGGATACACATCATATTGAATAAGTCTTTGGGCACATTTGAAATTATTTCCACAGAATAAATTCTTAGAAGTGGAGTTGCTGCATCAAAAGTTGTGTACATTTTAAGTTTTTAAAATATTTTGGGCCAAATCGCCTTCCAGAAAGGTTTTACCAATGTTTGCTCCCACCAGTATCCTTATCAGAAACAGACTTTTAAAATTCCCATTCTTTTTTGTCTTTGCTGAGTAGACAGATGAGAATGGTACTGTACTGTGTCAGAGAAATCTTCATCATCTGGGTCAAAAGGATGGTGTGATCTGAGCAGGTAGAAAGTGGAGAGGACCAGGGATATGGCATAAGATATCAAGATTTATCCAAATGTCATGAGATTCCCATTAGTCAGAAAACATACACTGAGCACTCACTGCAACCTAGAAAACCAACTAGAAATCTCCCTCTGCCTATGGGAATTTCACTGTGCAGTAGGCGGCAAAGGGAGGTCTGCCATGGCAACAGATAACAACATAATACAGTGTGGAAGGTGTAAGGAGACATGCCCTAGAGGAGGCAGCCTTGAACTGGAATCTAAAGGTGGGGAAGAATTGGCAACTTGAAAGTCTCAAAGATAAGTCCACCGTGGTTTAGGAAAGGACTGGGTGAAATCTCCTTTCTTCATTCATTCTACAAACTTACACTGGCCTGCTACATGTCAGACACTGTTCTAAGAGCTGCCGACAAGGTGATGAACAAATAGCAAATGGACTGGATCCCTACCTTGGTAGAGTTTCAGTTCTAACATGGGGATTGGTTAGAGCCACAGCCTTTAGGCCTCACTGGACTTGAAGCTTCAAAAGAAGAGGAACCTTGCCTGCCCTGTTAAAGCCTGGTATCCCCGGCACCAGTACAGAGCCTTGATGAACAGCTGTGATGTTGTCAGAGATAAGGAGAAACCCCACCAGTAGTATTCCAGTTGATCTCAGTTGATCAGAAATAAGGAGAATTCAGCAGTATCCCAGTTGATCAGAAAAAAAAAAAAAACAAAAAAACGAGTGAGAAGTGAATTGCCAGGGAAAAAGGCAGCAGGTGGAAAAAATAAGAGCAGGTGAAGGAAGAGGGGAAAACTGGGAGAGAAGAGAAAAGAGAGGAAAGATGAGCTTGCCACCTCTTGGGGAGCAGACCACAGGGCACCTGACGCTCACAGTGCTCCATCCCCCATCGAAACCAAACTGCCAGCCGCTGCTCCTTCTGCATCCCACTCCAATCAGATCAGATAGGGAGGAAAGAGGGCCATCCCCAGAAGGCAGAACAGATCATTTCCCTTGCTTAAATATTGATGCATGCAGCAGGCAGCTGCACCCAGGTGGCTGAGCCAAAGTCCAGGCCCTTCTATTTCTGAGGATTTCCTCATGAGGCTCACGTCTTCCTTGACTCCGTGGCCTAACGAAATTGGACTTTTCATTTCTCGAAAGTATACTTGATCCTCTCAAAATGTTTCTACCTTACAGCTTTTCAAAAAATAAATAATAAAAATCTGCATCTCTCATCCTGTCTCATTTCCTGGACTTGGCACATCTTGCTGTGAGGGTTACATCTATTTAAGTCTCTTCTGCAGCCTCAGATTAGACAACTTGTGTCTGGCCCTACCTGGTGTGACAACTTATAAAAGAACAGATGAGATGAGAAAGTCACGCAGGAATGGGAAAAAGAGACAAAGTCATTCTGTGTTTCCTTTTTTCTTCCTCATTCCTCCTTTCCTTTCCTTCTTTTCTTCCTTCCTTCCTTTTTTCTTCCTTCCTTTCTTTCTTTTCCTTCCTTTCCCTTTCTTTCTTCTTTCCCCTTTCTTTCTTCTCTTTCTTTCTTTTCTTTCTTTTTCTCTCTCTCTTTCTTTCCTTTTTCATTCTTTTCTATTTTTTTCTTTTCTTTCTTCTTCTTCTCTCTCTCTCTCCCTCTTTCCTTTTCTTATTGACCAGTGCCACTTTACAAATACTTTCACATTTTGACATTTTTTCTTCCTCCTAAAGCTAGCTGTCCATAAAAAATTCAAGACGGATGTCTTGGGTAATTGCATGGAATTTCTAGTAAGTGTCAAGTATTTAGGATTAAAAAAAATCTCCTGACTTCAGCAGAATAACCCAAAAACTCTCATTAGTTACTCCACATTATTTAAATATATATTTTTCCTTCAATGTTTTAGGTGATGAAGAAGATTAAGAATGATTCCATAACGGTCAGTACAGTATTTCACATTCACTGACCTTTTGTGTAATTTGATATGCTCCTTCAGGAAGTCAGCCATGGCATGTTAGGGGAAAGCTTGATTTATAAACATTGCTCATGGGTGTGTGGGGAGGGAGTGGAGGGGAGTGTGTGGTTTGTTCCCATCATGAGTTTTTACCTTTTGAATCAGCTGACACCTTTTAGGAATTCATTAATGTATTCTTATTCTTCTAAATTACTGCCATATTTTCTCTATTAATGTTCAGTTCCCCAGAAGAACTGGGCAGAGTTGAGACAGGAGGTCTTAAGGCTGGGTTGACTGGAGGGGTGTGGACCAGAGGAGACTCAAGTCATCACTGAAGGGGAGACAAGGATGACTGGGAAGACAGAGCATCAGATCTGGAGGGAAATTCTCAACAAGGACAGAGTCCATTTCTGGGGTGCCTAGAACGTGGTGTGGGAGTTGGGTAGATAGATAGGACCCCCAAATTGCCAGATTGGGTCTGACTTTCAGTGATTGGTACATATTATATGCCCCCAAATCTAATTAATTATTCATTTAACTAGTAAATTGTTCCTTTGTTGATAAATGCTTAGTTGTCCTCTCTGAAGTACTTTTCTCAAGTGTCAATAATGTTTCTCCCACATAACCCTAAATTCCAAGTCTGCTGCCATTTGCACATTCTCACAATGTTTACAAAGTATTCCGGTTGGGACTTGCCCACTTAGATTAAAACCTTGTTCTACGTGGACACAGGAAGGGGAACATCACACACTGGGGCCTGTTGTGGGGTGGGGGGAGGGGGGAGGGATAGCATTAGGAGATATACCTAATGTTAAATGACGAGTTACTGGGTGCAGCACGCCAACATGGCACATGTGTACATATGTAACAAACCTGCACGGTGTGCACATGTACCCTAAAACTTAACGTATAATAAAAAAAATACCGTGTTCTAAATATCACATCTAGACACATCATAAAGAAACTACAGAACCAAAGAGATTTTTAAAAATAAAAAGCCTAATATTTACCAGACAGAGGAGACTGATTATCTTCCAAACAATGACTGCTAGCATGTCAGTAGGTTTTTCTGTGGCCACAAAATGAAATAATGACTTAAAAGCGCTGAAGGGAGGGGGGTAAAAATGAATCTAGAATCTTATACCCAGCTAAACCATCATTCAAGAATGAGTGTGAAATCAAGACATTTCAGCAATGCAATTCTAAGGAAGTTTACCATCTGGAGACCCATTGAAAATCCACAGAGGTGTGGGACACAAGAAACAATCGTGAGCAGGCAAGTGGGAAATTTAGTTAATTTACTTTTCAAAAGCTTACATTATATAAAAAGTAAAATAAAATCTCTACATAATAAAAAAAACAACTTAAAAATGGAGAGAAGTCCAACAAGGGTCTCACTCTGTTGCCCAGGCTGGAGTACAGTGGTGTGATCTTGGCTCACTACAACCTCTGCCTCCCAGGTTCAAGCAATTCCCCTGCCTCAGCCTCTCGAGTCGCTGGGATTACAGGTGTGCACTATCATGCCTGGCTAAATTTTGTATTTTTAGTAAAGACAGGGTTTCACCATGTTGGCCAGGCTCGTCTAGAACTCCTGACCTCAAGTGATCCTCCTGCCTTGGCCTCCCAAAGTACTGGGATTACAAGCATGAGCCATCATGCCTGACCAACAAGTTTTTTAAGTATGCTAAATCCTTGTCTTATTCAGGAGGAGAACAATACTGAATTAACTTTAAATTCTGTTTGAAAAATATTATTTCATATGTAGGTTAACACAGGAAGTTTCAGTTGTATCAACTTTTTTTTTTTTAACTTAAAATAAGTGCTTGAAAATATGGCTAAATGTTAGATTTCTCGTCTGGGTAATAGGAACGTTCTGTAGTTTTCTGTATATTTTACATAATTATAAAAATTAAAGTCTGTCTGGGCACAGTAGTTCATGCCTATAAGTCCAGCACTTTGAGAGGCCAAGGTGGAAGGACTGCTTGAGCCCAGGAGTTTAAGACCAGCCTGGGCAAGATAGTGAGGCTCCCATCTCTATAAAAAAATTTAAAAAATTACCCAGGCGTGGTGACGCCTGCCTGTAGTCTCAGCTACTGGGAGGCTGAATCAGGTGGATGGCTTTTGCCCAGGAGTTGGAGGCTGCAGTGAGCTATGATTGCACTCCAGCCTGAGTGACAGAGAGAGACTCCGTCTCTTAAAAAAAAAAAAAAAAAAAAAAAATTGAAGTCTCCTTTTCTACTTTGCAATCTACTACAAAAACATTTAAAGTAGATCCTCTTTCAGGAAGGAGTCCCACTTTAGAATTTTAAGTAGATAGTCCAGTATGTACCCCCAAACTTTAAATATAAGCATGCTTCCTATTCAAAGTTTATGAAACTGAAAAATTAGAAGTAAGCTTCTCATAAGGCAAGGACTTGATCTACTTTCTATCTGTAACCCTGAAGAGCTAGCACAGAGCTTAACATTAAGTCCTCGATCAAGAAATGTTGAAAGAGTAAGTGAATAGATATGCCAAATATCAAGTTGCAAGGAAATGTGTAATACATTTTAGAACAATTTTCAGCAAAAATGTTTAAAATTTATATCTGGATTCAGCCAAGCCAGAATAAAGCAACTTCACCGAATTTCCCTTCCCTGTTAATTTTCCATTTTCTTTAATGTGTTGCTCAGACTTCAAGGTTGATCAGACCTTTATTGGAGGCATAATATTTTTTGTCTTCCTCATGTAAGTCCTCCATCCTCCATCTCTCCTGAGTTCCCCTCCTGAGTTCTAGCTCTCTGCACAACCTACACCTAACTGTATTTCCTCTGCTTTGTCACCCAATACTGCTTCTTCTCCTATAGTTCCAACTTTGGTGAGTAATAATACAAATAAGATTGAATAATCCTATCGAACACTCCCCATATGCTGGTTATTCCTCATATCATCTCACTTAATCCTCAAACAATCTTGTGAGGTGGATATTAGTGTTATCCCCATTTTACAGATGTAGAGACTAAGACAGGAGATTTAAAAACTTGCTCAAGGCCAGCGAGAGAGTAGGTGAATCTGATCTCAGAATGTAAGCTCCTGACCAGTACAGCAGCCTGCATGCCCCCAGGAGCTGGCGGAGGAGGAGGAGGAGGAGGAGGAGGCGGCAGATGATTCACAGCCACAATAGCATTGGCAACACTGGGGAGCTGCTCTTTCCCTACTTCTAACCAGGCACCAAATCCTGTCTGTTTTTTTCTCTGTGATGGTTAATACTGAGTGTCAACTTGATTGGATTGAAGGATGCAAAGTATTGTTCCTGGATGTGTCTGTGAGGGTGTTGCCAAAGGAGATTAACATTTGAGTCAGGGGACTAGGAGAGACAGACCCACCCTCAATCTGGGTGTCCACCCATCTAGTCAGCTGCCAGCATGGCTAAGATAAAAGCAGGCAGAGGAATGTGGAAGGACTAGACTGATTAAGTCTTCTGGCCTCCATCTTTCTCTCATGCTGGGTGCTTCCTGCCGTCGAGCATTGGACTCCAAGTTCTTCAGCTTTGGGACTCTTGGACCTTCGACCACAGACTGAAGGCTGCACTGTCGGCTTCCCTACTTTTGAGGTTTTGGGACTCAGACTGGCTTCCTTGCTCCTCAGCTTCCAGGTGGTCTATTGTGGGACCTCACATTGTGATCGTGTGAGTCAGCACTCCTTAATAAACTCCCCTTTATATATACATCTATCCTATTAGTTCTGTCCTCTAGAGACCCTGACTAATACAGTCTCCTAATAAGAGCTAACATTTTGACAGTCTGTTCCAAGAACTACTTTGAAGGTTTTCAACAACCGTATGAGGTGGAGTACCATTATTAACCTCCCACCATGTGGAGAAACTGAGGCACTGAAGAGGTGAGTAATTTGCCCAAAGCCACAGGATGGTGAACAGTAAAGCCAGGACTCAACCCCAGGCAGACCAGCTCTGGAGCCACGTTCTTCATCACTACTCTGGACAACTTCTGAGCAAAACCCCCTTCAGTGCCCTCCACACTGTCCCTGTGCTGTGGCGGGCTCTTAGCATCTCTAAACTGACCTATTACAACAGCTTCCTAACGGTCTCTATGTGCAGATTCTTCCTACCCCTTTCTTCCAAATTTTCCCCTCCATAATGCCACCAGAGTGTCTTTGAGAAACACACCTCTGATCATGCCCTTTTTCTGCTAGAGGAAACCTGAGATGGTTCCTCAGCCCCTGCAGAACTGAGTGCAGACTCCTTAGCATAGCATTCCAGGCTCCTCCCAGGCCAGCTCCAACCTCCATGGCCTTGTTTCCGAGGACTCTGCCACACTATCCGCCCTGTCACAGAGAACCTTGCAGCATTTCTGGAACCAGCCGCATCCTTTCCTGTTCTCTGTGTTTCTGCGCACACTGTTGCTTTGCTTGGAATGTGCTTCCTTGTCTTTGGTGAGGGAACTTCTCTTCCACTCCCTGTCCAGCCCTCTAGCCCTCCTCTGTGCCTCCCACCAGTGACCACAGTAATCGCTGAGGTCGTTTACATGGAGTCACATCTCATCAGAACTGCCCTGGGTGCAGAAAGGTCAAGAGCTCCCAGAAGTTGTTCCCCCAGGATTCACACATCCAGCCCAGTGTGGCTGCTGCCTGTCTTCACTCAGGTGGCTGTGGAGGTGAAGCCAGGTGACCTGCTGATCTGCAGTGCAGGAGGGCAGATGAGGCTCAGGATGGTGGGGATGAAGCACCCCATCCTGAGTTTCCAGTGCACGCTGCTAGACAGTCAATGAATGGTGCACAGTTAACTTGAAAAATGGGATATCCTGCCCATTAAGATGCATGATGAGCATCTGAGGGAAGTCCCTGCCCAATCCAAGGTGCCAGCTGGGGTGCAGGTGAGCAGGGAAGAATGAAGGACATAGTTATGCAGAGGACAGCACACCCCACCAGCAATGCCTGAGGAGACTGTGGAGAAGAGAGAATAGAACCAAGCTCTTCAGAGACTGCAAAGAGGTTTTCTCCTCATCCAATTTTAAATACTGACCTTCAGCTCAACCTTGTGGGGCAGGCAGGGCAGACTGTACTACCCCATTTTACTGAGGGGAAAAGAAAACTGAGACCCAGAGAAGCTACATGACTAGGAAAGTGATGTGAGTGAGTGGAAGAATTAAGACTGAAATGTAGGACTTTTTGGTTCTAGGTCACAGCTTACTCCTTGCTGTGGTTTGAATGTTTGTGTTTCTCCAAACTTTGTGTTGGAACCTGATCACCAATGTGGTGGTATTGGATAGGGAAGCCTGTCCCTTATGAATGGGATTCATGTCCTTACAAAAGAGGCTTCAGAGAGCTTTCATCCCTTCTGCTTTGTGAAGACACAGCAACAATGCCACATCTTTCATCTTGCAAAGAGACAGCAGCCCTCACAGACACCTGCTGGTGCCTTGATTTTGGACTTCCCAGCCTCTAGAACTGTGAAAAGTAAAGCTCTATTGTTGAAAAAGTAACCGGTCTAAGTTATTTTGTTATAGCAGCAGGAACTGACTAAAATACCCCTCTGCCCTAGGGCACCAATAGCCCACAAGGTGCTTTGTGCAAATTTGAAAATGGCCCCCTCCCTCCTCCTAGCAGAAGCAGGAGACACCCACTGAACCTGGCTTGGTGGGCAAAGCACTGGCTTGATCACGGCCTCCCTTACCCTCCAGGACACACCTAACACAATCTAGGGGTGGCATTCTGCTCCATCCCCTCCCTCAGCTTCACTCCTAGATCCCATCCCTCTTCTCCCATTGAGGACCTCACCTCACCTTGGGACTGTCTCCAGTGAGGAACTCTGGTGCCTGTAGCTGTTAGGCTGGACAATCAGAGACAGGAAGTCTGTGGTTGGGGGGCCATGCTTCCCAGGGGTGGTCCACCGGATGTGTAAACAAGATTCATGACCAAGGTCCTGCCTGAAGCAACCCCCCACCCCCAAACTCTGTCCTCATGAAACCCTCAGTTTATTTAATGTCTCCCCTGTCACCAATGTCTTTCTGGAAGCAAAGGACATCTGGTGATGCAGTGCTTCACACCGTGTGTGTGCTCCATAAATATTGAATGATGACAGGATATTTTTTTCAAAAAGATGAAGGTTCCACCTCTCAGGTCTCTCTTTTGCTGTACATCTTTGCCAAGAGTGGGTTAAGACAGTCCATCTTTTAGCAAGAATCAGGGTTTGGAGATTAGTGAAGTGAGAATTGGTCAGGTTTAATGGCACAGATAATATTTTATTTTTATTTCAATTTTAATACACTATCAACATGCAATGAAGTAAGATATATGGCAACACTTGAGGAAGGAACTGCCCTCCAACTTATCTTCAGTTACCAATTTGGGACCAGTTTCTGAGGTTATTTTTCTGCCAGTCTTGAGAATCTCGGAAAATTTTGGCTTCATCACAATGATATATTAGGAAGGGTAAAGGTCACCTTAAACTTTGCACAAGAAATCAGAGTAGTGTTTGACCATGACACTTGGAATTTTTTTCCCCCAAAGATATAAAGAAGCCAGGAAAAAAGGAAAACTTCTTTCCTCTGAACAATAAACTTTCTTCATTCTCTGGTGGCATCTAAGATATTTATTTTGACCCCAGATGCCATTCGATGTACAAATTGGCTTAGTAAGCTGGGAATACTGATCTAGCTATAAAGAACTTGAGGATTATAATTCTTTATTTATGCTTGTGGTTCCAGTTAGGCTGGGCATCCTTTGGGTCAAGGACCACATCTGATTCATCTTAGTGTTTCTAACACCCAGCACACTGCCTGGCACAGATAACGCACCCATTATAGGTTTGATGAATAACAATGATAAAGATAGTTAACTTGCAGTGAGTTTTCACAATGGGCCAGATGCTTTTTGAGTATTTTACATGCAGCATTTTATATTTACTACTCCATATAATGAGTATGTAATGAGTTGAATTGTGCTCCTCTCCAAATTCACATACTGAAGTCCTAACCAGAGTACTTCCAAATGTGATCTTATTTGGAAATAGGGTTGTTGCAGATGGAATTTATTAAGATGAAGTCATACTGAGATAGGGTGGGCTTCTAATCCAATATGACTGGTGTCCTTATAAATGGGAGAAATTTAGGCACAGATACTTGTGAACCCAAAATATCTGAGACAGGTCTCAGTCAATTTAGAAAGTTTATTTTGCCAAGGTTAAGGACGCGCCCATGACACAGCCTCAGGAGGTCCTGAAATGTGCCCAACGTGGTCTGGGTACGGCTTGCTTTTATACATTTTAGGAAGGCATAATATGTTAAACAAAATATAAGATTTACATTGATTCAATCTGGATGGGTGGGATAACTCGAGGTCGCAGGGGCTTCCAGGTCATAGGTAGATTTAAACATTTTCTGATTGGCAATTGGCTGAGTTATTGTGAGTAGAAAAGAATGTCTGGGTTATGATAAGGGGTTGTGGAGACCTAGGTTTTATCAGGCAGATGAAGCCTCCAAGTGGCAGGCTTTAGAGAGAAGAGACTAAATATTTCTTATCAGACTTAAGGTCTATGTTGATGTTCCATCGTGGCCTGAACTAGACTTTCAGGGAACACCTTTGGCCGAGAGGAGGGGTCCATTCAGATGCTTGGGAGCCTTAGAATTTTATTGTTGGTTTACACACTCATCCAGGGAGAAAGCCGTGTGAAGATGAAGGCAGAGACCGGGGTGATGCAGCAGAAGCCAAGGAATGCCAAGGGTTGCCAGCAAACCACTGAAAGCCAAGGGGAGGCATGGAACGGATTTTTCCCTCACAACTTTCAGAAGGAACAAACTCTATTAACACCTGGATTTTGGACTTCTAGACTCCAGAACTAAGTTTTTGGAAAGAGGAAAAGTTTGAAATGGTGGTTGAAAAAATATTTCAGCAGCTGCATAGAAAGCCTTGTAGAAGGTATACAGCAAGGAGAAATAGGAGAATTCCTATTCCCTGTCTTTCTAGAAATATTCTCCCCTCTTTAAAATGCCTGGCTGTAGTGGATGCTGGGCTGCACTGTCTAGATTACCTCTTTCAGTGGAGAAGCCAGCATTCTCCCAGTTGATGAGCCCTTCTTCAGGAATTGCCCTCAGTGGAAGGGAGTCACCCCACCCAACGTCTTGCCCCACTGGTGGATGCTGGGTGTGAAGGCCCAGCCCTCTTGCCTCAAGAAGTGACGACTTCAGAGTTGGTCATCTCAGCTGCAGAGCTCTGGTGGCATTTGCTGGCTGGGGCCTCTGTTGCAGTTTAACTTTCCTCTCTGTCACTCCTGCCTCCTTCGCTCCCTCAAAAGTGTTGCTCCCCAAGAAATCGCCTACACACGAGTTCATCTGCATTTTAGGAAACCTCATCTAAGTGACTAGTTGAAAGTGATCAATTAAGGGCTATAAACAGCTCACAGTGTAACAGTAAGTGGACAAAACCAGCATAATAAAACAAAATATATGCTATTGTTACAGTCTCACCAATGCACCACAACATAGCAGTGCTCCTTGTGAGGTACTACCTGGAGTTCTTTGTCTTACAACCAAGAGAACTAAGGAGCATGGACACAAAGGGTGAGGTTGGAGTGAAAGTTTAATAAGCGAAAGAAGTCAGGAGATCGAGACCATCCTGGCGAACACAGCGAAACCCCGTCTCTACTAAAAATACAAAAAGCTAGCCGGGCATGGTTGTGGGCGCCTGTAGTCCCAGCTACTCGGGAGGTTGAGACAGGAGAATGGCATGAACCCGGGAGGCAGAGCTTGCAGTGAGCCGAGATCATGCCACTGCACTCCAGCCTGGGCGACAGAGCGAGACTCCATCTCAAAAAAAATAAAAAATAAAAAATAAGCAAAAGAAGAAAGCTCTCTGCCATGAAGAGGGGGCCCGGAAGAGGGTTGTCATTTTTACAGTTGAGTGCAAAGGCTTTTATGAAAAAAACAATGAGGGTTGGGCATCTTATTCACTTAAGGTGTGAATTTCTGGTAGCTCCAGCCTGTCCTCCTAAGTGCGCATGCAGGCCCTTAGCTTGAGTTACTCCATATTGTTTTACTTCCCTTACTGCGTGTGTGTGAAGGGATGAAATTTTTCATGTGGGCCCATCTGGGCAAGTCACTTGTGTAGCCTTTCTTTTCTGTGTGGCTGTTGACATGTCTTAGGCAAGCCCTCCTATGTGGGTTCCCTTATCTGTGCCTGCAGGCTGCTCTTTTGTTTGAAAGAATTCAACCAAGGACTTACCCTGCCTGCCTGCCTGACTGGTTTCTTCCTTTCTCCTCTCTCACTATACCAATTTTATATAAAAAAAGATGCCATAGTGATTAAGAGCTTAAGTTCCAGAGACAGTCTTAGTTCAGTTCAAATACAATCTCCAATAATTACTAGCATCTAACCTTGAAGAAATTATATAACTTCTTTGAACCTCAGTTTTTTCATCTGTAGAATGAACTTGCAGCTTCCTATGAAAAGTATTTTAGACCTAAAAAAATTACTCTCCTTAAAAATATATTGAAAAAACTTTGCAAAAAGGTAATATCAGTGATCTTTGTGACGTTGGAGCTATTCAGTACCTGAACTGTGTCAGAACCTACACAGGTATAAAGTTGTATAAAACTTAAAATGCACACACAAATGAATACGAGTAAAATGTGAAGACGGTGGATGGTATCAACGTCAATTCCTGGCTGTGATGTTATACTATAGCTTTGTAAAATGTAACCAAATGAGGACAGTAATAACGCCTACCTCTTGGGTTGCTATGTTAAGAGTAAATGACATGGCGCATGTAAAACATTTAGCACAGTGTTATTTCTTTCAGAAAAAAGACTGGGAAGAAATCTGCTACAGTGCTAATGCTGAGTATCTCTGAGTATTAGGGTTATGGAAGGTTTTTATTTTTAAAAAATTCTCTGTATTTCCTAAAATTTTGATTATTAAACATATTATTATGTTATGTTATGTCAAAGAATATGTTCTGTATTATTTTATTATTAAACATATTATAAAGGACATCTAAGATTGCCTTTGCAGAATCTATGCCTCCATCCTAGCTGTGCCTGGTTTCCATTTGGGAGTCCATGTTTTCCAGAGACATTGGTTCCATGTTTCTTACAACCACTATCACTATGAGGGTGGAGTTTATAGCAGAGACAGACCCAATCAGCTTGTTTCATTCCTGGTGGCCCCAGAGATTATTTCAGGGGTGGACACATGACTTAAACCATTGCAATCAGAGTGAATCTCTGGACTCTTGCTTGGAATGCTGGAACAAAAGAGAACATTCTCACTTGTTATGAATGAGGAAGCACTTATCTTAGGAGGTATTGATAGCTGTCTAGTGATCCTATAATGAGCCTGCCCTAGGATGAAGCTGATACCTTGGAAGGCAGAGAAAGAAAGAAATCTTTTCCCTATTGATATCATTGATTCTCTGAATCAAAACACATCTTATCTCTGGATTCTCCAATTACATGAGTTAATAAATTCTCTTTATTTTTCAAGCAAAATTTAAATTGAGTTTCCCATTCCTTGTAACATGAAGACTTATGAAATACTTGTATTATTTTCATAATCAGAAGTTAAGAATAAAAAGTATATAAAAAAAAACCACTCCTTCTATAGGGCTCAGTTCAACCCCCTCTTCCTCCAACAGTGGTCCCAGACCTACTGATCAGGCTGGTTTTCCTCTCTGCTCTAGTCCTTATGGCATGGATGCCAATCTGACATTAAATAAACTCACGCCATATGTTGTTTTCTGTCCCAGGTATGTATGTATATATCTTCCAGTAGGTCGGAAAACTGCTTGAGAGTAGGGCATCATGTCTTGTCATTCTCATAAATCCCACAGTGCCATTTCATAACCCCCACAGGGTTCTTTTTCTCAGGCCTCACATTTATAAAAAGCCTCAATTTAAACTTTAACATTATCTCCAAAAAGCTCAAATAGTTGTATCTTGTGCATTAGACTTATTAATTTATCAGTAAACACACTCATATGTCAGTAAAACTATTGCAATATACAACAATTTTATTTTAATTTTTAATTTTTAGGGATGTTGTCTCCCTCTGTCACCCAGGCTAGAGTGTAGTGGCATTGTCATAGCTCACTGCAGCCTCGAACTCCTGGGATCAAGAGGTTTTCCTGCCCCAGCCTCTGAAGTAGCTGGGACTACAGGCATGCACCACCATGTCTAGTTAATTTTGAAATTTTTTGTAGAGATGACAGAGGGGGTGTGTGGTGCAGGAATGTGGTGGGGTAGTGGTCTCACTATGCTGCCCAGGCTGGTCTTAAACTCCTGGCCTCAAGCAATCTTTCTGCCTCGACCTCCCAAAGTGCTGAGATTGTAGGTGTGAGCCATGATGCCCAGCTTAATTTTGTTTTAATATATGGGAATCTCCAGTGATTGAAAACGTCCTCTGAGGTGTGCTCAGTGACCAGAAGACTAGTCACTATATATATATTTCCTCTGTAACTGGGAATCAGTTACAGAGTCATTGTGTTCTCAGAGTTTGAAGGATTGAGGAAACTGAGGCCCACACAAGCAGAGGGATTTGTCCAGGCAGCACTGCTCATTGGTGGCAGAGCCAGATCTTGAACCCAGGTCTTCTAATTGCCCAGTAAACACTCATTAAATTGATTAAAACCATACCTGTAGAATGACCTGCAAAGCATTGTGCAAATTCACTTTGCAAGGTGCTTCCTAGATGCTTTGATAAGAGTTTTACAGCAGGTTCAAAGTTGTTAACTCATTTTTCAACTTGTCTGTGGCCCCCTATGATATTGAGCACTAGGCTGATGTTGGAAGGGATTTTTCGCCACCGGTCAGTCAGGTGGCTTATTTCAGCCCCCGGAGTAGCTGTTAATCAGGTTTCAATAGACTTCAGCGTTTCACTCAGAACCTGTTGGCAATCCTAAACTCTACTGATCCTGTCATCTCTGCAAAATGAGCTCCGGCTACGGCCCCATCCGTTTTCAATTTTATTGAGGGATCCCTTCAGAACAGTTCCTGCCGCAGCATTAATATGGACCTCAGCAGGGACCCCCTTCCTTACCCCAAGCTGCTCTCTCTGGGTTCAGAATGATGGGCTCTGGCTCCTGGAGATTTAAGAGCATCGAGGCAAATTTTTAATGTGTTTTGTCCCAGTGCCAGTCCAGTTCTTCCCCATGCACAGAGTGGTGGCTATTTGGAGCTAACAATACTCCTCTCTAGGGCTGTCAGACCCTGTACAATTTTTTTTTCCGTACAACTTTGCAGAGGAGTCTCCTCCTCTGCTTCCTGATTTTTATCAGACCTGTTGAATCTCTTCTGTGCTCTTCCACATCTTTCTGTCCCAACCTCCTTCCCCAAGCAGATCTAACATAAATAGCTTCTAACACACTGAGCAACTACTCTGTGCCTAATTCTGATCTAAGCAGCTTATCTCATTCAAACTCACAACCATCTTATGATAAGCAATATTCTTAGCCCTTCTCAGTTGGGGAAACTGAGACTTCAGGGAGCTTCAGAGGCTGGCATGAAGTCACACTATTAAGAATTGTTGGTGTTGGACTTTTGAAGCCAGGCAATTCAATTCTAGGACTAGCACCCTTTACAGCTGTGCTATACTGTCTCTAAGTCTGTGAAACTGGTTCCCTTGGAACCTGCTCTTATCACTTCTACCCATATGCAAATGACCACCAACCCTACGTTGAGATCAGGGCAGTTTTTATTTTTATTTTTTTTAATTTTGTTATTATTATACTTTAAGTTTTAGGGTACATGTGCACAACGTGCAGGTTTGTTACATATTTATACATGTGCCATGTTAGTGTGCTGCACCCATTAACTCGTCATTTAGCATTAGGTATATCTCCTAATGCTATCCCTCCCTGCTCCCCCCACACCACAACAGGCCCCAGTGTGTGGTGTTCCCTGCCCTGTGTCCATGTGTTCTCATTGTTCAATTCCCACCTATGAGTGAGAACATGCGGTGTTTGGTTTTATGCCCTTGCGATAGTTTGCTGAGAATGATGGTTTCCAGCTTCATCCATGTCCCTACAAAGGACATGAACTCATCATTTTTTATGGCTGCATAGTATTCCATGGTGTATATGTGCCACATTTTCTTAATCCAGTCTATCATTGATGGACATTTGGGTTGGTTCCAAGTCTTTGCTATTGCGAATAGTGCCGCTATAAACATACGTGTGCATGTGTCTTTATAGCAGCATGATTTATAATCCTTTGGATATATACCCAGTAATGGGATGGCTGGGTCAAATGGTATTTCTAGTTCTAGATCCCTGAGGAATTGCCACACTGACTCCCACAATGGTTGAACTAGTTTACAGTCCCACCAACAGTGTAAAAGTGTTCCTATTTCTCCACATCCTCTCCAGCACCTGTTGTTTCCTGACTTTTTAATGATTGCCATTCTAACTGGTGTGAGATGGTATCTCATTGTGGTTTTGATTTGCATTTCTCTGATGGCCAGTGATGGTGAGCATTTTTTCATGTGTTTTTTTGGCTGCATAAATGTCTTCTTTTGAGAAGTGTCTGTTCATATCCTTCGCCCACTATTTGATGGGGTTGTATGTTTTTTTTCTTGTAAATTTGTTTGAGTTCATTGTAGATTCTGGATATTAGCCCTTTGTCAGATGAGTAGGTTGCAAAAATTTTCAAGAGATCAGGGCAGTTTTATCCTGTAAGCACTAGAGTCACAGTGCATAGGAATTGTGGCTTTCTAGGAAAAATATTTGACACCTAAAAAAATTACTCTCCTCAAAATATTAAAAGAACATTGCAAAAGGGCAACATGAGAGATTCTTGTGATGTTTAACTGTTCAGTATCTTGACTATGTTGGAACCCATATAGGTGATACAATTGTATAGAACTTACATGCACATACACACAAGTAAGATGAGAAATCTGAATAAAACAGATGGTATCAATGTCACTATCCTGGTTTCTACATTGTACTATAGTTTTGCAAAATGTTAAAACTGGAGGAAACTGGGTCAAGTATTCCTTCTTAAAACTGCCAAGTGAGGCTGGACGCGGTGGCTCAAGCCTGTAATCCCAGCACTTTGGGAGGTCGAGGCGGGCGGATCACGAGGTCAAGAAATCGAGACCATCCTGCCTAACACGGTGAAACCCTTTCTCTACTAAAAATACAAAAAAAAAAAAATTAGCCGGGCGTGGTGGCGGGCGCCTGTAGTCCCAGCTACTCGAGAGGCTGAGGCAGGAGAATGGCGTGAACTCGGGAGGTGGAGCTTGCAGTGAGCCGAGATCGCGCCGCTGCACTCCAGCCTGGGCGACAGAGCGAGACTCTGTCTCAAAAAAACAAAACAAAACAAAACAAAACAAAAACTGCATGTGAATTTACAATTTTTTAAAACGGGGTGGGTGGGGGGTGGAGGAAGAACATTACACAATAAAAATTAGTATAATCAGCTTTCCATATCATGGATTCCACAATCACGGATTCCACCAACTGCTGATTGAAATATTTAAAAACTGACTGGGTGCAGTGGCTCACGTCTGTAATCCCAGCACTTTGAGAGGTGAGGCAGGAGGATTACTTGAGGCCATGAGTTCAAGACCAGGAGTTAGAGGCCAGCCTGAGCGACACAGAGAAATGCTGTCTCTACAAAAAAATTTAAAAAATTAACCAGGCATGGTGGCACATACCTGTAATCCCAGTACTTTGGGAAGCTAAAGCAGGAAGATTGCTTGAGTCTGAGAGTTTGAAGTTACAGTGAGCTATGATCGTGCCACTGCACTCCAGCCTGGGTGACAGAGCAAGACCCTGTCTCTAAAATAAATTAAAAATAAAATAAAGTATTTGGAAATTTTTTTAAAACAATACAATAAAAAAATACAAATTTTACAAAACAATATAGTATAACAACTATTTACAGAGCATTTACATTGTACTAAGTATTATAAGTAATGTAGAGACAGTTTGAAGTATACGAAAAATGATTGTTAAGTTATATGCAAATACTACACATTTATATCAGGGACTTGAGAATTTGTGGATTTTGGTATCTTCGAGAGTTGCTGGAACCAATCCTGATGGGTACCAAGGGACAACTGTACGTTTAATTAAATGTTTACAAAATGTAATGCTGGTCAATTGGTTTAGTGGAACAAGTCAACAATACAAATCACAAGGAAAATTAAATAATTCTTAGCAGACTTACGATTTTAAAAGTCCTTTCAAATTCTATATGGCCAGAAAAAAAATGTGTGTGATTTTTGCATGTGAATGCATTCTAATGTGTTTGGTTTGATGTGGCTGGAGCCTTCAAAATAAGATTGTCTAGGGCCTAGGGTCTTCAAATGACCCTGCTTGCCTCTTATGCTGCCTCCAATGAAGTATGTGCAATAAAAATGAACTCAAAACTTACCATATCTAAAACTGGTTTTCTAGTGTCTATCCAATCACTATTTCTACATTCTCTAAACATCTAATGGTCCACAAGATGGCACAACCTTTCTGAAGGTAAGTTTGGCAATATTTACCCAAAGTCTTAAACTTCATTTACCCTTTGACCCAGAAAATGGTAGCTCTCAATTCTGGCGGTGGGGTTGGGGAGGGGAGGCTGGTGGCTTCAGAGTGGTGAGTTGGGGTGGTTTTTAAATTATTTTCTTTCATTTTTGTCTATATTTCCTAATTTCTAATAATTGGGGGGAAAGGAACCTGAAAACAGCAGTTCAAATGTTGCTAGCCATGAAAGAACTCCTTAATTCCAAGTTCAGTGTTTTTAATATGGCATGTAAAATCATGAAAGATGAAACAACACTAACACAAGAAGGATGAACATAGAAGAAGTGGTACTGGCATGAGGGCAGACATATAGATCCATGGAATCGAATCGAGAGTCCAGAAATAAATCTATACATCTATGGTCAATTGATTTTTGACAAGCATGCTAAAAAAATTCAATGGAGAAAGAATAGTCTTTTGTCCAAATAATGCTGGGAAGCTGGATGTTCTGGTTTTCTAGAATGAAAAAGAATAAATGAAAAAAGAATGAATTTGGACTCTTACCTCACACCATATACAATACAAAAATTAACTCAAGATATAGCAAAGACCAAAATGAAAGTATAAAACTTTCAGAAGGGAAACATAAGTATAAATCTTTGTGACCCTGAGCTAGGCAACAGTTTCTTAAACATGGCACCAAACACACAAGCAAACAAAAACTGGATAATTGGACTTCATCAAATTAAAAACTTTTATGTCAAAAGACACTATCAAGTACTTAAAAGGACAACTCATAGAATGGGAGAAAATATTTGCAAATCATATATCTGATAAGGATCTAGTATTCAGGCTATATAAAGAATCCTTATGATTCAATAATCAGAAGACAACCCTATTAAAAATGAGCAAAAGATTTGAATAGAGAGTTCTACAAATAAGATGCGTAAATGGCCAATAGGTGCATGAAAAGATGCTAAACATTATGAGTTCTTAGGGAAATGCAAATCAAAACCACCAAGAGATATCATTTCACACCCACAAGAATGGCTAGAAATTGGAACCCTCATACATTGCTGGTGGAAATGTATTAATAAAATAGTGCATCCGGGCATGGTGGCTCACACCTGTAATCCCAACACTTTGGGAGGCTGAGGTGGGTGGATCACCTGAGGTCAGGAGTTCGAGACCAGCCTAGCCAACATGGCAAAACCCCGTCTCTACTAAAAATACAAAAAATAGCTGGGTGTGGTGGGGAGCACTTGTAATCCCAGCTACTCAGGAGGATGAAGAAAGAGAATCGCTTGAACTTGGGAGGTGGAAGTTGAAGTGAGCTGAGATCACGCCACTGCACTCCAGCCTGGGCAATAAGAGTGAAACTCAGTCTCAAATAAATAAATAAATAAAATAAAATAGTGCAGCCATTGTGGAAATCAGTTTAATGATTCCTCAAAAAGTTATACATAGAGTTACCATATAGCCCAGCAATTCCACTCCTAGGTAAATACCCAAAAAGAATTGAAAATATACATTAACACAAAAACTTGTACATGAATACACATAGCAGCGTTATTCATAATAGTCAGAGTGGAAACAACCCAAATGAATGAATCAACAAAATGTGATATGTTCATACAATAAAATATTATCCAGCCACATAAAGGGATGAGGTACTGATGCATGCTACAACATGGATTAACATTGAAACATTATCCAGACTCCAAAGGCCACATGGCATATGACTCCATCTACACGAAATGTCCAGAATGGGCAAGTTCATAGGGATAGTATTCCTTTTGAGGGGTGGTGAAAATGTTCTGGAATTCAATAATGGTGATGGTCACACAACTTTGTGAATAAACTAAAAGCCGCTGAATTCTACACTTCAAAATGGTGGATTTAATGGTATGTAAATTATATCTTTCTCAAAAAAAAAAAATTAGAGTGAATCTGGGGCAAGGTACCAATCCAATAACTCAATTAGGATCATCTTGTTGGGCAGTTGGCTGGGAAGCTGCTGTCACAAGCCAGCCAGAGCCTAGAGCAGCTGCATGGAAGGCTGAGAACAAGGCATACAGGTGAAGGGGGAGGCCTAGATCCAGCATGCAGGGAGGGCTGTCCTCTCACATGTGCTTCGAGTTCTTCCATGTAGAGCAACAGATTTTCTCACATGCTCTGACCTTTCCCTCCTTGGCATTGTTTGACTTCTTGAAGCTGAGGTTCAGGACTTGGGTCCCTCTTCACCTTCAGCACCAACCAGCTATTGCTATCGACTTACACAATGCTCCCTCCGTCATTACCTTTTTAACATTAATGGAAACAGAGGTTTAAAGATTTTTTTTTAAATCCAGCCAATAAAGTGAAGTGTTTCTCAGGAAGATCAGCACTGGAGGGCTGTCATCGTCTCTTCCTCCAGAGTTTTGTCAATATTTTAGTTTCATTAAAGAGGCTGAAGATTTTCATATTTCCTAAGCTGAGTCAACCCTGTGGGCACCGTCTCCCAGTTCTCTTGCCTGTGGATCCTGCTTGGTTCTTTTTCTGTGAACTCTCGGCCCAGAAGCAAGAGCCGGAGCTAGTTTTCACAGCCTTCCCTGCGTGGGTTAAGGATCACCTGTGTTACTAATAATTGTTGTCTTTGGTTACCTCTTCTTGAACAGTAACAAAAGGTATAAATCACCCCCAAGGCTCTTAATTACTCCCATTAACAGTTGCTTTGTTATCCCGGATGCAGAGCAGTTTCACTGCACTGTGAGTACACACAGTGAGTTCAGAGGTACAAGCCTGGCATTGAGCCAGGAGTTAAAATAAGTTATGCTAAGTGGATGGCTCAATTGTTCCCCTGGACTCCCTCTCGGTCTGGGGGGATGTGGGCCTGAGCGAATGCTATAGGAGTCTAAGGTCTGTGCATCTTCTAGGAGTTCCTTGGGATGTTAATGCTGCCTTTTGTCACAGTCATTTTATTTTTCTCTTCTTCTTTAGTTTTGCTTCTAGCATCGGTGTTTTCTTCCTCCCTCCCTCTCCTATCCTGCCCTATGCCTCTACAAATCTTTCTCCCTTTTCTTCCATGCATTCTGTATGGAACTGGCAAAAGCTATAGTTGTATAACTATAGCTTGTTACAACTGGCAAAAGCTATAGTTGTAACATTTTTTGACCTAAAAGGAAGAAGCTGAGGTAAAATTAATCTAAGTAGAGAGTTTATTTGGGCCAAGCTTGAGGGCTGCAACCCAAGAGCATAGATTCAAGTTGCCCTGAATACGCACTGCAATTAGCAGCAGTGACAAGTGGATTTGTAAAGGCAAAGAAAAGGGGACCGGGAGTGGGGTGATACAAAGTTGTTTGTCAGAAATTCTCATTGGTTTACAAAAGTAACATTGATTAGTGATTGGCTATACACCTTTAGGCTATAGGGTGTGGGTTACAGGGTTCAGTGTGACTTCAGTAGGTTAATTTATAGCTATCTGTGACAATAGCAAGCCGTTTCAAGAGATGAACACAGAGCTCAAAAGTAGGGAGGTAGAATGTGTTTGCTGTCTCATTTTAATGCCTCTCTGATCATTAAAAGGATCCCTCAGATAAAGGTTCTTTTCTTTTCTCACACTTAGGAGGAAAAAGAACAAAAAGCCACTGAGCTGGGTCTTTTGAGCAGGAAATTTGGAGGGTTTGGGTTTTGTTTCTGTTTTTTTCAGCTCTCCTCTTCAAAACTCTGTCCCTGTGCCCAGGTTGTTCCCTTGGACTCCCTCTCAGTTTGGAGGATGTGGGCCTAAGCAAATGCTGTAGGAGTCCGGGGTCTGTACATCATCTAGGACTTCCTTGGGGTGCTACTGTCAGAGACATTTGAACCAGAGCAACTCCGTCTTGAACAGGAGCTAGGTAAAATGAGGCTGAACTTACTAGGCTGCATTATCAGATGGTTCGGCACTGTAAGTCACAGAATGAGATAGGAGGTCAGCACAAGATACAGGTGATAAAGGCCTTGCTGATAAAACAGGCTGCAGTAAAGAAGCCGGCCAAAACCTATCAAAACAGAGATGGCTACGAGAGCAACCTCTGGTCGTCCTCACTGCTACACTCTTCCCAGTGCCATGACAGTTTACGAATCATGGTAACATCAGGAAGTCATCCTATATGGTCAAAAAAGGGGAGACATGAATAATCCACCCCTTATTTAGCATATAATCAAGAAATAACCATAAAAATGGGCAACCAGGAGCCCTCAGGGCTACTCTATCTGTGGAGTAGCCATTCTTTATTCCTTTTCTTTCCTAATAAACTTGCCTTTGCTTTGCACTATGGACTCTCCCAGAAGTTTGCACAAGATCCAGGAACCCTCTCTTGGGGTCTGGATCTGGACCCCTTTTCTGTAACATCTTTCTGGTGACCACCGAAGGGACTATAGTGAGGAAACCCCTGACTCCAAGGCTAACTTTGGGTAGGCGGTGGGGCCCGGTAACACTATGAGTCAAATCTCAAACTCCTCAGTGAGAAATTCAAGAAGCTTCCCCACCCTCCATCCAAGCACCACTGTGAACTATGATCCTTGAGACCTCAGGCTAGGGAGACGGAAAGACCTGGGTTCTGACCCCAGACTTTCATGTCCTCTCTGTGTGACCTCAACAGATGATTTATAGACATGGAGCCTCAGATGTCCTACAGGTCTGACCTCACAGGTCAGGAGGATTAAATGAGATGCTACATGACCGTGCTTAACACAATGCATGGCACAAAGTAAGTCCTTAATAAATGGAAGCTGTGACCCTGGCAATGGTGACACGCTGAAACACGTGGCCTTGGCTTTCATAACCCCTGTCTTTCTTCAAGCTGTTTCCTCAGCTGGGTATGCCCTATTACCCCCACCCAACCTGCCTATCAGAATCTGAATTACTCTTAAGGATTTTCCCATCTAAGGCCCCAGCTCCACCCACCAGCTCCCTGCCCCCATTGGTCTGATCTCCTCTGTCCTCCCAGCCAGATCCTTAGAGCATGGTTGGGTCTTTAAGATGGATCTTGCTTCATTCTGCCTTGAATTCTGTCAACTTTTATTACTGGGTTTCAACTTTTTGAAGACAGGATTTGTACCCTGCGTGTTCGTGGAGTGAATAAAGTTCCATTTAAAAATAATGAGTCTCGGCCGGGCGCGGTGGCTCACGCCTGTAATCCCAGCACTCTGGGAGGTGAGGCGGGCGGATCACAAGGTCAGGAGATTGAGACCATCCTGGCTAACACGGTGAAACCCCGTCTCTACTAAAAATACAAAAAAAATTTAGCCGGGCGTGGTGGCGGGCGCATGTAGTCCCGGCTACTCGGGAGGCTGAGGCAGGAGAATGGCGTGAACCCGGGAGGCGGAGCTTGCAGTGAGCCGAGATGGCGCCACTGCACTCCAGCCTGGGCGACAGAGCGAGACTCCGTCTCAAAAAAAAAAAAAAAAATAATAATGAATCTCTTCTAGACATCCTGAAGTACAAAGAGCCTTGAAACAGCTACCTGCTAAGAAGCACCTCAGAGGCTTTTAAAAATTCATTTGGTAATATAAAATATTCTCCTTTTTTCCCCTTCCCCTTTGGAAGGGTCAAAAATCTCCTTGTAATTCCCTTTTCACTGAATTGGCCAAATCTGGATCACATAGTGGTATGGCTTGGCTGTGTCCCCACCAAAATCTCATCTCGAACTGTAGTTCCCATAATCCCCACGTGTCATGGAAGGGACCTGGTGTAGATAATTGAATCATGGGGGTGGTTTCCCCCATCCTGTTCTCATAATAGTGAGTGAGTTCTCATGAGATCTGATGGTCTTATAAGAGAATTTTTCCTTACCTCCGCTCTGCACTTCTCCTTGCTGCTGTCGTATGAAGAAGGATGTGTTTGCTTCCCCTTCTGCCATGATAGTAAGTTTCCTGAGGCCTCCCCAGCCCTGTGGAACTGTGAGTCAATGAAACCTCTTTTTTAAATAAATTACCCAGTTTCGGGTATTTCTTCATAGCTGCATTAGAACGGACTAACACACATGGCCACCTCTCTCCATCAGGTGCCAACCCCAACTTTCCCTGAGATCAAGGAATCTTGAACCAACTCCTGAAAAAAATTCAGGTTCTATTAGCAGAGTCAAATAACTGAGAAGGAAAAAAAATCTCTCAGTCTCTCTCTCTCTCCAAACATATACATGTATACATATATATGTATATATATGTATATATGTATATGTATACATATATGTACATACGTATATGTATGCATATATACATATATGTACATATGTACATATATGCATACATATATGTGTACATATATGCATACATATATGTGTACATATGTATACATGTATGCATACATATATGTACATATATATGTATACATATATGTATATGTGTACATACTATATGTGTGTGTATATATATATGTACAAGTCAAGTCATCAAAATCCTTAATAGCATTTATCTCTGGGTAATGAGAATTTGGATGACGTTTATTTTCCAGTTTTTTTTTTCTGTAATTTCCAAGGTCTCCACAATGACTATCTATTACCACTGTAATCAGAAAGCAATGTTAACAAAAGGAATCCTATGGGAGGAAAATAAAGCCTCCTTCAATAGAAATACATGCTGAAGTCATAAGCCCAGGTTCTCTAGGGCAGTTCTGATTTGAAATACTTGATTCCATTGACCCCAAAGTACTGTACTCTCTTGTCACCTGTGTTGCTGCAGTCTAAGTGAGAAGTTCCTTTGTAAATTTGATTCACCTAGAAAAGCATCCAAGGGGTCCTGGCACAGTCCCAGCTTGCATAAGCTGTTCCCATATGAGCAACTATCTGCCTGTAGCAGCTCCCACTGCACTAAGGAAGATTGCAATAATGCTCTACCATGGTCAGGAATCTGCTATACAGTTAAAATAAACAGCCCTTAAGATCCTATATCTTCATCATCATCACTGTTATCACCATCATTTATAGAACTCTTGCTACCAGCCACTTGTTAATGTCGCATTATCTCACTCAACCTCACAACAACCCTAAGGTAGAAACTAGTACTTTTTTACATTTAACAGAAAAGGAAACAGAAACTTAGAAAAGTTTTCACCAGACAAAACATTCATTTCACCATATTCTACTCTGAAGCAGTTCATATGAGAAAGATACAGACAATTGGGTTAAGAATGTAATCTGTGAAAACAAACTTTGAAAATAGACAGCAAAAAATATGACATCGAAGTTGAACATTTTCACATCAGGATGGTGTGGGGGGAAGGCTGCCAAGTAAGTCAAAAGGAGTCAAAATACTAATGTAAAACTGTGGCCCAGAAATGAGAGCTCGGTCAGACTGACAGGGGACAGAAAACCACAGGAAAACAAACAAACAAACGATGTTTGTACTTGGAGGTCATCATTTCCAAAATGCATAACCTGGTTGGAACTTGAGGCTGATTTTGCACACACTGAGTAAAGAGAATGGGCCCCAGCTGGGTGGTGAGGACCTTGAGTTAGCATCTTGTCCTAATTATTCAATAGTTATTTTCCTAATAATTCAGTTATTATGTTTGTAAGAAATGGCATGTGTGAGATCTCCTGTGTCCCTTTAATAGACTTTATTTTTGTTGTTGTATAGTTTTATTTCATTGCTGAGGCTGAAGTGAAACTGTAATTCAGTTTAAAAGCTATATGTTACAGGCAAGCTGCTTACAATATATGGCCTCAGAAATTTTTGGAAACTTGTCTTTAGGTGTTATTGGCACAAAATAACAGCTAGAGTTTCATCCTCTGGGTGTAAAAGACAAATAAAGCTTCCTGCAGCTTGACAACTTATGAAAGTTAACTCTGCCACAAAACATAGGCAGGTGTGGGGAGAAGGGAAAGGTTCAGAAATCTTCTCCTAACTCTGGAATGAGAAAACCAAAGAAGGCTGTAAGAATCTAAAGAATATAAGACTACAATCAGGAAAAGTTATAGACTTCTAATTTAAATGAAAAATAGCAAGCCACAGACTGGGAGAAAATATTTACAAAAGACATAGCTGATAAAAGACTGTTACCCAAAATATACAATGAACTCTTAAAACTCAGAAAATGAGCAACCCAATGAAAAAATGAGCTAAAGACGTACACAGACACCTCACCAAAGAAGATGTACAGATGACAAGCATATAAAAAGATATTCGACATCATATGTTATTAGAGAATTGCAAATCAAAACAATGAGATACCACTCCACCCCTATCAGAATGATCAAAATTCAAAACACTGACAATACCAAATGCTGAGAGAATGTACAGCAACAGGAACTCCCATTCATTGCTGATGGGACTGTAAAATGGTAGAGCCACTTTATAAGACAGTTTGGCAGTTTCTTACCAAACTAAACATACTCTTAGCATTTGACCCAACAATTGTGCTCTTTAGCATTTACCCAAATGAGTTGAAAACTTACATCCACATAAAAACTTGCGCATGGATATTTATAAATGCCAAAAACTTAACATCAACCAAGATGTCCTTTAGTAAGTGAATGGATAACCTGTGGTACATCCAGTCAATTAAATATTATTTGGTGCTAAAAAGAAATGAGCTATCAAGCCATGAAAAGATAGGGAGGAATCTAAAATGCATATTCCTAAGTCAAAGAAGCCAGTGAGAAAAGGCTGCATACAGACTGTAGGACTCCAACTACATGACATTCTAGAAAAGGCATAACTATGGTGATAATAAAATGATGAGTGGTTGCTAGGGGTGTGGAAAGGAAGGGATGACTAGGTGGAGCACAGAGATTTTTAGGGTATTGAAGCTACTTTATAGGAGTGGTCCCCAACATTTTTGGCACCAGGGACTGGTTTTGTGGAAGACAATTTTTCCATGGGCAGGGTGTGGAGGATGGTTTTGGGATGAAACTTCCAACTCAGATCATTAGGCATTAGTTAGATTCTTATAAGGAGCGTGCAGCCTAGATCCCTCACTTGTGCAATTCACAATAGGGTTTGCACTCCTGTGAGAATCTAATGCTGCCACTGATCTGACAGGAGGGGCAGCTCAGGCGGTGATGCTCGCTTACCTGCTGCTCACCTCCTGCTGTGCAGCCCAGTTCCTAACAGGCCATGGATGGCCTGGAGGTTGGGGACCCCTGCTCTATAGGGTGCTATAATAATGGATACATGTCATTACACATTTGTTAATACTCACAGGATGTATAAGAATGAACCCTAATGTAAACTATGGACTTTGGGCGTTAATAATGTGCCATTGTTGGTCTGTTGATCGTAATAAATGTATCACACTGTGCGAGATGATGACAGTGAAGAAGTTTGCGTGTGTGATGGCAGGGCTTTAGGGGCAAGAGTTATATAGGAACTCTCTGAACTTTCCACTCAATTTTGCTGTGAACCTAAAACTACTTTTAAAAATAAAGTCTATCTGAAAAAATGTATGCACACACGCGTGTCTGTATGTGTAATCATTATCATCCTCTGCTTTTTTTACAAGACTAATGAGAGGCAAAATCGTGAAACTGGATCAAATTTATCCTTAGGGTTTCCCAGGGTCCACTTTGAGTCCCCATTCCCCATGCCAAAGTGCTGGGCTGTCTCCACCACATGCTAAGCATGGTGTTGAGATCTGTAGGATGGTGGTGAACCAGTCTCTGCCTTCATGAAACTATGATTCAAAGCAGAAGGGAGGTACTAAACAAGTCATTACAGAAACTACGCAGGTAATGGATTAAGTTGTGGTGAGTGACCTGAAAGTACATAAAAAGGTGATCAAACCAAGTCCATGGGGTCAGGGAAGGCCTCCTTGAAGAAAAAAAATTAACCTGTAACCTTAAGGTTGACTAGGAGTTAGGCATGGCCAGTTGTATTCTGAGGTTGTGAGTCTGGGTTTGACACAGGGAAGTTTGGCATAGGAAACACCACGTGTGAAGTGTCCTGTGGGAAGAGGGATGTGGGGCGTGTTGAGGGGCACTGAAAGGCCCAGATGACTGTGATACTGAGAATGAGAGGAGAAGTTGGGAGAGATGCAGCTGGAGAGGTGGGCAGGGGACAGATGGCATTAAACTGCCTAAAAGCAAAAGCCAGCCATTGAAGGATTTTAAGCAGAATGATGGTGTCTTTGCTCTAATTTTATTTCTAGAATCTAGTTCAGTGCTTAAAACATCACTAGTGGCTTAATAAACATTTGAGAAAGGAAAGATGAAAGAAAAAATGAGAAACAGGTGGGCCCACTCATTCACTCAATTCACTCAATTATGCATTATGTAATAAATGGGATTCCAGTGGGCTGAAATTGGTTATGTCCTCCTTCAAATAATTCATTTTCTGGATGAAATCATCATTGTGATCATCACTGCTATCATCCATTATTAGTCAAATAATCCTTTCTCCTAAAAAATGAGAAAATATATGTTATTGGAAATTTTTATTATAATTTCAAGTGAGAACACTCTCAATTTTCTGTGCCCAAGATTTGGGAGTCACTTTACTTTCCATGCTTGCCATATTTGAAAATTTATGTGTGTCTCCTGATGAGAGAAATAAAACTCAACAGCAACTTTACTACTAATGATGGGAGATATTGGTTTTTATTTGTAGCCATTGCTCTTTAATGGCCTAAGTAGCTTTAGCACTTTTCCTAGCCTAGACAAAGGAATATTGATTTTCTTTTTTTTTTCTTGCTAGTGAAATCCTCCTGTTAAAGGAGTGATTCAGCTAACCTGAGTATTTTGGCATCTTTGTCCCGATGGCTCAGCTGGGATTCTATATGAGTATATAGAAATTCTAAGAATGAAGTGTTCTCTTTGTTGGCAGAGGTATCCCAAAGGTAATCTACTTCCATTCAGAGTCTAGGAGAAGTCCTTTACTGCTATTTTGTGCAACATTCTCTTGGGCAGATGGAGAATATGAGCACCTCTTATTTAACTAAGGAGAAAAATACCTCCTCAAATTAAAAGAGCTGGGAGAGAGGTAGAGAGAGTGACCATACTTACAAACTGAATCAAGAGACACAATTAGAATGCAGATGTTTCTTAGGGTCCTGGGAAAATATTGAAAATGGAGAAAAAGAAACGGGGTAGCAATCTGACCCGGCCTTGGACATCTCTCTCCAAAGATACCCAGAATCCCCAGCAGCACTGAGCTGAGCTCCCCACCAGATGTGGACAGCGTTTCCTCCTGTATTCCCAGAACTCAGGGGTGTCTGTGCTATGATAGATTATTAGTAAATGTATGTTAAATGAAATGGATGGAAGAAAGGATGGGTGGATAATATATGGGTAAGTAAACAAAACAAAAGCAATACATTTGGCTGCTACGCATTGGAAGGGGACAAATAATCGCTATCTTGAAATTACTTGATCATTACGATAGAGCGTAGTCAGCAGGGCTGGTCAGAATACACGGGGACCTGTGTGTACGGGGGTTGGGGACGGGGATGTTGGGGAGGTCAGAAGTAGGTAAACTACAGCCAGAGGCCAGTTGCCTGTTTTTGTGAATGAAGTTGTATTAGAACACAGCCACAGTCATTCATTTATGTGTTGTCTATGGTTGCTTTCTGCTACAATGGCAGAGTTAAGTAATTGCAACAGAGGCCCTATGACCGTAAGCCTGAAATATTTACTCTCTGGATCTTTACCAAAAAGCCTGCCCACCCCTATTTTAGGTCAAAGGCAGGAAGAAGATCAAATCCAAGATCGAAGCAGGAATAATCTGGAGTCATGGTGGTCTCAAGAGAGTCAGAGGTGTGATGCTGAAATGTTAGAATCCAAAGGGGCCAACCTCCTTAGCTGTAGAAGAAAAGACTAGCCCAGAGTGAAAACGACTTGCTCAAGGTGGCATGTCAGCTGGTGGAAGCTCCAGGACTGGCGGAGACCACGTGAGCCAATAGGCATGGACTGTAGCCAGACGCTCAGAAGTCTAGGGTGACTCTGTTACTTGACTGTGGCAGAGATAGAAGTCCTGGGATGACCTCACATCTAGGGGCTCAGGGGCAAATGTATTTCTCTTCTTTAAGAAAAAGGCAATATCTGGGGGAAGAAGGGAATGAATGAATTCTATCCCTTTTTTGCCTTTTGCATGTATGGTTGATTTTTTTTTCATCAAATGTGTGAGGGCTAATGCCACCCAAATTAAGTAAGCAAGAAACTTGGGGAGGCTTAGAAGTACTCAGTAAGTGGGGGTCATATATATATTTTTAACTTATTCAAGCAGCCTCATGGAGGTACAGTGTTGACAGGCTTTCATTAAGCATTCTGTCAGTTGGTCATGACTACTACTCCCAAGGCAATTCCAAAACATAACATTCTGGATAAATAATTAAATAAAGATAAATGCCTACTGGGCCTTGGAGCCACTCCAATGCAGCACACATTGAAGAACAACAACAGATTCTCAAACTCCAGAGAGGCTTGAAGTTCTGAAAGGTTAACTAAATCCCTGAAGCGTAGAGCAAAGCTTTGCTAGTCATGGTCTAGAAAAGCATTCCCCCATGGCGTGAGCTCACCAAACACTGTCGGCTAAACTAACAGCCTCCTTGCCACCACACTCGCAGGCCAAGGGTTCACTGAAGAATTGGATCGCTTTCCTACGGCCATGGAGAGCCAAGCTCTGTCTTCAGGAAAATGATGGCCATGGAGGGGACAGAGGAGCTCATGTGGGCCATTCCCTTGTTCTGTAGGTAAGGGAACTGAGGCCAAGAGAGGGGAATCAATTGCTGGGGGGCATGAGGCCAGGGCAGTTTTGGAACCCCGGCCTCTTTACAACATACCACATGTGACAGCCTACCAAAGTGCCTAGCACATCAGAAGCACTCAGATATTTGCAAAAGGCATGAGTGGATGACTGAATAAATTCAATGACCACACTCTCTGAATGCCTATATCCTCCTGGCACAGTTTTAGATTCTGGGAATACTGTGTTGAACAGGACTGACAGTATCCCTGCTCTCACAGAGCTCACATTCGTGTGTGTGTGTGTGTGTGTGTGTGTGTGTGTATGTGGTGGGGAGGGAGTTAGGGTGATGGAGGATGTATGATGGGAAGTAGAGAAATAATCATAATAACTAGCATTTAGTGAGCACTCACTATGTGCCAGATACTGTTCTAAGCACCGTATATAAGCCAAATGCTTCAGGCCTCTCAAACAACATACGCGAGAGGTACTCTTATGGCCCCTGTCTTACAGATAAGGAAACTGAAGCACAGAGAGGTTAAATCGCTCCTCCAAGGTCACACAGCTGGAAGTGGTAGAGCCAGATTCAAACCCAGGCAGTCTGGATCCAGAGCCCAGACCCTTATCCAAAGACCAAAGGGGCAAATGAATGGTTTTGAGAAAGTGAGTAAATAGATGAGTGAGTAAATGAATGAGCACAATTCTTCATTTGTGAATATTCCATAGGAAAACAAACACCTTTCTTAAAATTGATTTTGGTAATTACTTGTTTATAAGTAAATTATAAGAAATTCTGTTCACAGAACTCTTTATTTGAAGAAAAATTAGACACATGTACAAGGTTTCTTTAAGGTTTGTATGTGCAGACTCTTGTGGTGACAGTTTCCAGGTTACAAATGAAAACACCGTGAGTCTGACCACGTGTCAGGTCCTAAATGTTGTCTATATTCAAACGCATTTAATCCTCATGTCCACCCTAGGAAGCAAGTACTATTTTCATCGTAACTTTACAGATAAGACAATTGAGGTACAGTAATCTTAATGATCTTTCTCGAAGTCAGGGAGTTAGTAAGTAGCAGAGCTGGGATATAAACAAGGCAACCTTGTTCCAGAAATTGGGAAGTACCCCGACCACGTCTCAGTGTAAGGGCAGTGGTTCTCAACCTGGCTGCACATTCACCTCACCTGGGGAGCTTTCAAAAATGCTGATGCCTCGGCCCCATCCCAGTTAAATCAGAATCTCTAGGAATGTAGCTTCAGTATTGGTATCTTTTTTATTATTTATGTTTTTTAACTGACAAGTGAAAATCACATATGTTTATGGTGTACAATGTGATGTTTTGATATATGTATACATTGTGGAATGGCTAAATCAAGCTATTTAGCATATGTATTACCTCATATCATTTTTTGGTGGTGCAAACAAATCTCTCTTAGCAACTTTTAAATATACAATATTATACAAATTCTTATATATATTATTATATATAATATATATTATATATATTATTATATATAATATATATTATATATATTATAATATATAGTATATTATAATTATAATATATTATAATAATATATAATATATATTATTATAAATATACAATATTATACACATTATCAACTGTAGTCACCATGATGTGCAATAGAGCTCTTGAACTTATTCTTTCTTTCTAACTTAAATTGTATGTCTTTGGTTATTGGTATCTTTTATTTATTTATCTTTTTGAGACGGACTTGCTCTGTCGCCAGGCTGGAGTGCAGTGGCACGATCTCGGCTCACTGTAACCTCTGACTCCCTGGTTCAAGCGATTATCCTGCCTCAGCCTCCTGAGTAGCTGGGATGACAGGCATGTGCCACCATCCCCGGCTAATTTTTGTATTTTTAGTAGGGATGGGGTTTCACCACGTTGGCCAGGATGGTCTCCATCTCCTGACCTCATGATCTGCTTGCCTTGGCCTCCCAAGGTTATTGGTATCTTTTAAATGCTCCCTTTATAATTCTGATGCAGAGTGAGAGCTCAAAAATGCTGACGTGGGGAACTGGCTGCAACTGACTTGAATCCCCTCTCTGTTTTGAGCTTTCTACCAAAAGTCAACATCACAGCAATTTCCACCTTCCCAACTACATAGTTTCTGTGGCTCTCAGTGACAGTCATTAGCCCATGATGGCAATGTTGGCCCCCTTCTAACAGTTTCTATGGGGTCCTGGAGCCTTTGGTTTTTCCGAACTACTGAGTCCTCTTAGCACCACCACCTTTAGGAAGAAACAAGCAGAAGCAAATCTGTTACACCGCAAATCACCCTTAATTAACAACAGATCTCTATTGTGCCAGGAACTGTACAAGGTGCTTACCATACATTGTCATTAGTCTTCATATCTGGGGTTTTGGAAAGTCAGATCAATAGGATCCCTCCTCTCCCTGAGTTCTAAGCCAGTTGAGAAAGGCAAAAGAGTCAGGCAGGTGGAGATTAAAATGCTAGCTTTATTACAGATCAAAGTTATTAAAGAATGCAGGGTAGGTGTGAGGCATCAGTGAGCCTCTGTATACTACACCCCAGAATTAGATGAGCATAACTTTAGCCAGTGGACAGACATATGGGAACCTGGAAGAGAGATGCTGCTGGTGCTCTAATGCATGTTCATAAACACTGTATAATGTAAGGTATTATTACCATTCAGTGCCAGCACCACGCCTGATTATTATTAAGGCTACCACACTGCAACTAACTATGTGCAAAGTCATTTACAAATTTCTCTCAATTTACGTGTATCCAGTCTTTGCAAGATATCCCCACACCAATCCCCCAGAAAAGTGAAAGTGAAGAGATTTTATTGTATTTCCATCTTTTATACTGTACTTACGGGCGCCATATGCAAGACACATGTGAAAGGCATAGCTATAGCACACCCCACATGGGCATTGCAAGCCATTTACATTAGGTTTTCCCATTACTGTAGCTGCAGGCACATAAAATGTTTATTACTGTTATATTGCCATTGCTTACCTTCTACATATACCTGCCACTGAGCATCTGGTCTTCTGCTGAAAAGAATAGGAACATGTTGATGTTTTCCCTGGAACTCCAGTTTTTTTACTTTAATAGTCCCTGGTTGTCCTTGGCCTTCTACCCTAGCCAGTTCCAGAGTCTAGACAGAGTAACCTTGGTATTAGCTGAACAAAAATTCGTGGCAAAGACTGCCCTTTGCTTAAACAATCAAACAAAATCGGGCCTTTCCAATACCTAGGTAATCACTTTCCAAAGGGAAGTCCACGAAGATTCCCCAGTTTACTAAGGAGATGGTAATTGCACCCCATATCAGTCCATCGTCTCCCACCCTGAGCTACTATACAGATCATCAGCCCCATTGCTGATGCCCTCACTGTTGGTCATTTGCCTGATGCGCAACCTCTCAGTTACCTAATCAATGTCTTCAGAGACCTTAAACTGACATCTCTGTGCATTAGGTTAAATAACAAAATAAAAGTTAAACACGGTAACGGGCGATCATATATCCAGCATATTAAAAAGCTGCCTGGACTTAGACTGAGCTGGGTGTGAGGACTGGCTGTCACTTATCAGCTTTGGTCACATCATCTGACCTCTTGGTCCTTTTCTACAAATTGCAGACAGTTCATGTATGGTTAAGAGGTTGGGCCCTGAAGTCAATCAGACCTGGGTGTCAACCTCAACTCTGTCATTTATCAGCTGTGTGACCTTGGGCAACTTACAAATCCATTTTATGCCTTCAATTATTCATCTACAAAAGAGAAACCTCCTACACAGAGTGACTGTGAGGATCAAGCATGATGTTCATAAAGCACCCAGCAGAGTGCCCAGCCCACAGTAGGTGCTCCATGCAAGGTACTGATCATTATCGTAAAGTGAGAAAGCCTTGAGAAGACACCGGTCATCTACTAGGATTGAGAAATTAGCTGCCAATGAGTGGTACTGACCACTGGTAATTTCAGAGGTGAGGGGCAAGAGTGATCTCTGTGGCAAGAGATACAGTGAGCTGGCTTGTGAAGAAGGCCTAGAGTTGGAAAGATGCAGGGTAGAGAGGAATGGCTTAATCAAGGGCAAGGAAGCAGGAATGTGCATGGGGTAATTTATGAATAGTCACTGCAGCATCTGTTGGATCAAAAGGGTCACATGGGGTGGGGCAAGGAAGAGAAAAATGGGTAGCAGGAAATGGGGTTGGGAAGGAATACTGGGAAAAATTGTGAAAGCCCTTCCAGAATAATGAGTTTGCCTAATCCCAAGGCAATGGAATATAGCTGAATGTTTTTGAGTAGTAAGAAGGCATGATTAAAGAAAGATTATCCTCATAATCATGGGAAGATGGAATGCATATCTTGGAGGTTCTTCTTTTCTATATTATCTGTGAACAAGACTATTGAAATTTCATTGGAGTTTGGACCTTAATAATGATTTATAAAAAAATCATTTTCCGATTTTTGTCCATAACCTAGTAAATCATTAAATCCTACTATAGCTAACATTTATATAACTCTTCATTGTTAATATGATATTGAGTAGCCCATAAATAGTGGTCATTAAATAATAAAATCCCAGGATGCTTTTGCCATGGGGGGTTGCCTAACAGGACCTTAAAAAATAACTGAGAGGTGACAACTTTGAGGTAATGAGTCATATTCTTTTGGAGTAGTGTTTTACTCTAGTTTTCCATTACTGACAAAAATCAGAGAATAATAAATTGGGTACTGCAAGAATTAGAATTACAGGACATAATTTATAAAAATTTGTACTCTGAACTTGGGAAAATTTCAGACAACTTGAAAGTTATCTAAAATAATTGTATGGATCCACCACCCAGGAGACAACATTTTCAAATCTTACCTATGTGAAACAGAGAAAGGCAATTAGAAGAGACCATGTAACCACAATTACAAAAGAGAGGATCTAGACAGGATAGTGTTCTATTGAGGAGAGATCAGTCAATACCAGAACCAGAATGCATATTATTTGTAGACAGTAATATTGACAATAGCAAAAGCTACTATTTACTGAGCACTTCTATAAGCTAGGGTCATAAGAAGCTTTTAGTCTTAGTTCACTCTCATAACAACCTATTTTCTGAATCTTACAGATGAGGAAATTAAGGTTTAGTGTGACTTAATAATGTGTCCAAAGTCGCACAGCTAATGAATGCGGGACTGAACTGGAATTTAAAGGCAGTTCCCATATCAAGTTAAAAACCTCTGCACGGCAAAGGAAACAATCAACAAAGTGAAGAGACAACCCATGAAATGGGAGAAAATATTTGCAAACTAAACTACCCATCTGGCAAGAGATTAACAACCAGGTTATATAAGGAACTCAAACAACTCTATAGGAAAACATCTAATGACCTGGTCAAAAAATGGGCAAAAGATTTGAATAGATATTTCTCCAAAGAAGACATACAAATGGCAAACAGCAATATGAAAAAGTGCTCAACATCATTGATCATCAGAGAAATGCAAATCAAAACTACAATGAGATATCATCTCACCCCGGTTAAAATGGCTTTTATCCAAAAGACAGGCAATAACAAATGCAGGCAAGGATGTGAAGAAAAGGGAACTTTAGTACACTGTTGGTAGGAATTTAAATTAGTATGACCACTATAGAGAACAGTCTGGAGGTTTCTCAAAAAACTAAAAATTGAACTACAGTACGATCCAGCAATCCCACTGCTGAGTATATACCCAGAATAAAGGAAATCAGTGCGTTGAAGAGATACCTGCACTCCCACGTTTGTTGCGGCACTGTTCACAATAGTCAAGATGTAGAGGCAACCTAAGTGTCCATCAACAGATGAATGGATAAAGAAAATGTGGTACAGATACACAATGGAGTACCGTTCAGTCATAAAAAAGAATGAGATCCTATCATTTCCAACAACATGGATGGATTGTTAAGTGAAATAAGCCAGGGACAGAAAGACAAACACTGCATGTTCTCACTTATTTGTGGGAGCTAAAAATCAAAGCAATTGAACTTATGTAGTCAGAAAGTAAAAGGATGGTTACCAAAGGCTGGGAAGGGTTGTGGAGGAGGGTGGGTAGAGGTAGGGATGGTTAATGGGTACAAAAAAATAGATAGACTGAATAAGACCAGTATTTGTTTGCAAAACAAGGTGACTGTAGTTAGTAATAATTTAATTGCACATTTTAAAATAACTACAAGAGTATAGTTAAATTGTTTGTAACACAAAGGATGAACGCTTGAAGAGAGGGACACTCCATTTTACAGGATGTGATTATTTCTCATTACAGGCCTGTATCAAAACATCTCATGTACCCTGTAAATATATACACCTACTATGTATGCACAAAAATTAAAATAAAATACTAAAGAAAAAAGCAGTGAGAAGTAATAGGAAGAAACCAATTCAAATCTATCCTAGAAAGATAGGAGTTGGTTCAGCTTCTTTTTTCTTTTTCTTTTTTTTTTTTTTTGAGACGGAGTCTCGCTCTGTCGCCCAGGCCGGACTGCGGACTGCAGTGGCGCAATCTCGGCTCACTGCAAGCTCCGCCTCCCGGGTTCACGCCATTCTCCTGCCTCAGCCTCCCGAGTAGCTGGGACTACAGGCGCCCGCCACCGCGCCCGGCTAATTTTTTGTATTTTTAGTAGAGACGGGGTTTCACCTTGTTAGCCAGGATGGTCTCGATCTCCTGACCTCATGATCCACCCGCCTCGGCCTCCCAAAGTACTGGGATTACAGGCGTGAGCCACCGCGCCCGGCCAGCTTCTTTACTCCCTAGTTTGCTCATGAAATGAAGGTAGCAACATGAAGATAAATTGTTTCAATAATGATAAGCAGGCAGTATGAAGAAATGGGGAGTTTGAGGGAAATTGTACACTATTTCATTTGAATGATAAATAAAAATTTGTATTAATGTAAAAATAAATAAAAAAGGCAGATTCCATCTGGCCTCCAAACTCATGCTCTTTCTACTGTACCCATAGAATGTGCAAGCGCTCACAAACACCCACACACTTCCTAAAGTTGAGTAAATGAAATGATAATTATCATGTTCTAATGAGTCATGGATAATTACCTATTGATTTTTGTTATTTTCCTTATAAGGTCTTAAGTTTACAGAATCAGTCATTGTTAAGAAGATTTAAGTTGTATGGATCCAGGTGTTAGTTAGCAGGCACTGTCCTGGTATTCAGGAGGGGAGGCCAGGTGAGATGCAACCCCATGAGAAGGAGGCCAGAGTTGACGACTTGACTTAGTTCTTCTTGTGCTCTTACTCACTTGGTCTTCACCATAACCCTGTGTGGTCATTGGTGTAGGTATTACTATTCTCATTTTTCATGGAGAACTTAAGTCCTAGAGAGATTATTGACTTTTCCAAGGCCATACAGCTGGTATGTGGCCGGGTTGGAATTCACATCCTGTTTTCTTACTCCAGATCTGGTCTCCTCCCATGACAACCTGGCTGCTTCTAAAAGGCACATTAACTTGGTATTTAAAATAGGCAACCTGGGTTTAAATCCAAGCAGTACTCTGGCAGTGGTATTAAATCCAACTGATCCTCAGATTTCCCATTCATAAAAATATGGATAACAGATTGATGTGAAGATTAGATGAACAAAAGGAAAACACAGTTCAATATTACTTTAGTCACATCTACTAGATCCTGAGCTTTCCGCAGATAATTATTAATGCAAAAGGATTTGTTAAGCACCCACTATGTGCCAGGCACCAGAAGCACAAAGATAACAGTGTCTTATTCATCTTTGAATTTGTAGTGCTGAGCACAAGGTCAGGCAATTGCAGGAACTCAGTAAATTTGATATAAATGAAATGGATAAAAGTAAATGGATAAATAAATTAAACATAGATGAGAAAAAGAAATTTTTAGCCTTGTATATAAAAATTCATTCACTCAACAAAAATTGAGTCTCTACTATGTGCACTATTCTGGGCGCTGTGGAAGACACAGGAATAAACAAAATATATTATATACCCTCAAAGAACAGCATGATGTACTGGTAAGAACATGAGATTTGGAGTCGGAAGACCTATATCTTCGATATCGTTTCTGCTGCTTACTAGCTTAGTAAGTTTGAACAAATTTCTGAGCCTCAGCTTTCCTATCTGTTATGTGAGGATAATCATACTGACCTTTCATGATTATTGAGAGGAATAGTATTTGCAAAAGTGCTTTGAGAATTGCTATATAATGCTTTTATTATTGTGTAAATATCCCCCAAACATTTGCTATTAGTGATATCAAATCCAAGTTTATTGGGAGTACCTAAAGAATTACTTTAATTCCCTGCTTTGCTTTGGCGGTGAAACTTGGCTGAAGGTTGGCAGTGATAGGATGAACGTGATTGTTATTATCATCAGTTGCTTTTTTCTTCCCTGGAATCCACTCAAGCTAATCACAGAAGCAGTTGCTTTAAAGGGTTTGCTAAATAAAAGGAGAAGCACTCACTAATCAAACGTAAAGAACCAGTAACAAGTTTGAGTCCTGGTATCTAGTGGTAAGTAATAAGTTGTAAGTTGGTTTTGGCTTTAAATAACATTGGGCTACAGCATTTCTGTGTCTTTTTGCCTTTCTGATTTGGGGTTAAGCCAACTAATATTTGTCAGCCAGCCTCCATGTTCTAGACTAGGGACTGCTCACGTGATTAAGCCATGATCCCTATCCTCAAGGAGTATGCATGCATTAGGGTTCTCTGGAGAAACAGAACTAATATTATACTTATATTTATACATATATATATGTATGGGGATTTATTTGGGGAATTGGCACTCAATTATGGAGGCCAAGAAATCCTACAATCTGCCATCTGTGAGCTGCAGAACGAGGAAAGCTATTGGTGTAATTCAGTCCAAGTCCAGAGGTCTGAAAACTAGGGGAGCTGATGATATAAGGCCTGATCTGAGTCTGAAGACTGAGAAGCAGGAGTGCTGATGACGTCCAAGGGCAGGAGAAGAGAGACGTCCCAGCTCAAAGAGATAGAAGATTCAGGCTTCCTCTACCTTTTGTTCTATTCAGGCTACCAGTGGGTTGAATGATGCCCGTGCACATTGGGGACGGCAATGTAGTGAGTCTACCAATCCAAATGCTAATCTCTTCCAGGACCACCCTCACAGGCACACCCAGAAATCATGTTTTACCAGCTATCTGGGTATCCCTAGCCCAGTCAAGTTGACATATAAAAGTAACCATCACAATGCATGTGATTCAGACATGGATATAAATAATTACAATACAGTCTGAACACCTTATAATAGAAGTATAAATAAATAATCATAGCAAAAAAGAGGTGCAACTGACCAGCTTTGCCATGAAAAACAGGGAAGCTTTTATAGAGGAGGTGACATCTGAAAGGGCCTTGATGTAAGAATAGAAGTTCACCAGATAGTGGCGGGAGAAGGACATCCCAGAGAGAGAAAACAGCACATGCAGAGAGAAAGAGAATGTAAAGAGAGATAGGGAGGGTAGGCACTCATGGCATGTTTGAAGAGTGAACATTATTTTAGTACAGTTGAAGTGTAGGTTGTATGACAAGCAGTGGCTCGAGATGAGGCTAGAAAGGTAAGTTAGGACTAAATTATGGTGGGCCTTAAAAGCCATACTGAGGATTTGGGGCTCTAGCTTATGGATCATACATCTTTAGCACCTAACAGAGTTCCTGGAACATAGTAGATCCTCAATAAATATTTGTTGAGTTTGTTGTAGTAATTGAAATGGTTTCCCATTTATCCAAACACCCAACTCTCCAGCCTTTTAGCCTTTGAAAGAAGGAAAAATGTATAGGGAAAAAGAAGCGGCAGCCCAGTGTGGTGGCTCATGCCTGTAATCTCAGCACTTTGGGAGGCCGAGGCATGTGGATCATGAAGTCAGGAGATTGAGACCAGCCTGGCCAACATGGTGAAACCCCATCTCTACTAAAAATACAAAAATTAGCCGGGCATGGTGGTGGGTGCTGTAATCCCAGCTACTTGGGAGGCTGAGGCAGGAGAATCGCTTGAACCTGGGAGGCGGAGGTTGCGGTGAGCTGAAACCATGCCACTGCACTCCAGCCTGGGCAACAAGAGCAAAACTCTGTCTAAAAAAGAGAAAAACAAGCCAAGTGAGGAGACAAGGGGCAGATGATGGCGCAGAATAAAGCCACCAGAAGAAATGGCATGGGATTTGTTGCTGGACTCCCAGGTTTGAAACCTTGCCTTGGCACTTGCCATTTGTGAGAACTTTGACAAGTCAAGCAACTGCCTGAGTTTAGTTTCCACATTAGTAAATGGGAGTGATAATAGTATTTGCCAAACTACAGCATTGTGTGAAGGACCATTCCAGATTTCAATGAAAGCTCTTTAGACCTGGCAAAAGTTACTCACATTTAGGGCAAACCTGAGGCCATTCAAGGGAAGGTAAGGGTCTCAGGGGTGGAGGGGAGGGGGGTGGGGCATTACACATGGAGATAGGGAACCTGACAGCCCAGGATGACTGATTCCCATTTTCCAGGGCAGTGAGAGCCTTGCTAACACTGGCAAATGATTGCCATTTCCCTTGTCAGGCAGTGACAGGAGTTAGTTGACCTGAAAATTCACTAATAGTTCCATTAGAGAGGCCTTGGAAGTAGCCATCTTTTTACTCATCCTGGTCAATTAACAATGAATTAATGCCAGATGTATTTTCAATTGAGCTGAATGCTGATTTCCCCCCATTTTACTAAAAATAGCCCTTTATAGAGGGACAGCTAACCAGGAAATATCCTGCTTTTCTTCCCAAGTCTGTTCTGGAGCATTTCTGAACCAATGTTGGCTCTCGGCAATGAGATAGTATGTCAAACCCTGAATTCGAGATAGGATACCCAGGTTTAAGTACCAGCGTCCTCCGACACCAGCTTCATGTTCTTCAACAAATAACTGAAACTTTCTGAAGCTCAGTGTTTTCACATGTAAATTGAAAAGGCAGGGATGAATCTTAGTCCCTTTCAGCAATAAAATGTTAGGAGACCATTTTAACGTGGTTTTGGGCACGTTGGTGCAATGGCAGGTTGGACCTGGGGGTGGGGAAGGGGCGCTGAATTTCTCCCATGCACTCTGAACTAGGAGTCAGGATACTGGGGTCAAGTCCTGATCCTTGTTCTTGTTCAGTGGTTCCCTACTTGGGGAGGTAGGTGGATGCAGGATACGAGGTGTGGTATTTGGTCATGTCTAGAGACATTTTTGTTGTCACCACTGGGGGGTGCTACTGGTATCTAGTGGGTAGAGGCCAAGGATGCTGCCCAACATCCCATAATGCACAGGACAGGTCCCCTGACAAACAATTGTTAGGCCCCAAATGTCAGTAGTGTCAAGACAGAAAACCTGCTTCAGTGTCTTCGTTTGTAAAATAGGGATGATAATAAAACCTGCTTCTTTCTATCATCTCACAAGGTTGACAACCAAATCAGGTAACAAATCAAAGGCGCCTTGAAACTTAAAAGTACTTTAAAATGGGGGAATAATATCTTCATTATTAACCCACTTTTGCTACTCCGTGAGCCACTTCATTGGTGTCTATTCTCTTATTCCTCTCTTGGACATAGAGTCCAATTGCTTCTCCAGCCTGTGGCAATGACTTCTGTACTTGACCTCTAGGAGATATGACTCATAGCCTTCAAACTCAAACATGCATGATAGATCCTTTATGTTTTCATTAATAAGGTATATTTCTGTTACAATCCTCCATCTGTCAGGGGTCAAACTCTTAATCTTGGACAGTACAGAATTCCTCTTCGTGTTTCCTTGAGGTTGCATTCTTGTTCCAGGGGTTTATGTAGGAGTAAGGCCCTGCAGCTGGAGAGGGGACTGTCATATTCTCGGTAGTCACCTATCTATACTAGCATTCACTGAAATGTCATCGCTTGTCGGGTCATCTACCCATCCAGATCACTGCAGGGTCCTCCTGCAGGACCACTGTTTCTCAGAGCAGGAAGAGGGCATTTTGCTGCTCTCTTGTAGCGCCCTCTATGTAGTTATCTCCCATCTATCTGCCAGATGCCCATTCAGCTGAGTCTACCTACTGTTTCATGTCATCTGAGGTCTGAACTCTCCACTACTGGCAAATTGAGCACAGGTTATCTCTGCTTTTGAATTCCCCCCAAACCTATCTGGGGTTTCCATTCCCCCTCCCTCCAGAGTTTCTGCCTTGGGGAGGTGGGTGGCAGGGCAGAGGCCCATTCTCTAGGGCACACATCCTTGTTGAATGCTCTTGCCTGACCATGGAATCTCTCTCCTCTAGTCCATCCAGTTTGCCTAACTCAGCTTATTCTAATTACCTTTATCACAACCCCTCTTTTGCAACCCCTAAGAATTTTGCTACTCCAAAGACTAAACTTTTGAAATTCAAACAACTTTTTTCCTCCAGAGAAGATATATAGGTGGCCAATAAATACATGAAAAGATGCTTAGCACCCCTAGTAATGAGGAAAATACAAATCAAAACCACAATGAGATGTCATGTCACATATCTCAGGATGGCTATTATCCCAAACAACAGCAGCAACAAAACAAAAACAGAAAATAAGAAGTGCTGGCAATAATGTGGAGAAATTGGAATGCTTGTGCGTTGTTGGTGGGAATGTAAAATGTTACAAGCACTGTGAAAACTAGTATGGTGATTCCTGGCCAGGCGCGGTGGCTCATGCTGGTAATCCCAGCACTTTGGGAGGACAAGGCGGGCGGATCACTTAGGGCCAGGAGTTCAAGACCAGCCTGGGCAACATGGCGAAACCCCCTCTCTACTAAAATACAAAAATTAGCCAGGTGTGTTGGTACATGCCTGTAGTCCCAGCAACTTGGGAGGCTGAGGCAGGAGAATCGCTTGAACCCAGGAGGTGTAGGTTGTAGTGAGCCAAGATTGCACCATTGCACTCCAGCCTGGGTGACAGAGTGAGATTCCATCTCAAAAAACGAGCAAACAAACAAAAAGCTACTATGGTGATTCCTTAAAAAATTATACCATATAGTCCAGCAATTCCACTTCTGGGCATATACCCAGAAGAAGTGAACACAAGGACTCAAACAGCTATTTGTACACCCATGTTCACAATAGCATTATTCACAAGAGCCAAAAGGTAGAAGCAAATCAAATGTTCATTGATGGCTGAATGGAACAACGAAATATGGTCCATACATACAGTGGATTTATTTAGCTTTAAAAAGGAAGAAAACTCTGACAGATGCTACAACATAGATGACTCTTGAAAACATTATGCTAAGTTAAATGAGCCACATATAAAAGGACAAATATTATATGATTCCACTTCCACGAAGTACCTAGAGTGGTCAAATGCATAAGACAGACAGTAGAATGGCGGCTGCCAGTTGGGGAAGGGAATGGGGAGTTCATCTTTAATGGTTACACAGTTTTGGTTTGGGAAGATGAGCATGTTCTGGAGAACTTTTGCACAACAATGTGAAAGTACTTAATGCCATAGAGCTGTACACTTAAAAATGGGTAAAATGGTAAATTTTATGTTATGAATATTTTACCACAAGTTAAAAAAACCTTTTTTCCTCTTTTCTTCTGCAGCCAACCTTACTTAACAATCTGGTTGGATGAGGAAGAGGTATCACGGAAAATAATGAAATAGCTAAAAAAAAATACAGCTAATATATGAAAATATTATCTTATCCCAGACCTACCAAACAGATTTTCTTTGTCTTTTCCTCGGAAAAGCAGAATCACCATGGTGATGTAGAATCTAATTGTCAAAGGAAAAAGTCAATCAGGATCAATTCATTGCAAGCTTATTGTATCCTTTATTCCAATTTTCTAATCTAAATTTGGATCCCTGGCCAAATCTCTGTTTTTCTCTTTCTTTCTCTCCCTTTCTCTCTCCTTCCCTCCCTGCCCCACCTCCCTCTTTCTCTCTTTTAAGATTTACCTAATTAGGAGCGACTAATAGTGGTCACCATTTTTCCAGTTTTTGAGTACATCATTAGTAGAGTAATATACATGGGTTCCAGATAGTTTAACAAATGGTGTTGGGGCAATTGGTTTTCAAAAATGAGTATGATTCATTGTACATCTTGCACTAAAATAAATTCCAGATAACTCGAAGACTGTTTTTAGTGATTCACAAAAGCTGTGGAATAAACGTGAGAGAATTTATTTCCATATAATCTTGCAGTGGAAAGGATTCTTTAAGTATGACATAAAATTCAGAAGCCAGACAAGAAAATGTTGGCATATTTAAACTCACAAAAACTTTAAAAAAGTTATTTGTAGAAAAAGACACTTTGAGCAAAGTCAAAAACGAAATAAACTGGGCAAACATTCTTGCCTTACATGCTGCAATCAAGGGGCTAATTTATTTAATATATAAAGTGCTTCAGCAATAGTGTAAAAAGAAACCAAAAGAGTCAATAGTAAAATGAGCAAATGAGATAGCCAATTTAAACAAAGGGGAAAATGAAAAGCTCTTAAATAAATAAAAAGTATCCAACCTCCTTGTAATAAAAGAAATACAATTCTGGGAGGCTGGGGGGAGGGGTGCGGATCACGAGATCAGGAGTTCGAGACCAGCCTGGCCAACGTGGTGAAACCCCATCTCTACTAAAAATACAAAAATTAGCTGGGTGTGGTGGCAGACGCCTGTAGTCCCAGCTACTCGGGAGGCTGAGGCAGGAGAATTGTTTGAACCTGGGAGGTGGAGCTTGCAGTGGGTCAAGATCGTGCCATTGCACTCCAGCCTGGGTGACAGGGCGAGACTCCATCTCAAAAAACAACAACAACAACAACAACAAATGAAAAAGATATTTGAGATTGGCAAAAAGACAAAAATTTGGATAAAACATTGGCTTGTTCAGAACGTGGGAAACAATCACTTTCAAAGGTTGTTGGAGGGAATGTGAATTAGTACAACCTTATTGATCAAAATTTTAAATGCATTATCCTTTGACCCAGTAATTCAGCTTCTGAAAATTTATACCATAGATACAGATCATAGAAAGAGAAATAACATACATGCAAACGACCTGCCTTCCACAAATAGGGGACTGGTTAAATGTTGGTACATCCATAAAATGGAATACTATGTAACTAAAAGGAATGAGACAGCTCTATAGGTACTGCTACGAAACAATACTGTTTGTATCTTTTGAATTTGCAGCTGTATACTCTATTACAGAGTAACATCCACACTAATTCTAGCCCCTACCCCTTGAGCCCCCATCTGGGCCTCATACCTACCTGCAGCTATCCTGGCATCTGCTTGGGAGTTTCCCACTCATATTTCCAACTATCTCTGTATCTGGCATTGGGACATCCCCTTCTTTCTTGCAAGCTGAGCTCTGAGCTCCATGTTCACAATTTCCCATGTATGCAACATCCAGAATTCTGTGTATTTTCAAGAGGGGGCCTGCACTAGGCAGGACCAGTCTCCAGCAGAGATGCTCCAGACCCTAACATGCTCACGCAGAGGTGGGTGAAGTCAGGATCTGGGGTTGGAGAGCCATCCTGCTGGGTTACTTTCAGCCAATCACTTCCTCTCTCTGGCCTCAGTCTTTTTATTTGTAAAATTAGTTTAGATGATGTTCAAGGAGCTGTAACAGTTTTAGGATTCTATGAGTAACTTGCCATGTTCCTAGTAAAGGCAGAGTTGAATAGTGGTTACAGGCAGGGACTGTGGACCCAGAATATCTCGGTTCATAATCCTAGCCCTGCTATTCATTAGCTATGTCCTTAGGCAAATTTTGAAACTTCTCTGCACTTTGGTTTCTTCATCCTGTAAAATGGAATTTGGGTTTGAAGATATTGGGAAGATTAAATGAGTTACTATGTTTAAAAGTCTGAGAAGAGAGGCTAGTACATATTAAGCCTCATCCCCTTCCCCAACCCCTTTCCCTTTCCCCCTTTCTCCTCCCCTTCCCCCTTTCTCTCCCTCTCCCTCTCTCTTTTTGGAAGGCTCAATGGATTATAGGAGGTCTCCCCCGGGTGGGGTAAGCCTGAAAAGAGAATAACTCTTTTCTATATCATCAGATGTAGATGAAGCATGAACGGAAAAAGATCTGCAGGTCTCAGGACATTCCACCTCTGCCAGTTTCAGTCAATGTATCATTTTAAATACTTACTTTAATATTTCAGGGCCTGCAGAGGAAATATGCAGCCTGGTGTTGGCTATTGAGTTGTTAGTATTTATGTTGGGAGGAGAAGTTTCTGATAGATGAGGCAACTAAAAAAAAAAGATGGTGAGAAATTTTTATTTACTGAGACTTACTCTGTGTTAAATCCTTTGCAAAAATATTCTCATTATTGTGTTGCTGAGGGGCAACATAAACCAATATTATATCGATTTCTAAATTGCATCAAGCAGCCGGCAAGTGCAGAAGAAATTCTTTTTAATTTTTAAAAAAATTTTTATAGATTCAAGGGGTACGGGTGCAGGTTTGTTACATGGATGGATTGCGTAATAGTGAAGTTTGGCTTCTAATGTGCTTGTCACCTGAATAGTGAATATTGTATCCAATGGGTAGTGCAGAAGAAATTCTGAGTTGAGACACCAAGAGAGATGAATCATGGTGTCTGTAAACTCTCCTAATGAATCAACGTGGATTACTCATTGAATATATATATTCTCAGGCCCTACTCCAGACCCACTGAATCTGAATCTCGAGGGATGAGAATCTTGGGGAGCTATATTTTTAACAGGGCTTCGGGCAGTATTTTTCACCAGAGCAATTTTAGACACGTTGGATTGGAGGACATCTTGAGGGGCTGATAGGAGAGGGTTCTATTTTCCACATCTCAGGGTTTTACTTGCCTGCCACAAAATGAAGCAAGGAGCAAACTGAGCAGGAGCCAGCAGCAGGCTCTGCGCTAGTTTCTCTAGTTGCTTACCTAGGGGCACAGGAGACCTTAACCTAGGAGATTATTCCCTCTGGTGCTTTTCTCCTTGAAACCCACTCAGGGAAGACTGGCGTGTGTGTCCGGATCCACTGCCTCCAAACCTGAGGACAAGGATTACCTAGGTTTTAAAAATTATTTCTTTGAGCTGTGTTCTCATGCACTGTGACGTCAGCAGAACCCCAAGACTGAATTATAGCTTTGCATTCAATCAGGAATCATGAATTATTCTCCATGTTATCCATCACTGCTTCCCCACTGCTCAGAAGACAGAGTGACAGCAATACACACAATGGGCAAGCACCTGAGGGGCTTTAAACCTATCAATAATAAGCATTGTTCTCAGAAAGATTTTGCTCTGCGGAAAAAGCAGAATGGAACCGCCTTTCCAATCCGGCAAAGGCTTTGAAATTGTTTCCCATTAAATGTGCAAATTCTGAAGTCATAGAGTTCAGTCACCACCTTGTTTATGTCCTGGGGATTTGGCTTAGTCTGAATCAAAAATATATATCTGTTCATATTAAATACAAAATGACTCTTGGATGTCCTCCTTCTCACATTAAACTGCATAACAAACACTAACATTCAATCTATGTAAAATTAATGAGTTGGTGGTGTCTTGTGTCTGTGTTTAATCAGAAAATTACATTTGGAGTACTTGAAAGCATATTAATTGAAGTTTATCAAGAAGGCAGTAGGTATTTAGACACAAACACAAATGCAAAATATATCAACTCATGCCTGTAATTATCTATCACCATTGCCTTGCAATTCTAGTGCCTTTAAATAAAAATAAAACATAATACATGCTTGAGCCATTTTAGACCTTAGAAATGTTTCATATATTTTTCCTTTTAAGCTTGATTGAGTTATACAGTTAAACACAGAGAATATGCACTTACTGTTGTGTTGATAAATGGAAGCATTAGTAATTGGCATAGAATGCTTCCCCTGATGTTATTAGCTACAAATTTCTGAGGTTAGAATGAATGTAAAACATTCTTTTACCCAGATTGATTCTTTGCATAAATAATTAGAAAAAACAAGCTCTTGACACAATAGCCTCCATAAATGCCATCATAACTATAGAATATGCTTACAGACCAAATATAGCAATGGCCAACTTTGGCTTCAAACTTGTTTTCTCAAATTTGGCCCCCAGGGAAATACAATAGACTCAGCTGATACATGTGGCATCTCATTGTATCACTATATCCAAAGAACCTATTAACTCACTGGATAGGCAAATATTGGTTTGGCTTTCTCAAATATGGAGATGAGATTCTTTTTTTAAATTTTTTAATTTCCTTAGCTGTGTCTCTATGATTTCTTTTTCTCGTGCACCTTCTTTCAGATTTAAGAATCTCTGTCCATATCCACCAAACATGAGGCCTGAAATAAGTCAGTGAAAAACTTGGCAATCTCTAAGTATCTGAGTGTTTATCTTTCTGGAGGTTTCAACACCCAGGAGTTTCACTGCTTTTTCTTTTTTCTGTTTTTTTGAGACAGGGTCTCACTCTGTCACCCAGGCTGGAGTGCAGTGGCACAAGCACGGCTCACTGCAGCCTCAACCTCCCGGGCTCAAGCGATCCTCCTACCACAGTCCCCCAAGAGCTGGGATCACAGGCATACACCACCATGTCCAGCCAATTTTTAAATTTTTTTAGAGATGGGGTCTCACTGTATTGAATAAGCTGGTCTTGAACTCCTGGGCTCAAGTGATCCCTCCACCTTGGCCTCCCTAAGTACTAGGATTACAGGTATGAGCCACCACACCCAGCTTTAACTGCATTTCTATGTGTTCACTAGACATTGGGCAGAGTATGGACAAGGCCACTCCATTCAGCATCTCTGAGATCAGCATCCTCACTGAGGTCAGCCCTTCCTATGATCCTGCACAAGGAACAAGGTGGGGCTGTTTCAGAGAGTTCCTCTCAGCTCTCCGAGACTGGGGGCCCGCCAAGTGCTTACGGTCCTTTAGGAACTCTGCTAAGTCCTTGACATTCATCATCTCTTTTAATCCTCATAATCAACCTGTGAGGGGGAAGTTATTTCCTTGGTTAGCAAATGAGGAAACTGAGGCATGGATCAGTTATGTAACTTGCTCAAGATTCAGATATACAAGAAACTAAAATGAGAAAGAGAGGAAATTGCTTGGGCTAGAAACGACAGAGTTGGTATTGGAACCCAGGGCCATAGACTTCTAAACACACTCTGTACTATGCTGTACTATCTTTCTTATGATACTCATGCTATGTATCTTCCTATAGCCTATACATTTTTTTTTAAAATCATGGAATTGCACATCTAACCCTTAGTAGTCTGGTTTTCTAATCCTTTCCTTGGGAGGGAATCAGAATATTTTATTTATTTATATCAGGGATCTGGATAGTGAAATCTCATGCTTTTCCCTTAGCATCCAACTTTTCACTCCCTTATGTGTATATGTTATCATGTATATTTTGCTTATTACATTTTATTTGTTTGCACAAGATTTCTCACAAGAAACACAGGTCTTTGCCTAACAATATAGCCAGTGTTTATGAGCATAAGCTCTCAGGATAGACTGGTTGGGTACAAAAACAAGCTCTCCCATTTATTATTCAATCTTGGGCAGGTTGCTTAAGTTCTTTAAGTATCAGTATCTCTGTCAGTAAAAAGGGGATGAGGATGACGGTAGCTATCTGTGGATTAAATGAGAATGCAGAGCCAATGCCTGGCACAGAGTAAGAACCTACAAGCATGAGATACTGTTGTCTGTATAAGCAGCAGGCTTTAACTCAAGACTATGCAAAGAAGACTGACTAACCATGGGACTCCATTCTCTCTTGCTCACTTTCCAGTTAACTGGAAGATAATCGAGATCCTTAGATTCATGGGCAGAACAACATCATCTCCAAGGATTAGGGCAAATAATGGAGTCATAATGAACTGGAAGCAGACAGATTGTCTCAGTTCTGACTTCAGCCCTACCATTAGTGACTCTGGGCAAGCCACTCTCCTCATTTGGCCTTCAGTGTCCCCTTCTCTCAAACAAGGGGAGATCAGCCTGTCCCCAGAGGGTCCTGCCAGTGTTAACATTCTGTGAAGTATCCAAGCCTTCGTGAGTGAGTCCTCGCTTCTAAGAGCTTGTAATTTCCATGCCCCACCTGAACACCACCACCCAGTCCAGGAAGCCAGGAACCCAGGCCATTTCTGAACTTTTCACTTGAATACCCAGAGCAGCTGCTAACACCCCCAGCCGAGCCCCACACCTCCTTAATCTAAAATCCTCATTAGTTCCAACTGCAGGCCATCTATTACCTTGTGCTCATAATGGGAGTTAATTTCTGTTGGGATCAGATGGTCTTCCCCCTGGAAATTTTTATTCATATTTCTTTCCTGTTTTGTGATTCTCAATCGGAGTTTTCTAATAACAGATCATTTCTTTTTGTCTAACTTTAATCTGGTCCTGCTTGACAAGCCCCATCCTTTTCATTGAAGGGTAAGACCACTTAAAGGAAGGCCAATAAGCCCTTGCGCTGCTCGGCCGGCTGGGGTGATTTGTCACCCGGTGCAGTGGTGGTCACACCAATGGATTTATCTCAAGGTAAATGGAGATGCTGAGACCCGGGACCCGGAGCTTTGATTAAGGCGCCCTTTTTGTAGTGTTGATAGATGTTGCTTGTGTTTATCTATTTGAAATGCCACTAAATCTGTGAATACAATGGAAAAAGAGAGTACTTTGCCGCTGAAAACATATTAGTGATTTATGTTTCAGTAAGAAGCACAATAAAGAGACAGAGGCTATTAAGAGCAGCTATTTTCATGAGAAATAGTTCTGCTTTAAAACATTATTAACCGCACCTTGATAAAGACTTACATGCATGCATAATCATGTTTACTTACCCCTTTAGTTTGGTGCAATATGCATTTGAAGCACACATTCTCCAAATATTCATAAGTTAGTCAGCAGAATATTTACAGCAAAAGACACCTTGCCCAGGACCGTTCTGCATGTAAATTTCCCTCTCTCAAGATACAGACACATAATAAACTTATCTAGGAAGCTTTGGAGTTTATATGGACTTCATATTGCTCAAAGCACTCTCAAATCCTTCACACCATCATTTGCTGTGTCTCCCCCACCCCACTTGCATTGTAGTAGAAATAACCAGTAAGGTGACACATAAAGATTATAATGCATGGATATAACTTATAACATGAATCAATGTCATCAAGACGCACCCATTTAAATGAATAGGGTCAGATGAGAGTGCTGTATCACCCTGACTTGTGTGACAGTTACAAATGCATCACCTCGTATGCATAATAGGAGTGTACAAACCAGAAGAGATTTGTAAACTTGGTTCATTTCAAGCAGAACTGACCCACAGGAATGGAAACCAGAGAAAAGGCAACTGGGTTGGAGCTGTCTGGAAATCAGTGACTCTTGTTGGGCTGTTTCACAAAACCCTAACGAGGATTTTGTGTCCTCCAGTCCACCAGGGAACTGAGAGCCGACCAACTCAGGCGCAGCACACTGGCTGCTTCCTTAACCACGTTCTCTTCTAAAGGGGGATAACGCGGAAGAGTGGGGGAGGGGGTAGATTTGAGGTGTGCAATTCTTACCACATCTGGGGAAAAAAACAAAAACAAAGCCAAGCGAAGTGGGCCTGCCAGAGTTAACTATGTTCACAGAGTGCAATTAAGTGTTTGGAAGGTTCTGTGCCGTGTGCTCTGATTTACGGCCGCGTTCCTGGGACGCCCCTTTAGCCGGGCGAACGTGGAGGGGGCCAGGCCCGGCCGTGCGCACCCTGGGAGCGGAGCCGGGCCGCTGGCGCTCCGGGTCTTGGGCTTGGCACCGCGGCGCACCGGGTGGCAAGCACAGCGCTTAGCGGAGGCCACACCTGCACCTCATTTGCTTCTGAGCAGTGCCATGACCCGCCTGCTGATGGGGCGCCTTCCCTTTCATCCTCGGGATTATGACAAGTTATTAATTGCCACCATTAGCCGCAGCAGCCTGCCCGAGATCTCTGCTGCTCTCTGGAGGTGAGAAACCGCGCATCTGAATGCCGAGGGAAGAGGCGCTGAGCAGCCAGGGCAAACGGAGCAACAATCTGCCCAAAAGGGATTGTGAGATGGTGAATAATTTATTAGAAAACATTTTTCTTTGTCCTTCCCACAGACCCACAAATCCTCCCCAAGCGCTCTTTACCAGCCTTGCAGATAATGTACTTACACATCTCAGAGCCTGCTAAATAGACTGAAGAGGCCATGGGGTTCACCTCCACACTGCGGCTGCCAGGACCGCGCTACCAGCCCGCGCGGCCTCTGCCAAGGGCCCGCTGATGGAGGCGAGGGAATTAGCTGATTTTGCAGAAGCAGATAGGAAAAGCCGCTGCCATGGCTACCCCGCCTTCTTCCCGGGCTCCTGCGTCCCGTATTGAGCCCGGATACCTGCACACATGCTTTATATTGGTCTAGAACCCTACAATTTCATTCCACACCACCAGTAGGTGTTGACTGAGTTTCTGCTGCGATAGAGAGTTGCTCGGTCCTTCCTTCTGCACACCTGGGCAGAGGTGAGGCCACACCACGTCCCCAGCCACACATGCATTCCTTTCACAGAACTGTGAGCCTGCTCTACAATAGATGCAGACCCAGACCAAGACCTCAAAGAGCTGGAAGTTAAATAAGGATACGCTAACGTGGACAAGTATATAGAGCACCAGAGAGCTCTATATTGAATCTCTGTCTGCTTCTCCAGCCTTATTTATTTCCCTCCTCCCTCCCCATCCTCAATACCCGTGGCCATCTGAGTACATTCACCAACATGTGCACACCACACACTCTGCATACATATACTCTAGCCAGACTGACCTATTTGGGAGGGCTATATGAAAAATTACCATTTGTATAGGTCAAAACCAGCTGAATATCAGTGATTTTATATGAGTCAACTGAAAATAACATACTTGTCATCTTTGGCTCTTCATCTTGCCTGTCTACCGAGAGCATCTTTCTTTGCCTGCCAAAACCATACTCACCCTTCAGAAGTCAGTGTATTTAGACATTCCTTCCTAGAAAAGTCCTCTTGGACATTCCCGCCGTCTCCTCCACTTTCCACCTGGGCTTCACTTTGATGATACTCTTCTGTATTCCCAATGTATCCTCCACCTGCCTTCTTTTTGATACTTGTTGCACTGTATCATAATGGTTGCCTTACCTTTTATCCTCTCTAGTCTGTGGCCCCTTGAGGGCACAAAGGATCCTATTTGAACGTGCATTCCTAGAACCTCACCCAGTACTGGCATATTGTAGATTCTCAGTAAGTTTGATGAATGAATAAATGAGGTGAATGAGAAGATGGATGCACAAGATAACAGGGGAACGGAAAAGAATCATAGACAGGGGAGATGGGACCAAGATTTCTATGGTAGCCAAGAAGGAAGGAGTTTTCATTTTATTAGGAGGTGCATAGACAAGATGTTGTGAAGTACTTCAGGGATTCTATGAGATCCGTACTGACCAAAGACATTCTCAGTCTCTGCTATTAAAAATAAAACAAAACAAAACACCTTTTTCCCTAGAATATATTTTTGTGGCATAGAGTAGACCCTCAATAAATAAATAAATAGTTATTGAATTTTAAAAGTGAATATGGAAGGACTATTAAGATTAGTTCTACCTAAGGGTAAAGCAATTAACTAATAAGAATAGTTTTTTTTAACTGAGTAGTTTTATTTTACATTATTTTATCGCTACAACTATGAAATTTGAAAATGAGGAAATTGAGGCTCAGAGAATTGTGTCCTATTCGGGATCACCCAGCTAGTGAGAGAGTCAAACCCAGGTCTCTCTCGCTCCAAAGCCTGAGTTCATGCCAACGATGCTACTGCAGGCTCTCCATTCCCAGAGATCTTCTTGAGTTAGAAATAACCATATTGTCTCAAAGATTTTGAAATAGCATAGTTTAGAATCAGGGCCAATCATAGGTGACATGAGTATCTTCCAAGTCAAGGCTTCTATGATGCTTCCTCTTTAAAGTATGATCGCCTCCTCTTTAAAGCCTTAGAGTCTTTTAAAATGATGCTTGGAGATATATATTTGTAGGGATTTGGTAGGTTAATTCAGTCATTCAACAAATCTTTAGTAATCACTTACTGTGTGCCAAGTCTCATGCCAAGCTCTGGAGATACAGTGTTGAATAGGTGTGTTTCCTGCCAACCTGGAGGACTGCTCAGATTCTGAAGAGACAACATCAAGCCTGCAGGTGCCAGATGGGCATCTTAGCTGAGAATGAATCAAGCAAAGATGAGGGAACAAGACCGACTGCCTCCATGTTTTGAGTTTGAATGTGCTTTAATGACAAGCATAATGAGTGTTCCGATCCTCCTGCTGTTACTGACAGCCCCAGTCTTATAGGTGAACTGAATATCAAATATAGGAGCACACACACATGCACATACACAGAAGACTAACATGTCAAAAAGAGATACAATCCTGAAGACCTATTAATCCATTTATTTATTTTATCTCAGCATTTTGAACACCCAGATGAGTCAGGCCCCATGCTGGTGCCAGCTACTGCACAACTACCAGTCTCTGCTCTTTAGGGGCTCACAGAACAGTGTGGGAGATGGTCTAGTGTGTAAAAAATTATACTTATTTGTGATCAGTACACTAACGGAGGGAGGAATCCAGTGTTCCAGAAGAGAAGAGGGAGCAACTAGTTCAGGCTTTGGAGGGTGCAGGAGAGCATGTAGATAAGAAAGGGTTTCCCCAAGACAGCATTGTGTTAGCTGGATGCTAAAGGATGCATGGGCCTTACAACTGGAGAAGGGGTGCAAGACAGCCTCACCCATGGGAAAAGGAAGATGAAAAAAAGGACAAATGCCCAGTGACTAGATGCTAAAGGAAGACTATTGGTTAAGTGGAATCATTCATTCATCCATTCATTCAGAAAACACTGAAGCCTACCATGCTGTTATGGACTGAATGCTTATGTCCTTCCCTGCCTCCTCTCAATTGCTACATTGAAGTCCTAACCTTTGTGTGGCTCTGTTTGGAGTAAGGAAATAATTAAAGTTAAATGAGGCTATAAGGGTGGGGCCCTCATCCAACAGAATTAGTGTCCTTTTAAGAAGAGCCACCAGAGAGCTCATACACACTTTCTCTCTGTGCACAGGCACTGAGGAAAAGCCATGTGAAGACACAGCAAGAAGGTGGCCATCTGCAAGCCAGGAAGAAAGCCCTCACCCAAAACTGACCTTATAGGCACCTTGATGTTGGGCTATTAACCTCTAGAACTGTGGAAACATAAATTTCTGTTGTTTAAGCCATCCAGTGTATGGTATTTTGTTATGACAGCCCAGGAAGACTAATATTCATGCTCCTAGCACTGTACCAGGTTTGGAGTAGCCAAAGACAAATAAGACCACTCACTTCTCTCAAAAGCTCATGGCTATAAAGAGAATATGTTGATCATATTCTCTATGATCAACAGAAAAACAATGGCTAGAGTAAAACCTGTGGTATATTAAGGGAACACCTGCTTGAAATAATCATGATTTATTTTAACTGAACAATTTTATCTGGTCTTAGTTAAGCATGTTGAGTATGATTTAAGGATTTGATGTGGGAGACATTCAAGATGTTTACCAATATTTCAATTTCTTCTCATTCTCAGCAAATTCTACCCCCACACCCTGGCAATTAAAGTTAATTGGGGCTATGTGATTTGCTTTAAAAAATGAATTGTGAACAAAAGTAACAGGTATCACTTGCAGGCAGGAGCCTTGAAGAACCAGTGAGCGATTTGCCAAGTTTTCTTCCCTATATAGCAAACATCAACATTCCAGGTGAGGGAGGCTCCATCAGTCCAAATCTGAGTGAGAAAATCAGGAGCAGAAGCCCTAAGACAAACAGGCAGCATGAGTAAGAAATGAAGCTTTAGTGTTTTAAGCTACTGAGATTTGGGGTTTATTCATTATTGCAGCACAATATAGTCTAACGTGACTGATATAAGTAAAGAACAAGATGTTACTTATTCTGACCCTGGTAGACATTTTGGAATATTAGTTTTGCCACTTGAAGCCCTAAGAATGACCCACTATCAAGAGACTGGACTTCCAGTTTCTACTCTGTGTGGGTGTTGCATTCATCTACCATCAGGTTATAAAATACATTAATAGATTTCCTTATAAGCAATGAGCAGTTAGGATTTTACTTCCTCATCTACCTTTGCAGTGTTACATCCTTCATCCATCATATAAAACCTGTTAGCAAAGAGGCTCCTGTGTGAAGCTCTGTCCTTTAGAGACTCAAACTGTAGAAGGGTATGGCTTTCTAATCTTCAGAGGATTTTTGCCCTTTCATGTCCTTTTTGTAGGCCCAAGAACAACGGACTCTGGAATTGAGTGTTCGGCTTTAAATCCTGGATGCACTACTTTCTAGCCATGTGGCTTGGAAAAGTTACTTGATCTAATTAAGCTTTCATTTTTTCACTTGTAGAATACAAATAACAATAGTACCTATCTCATGGGGATGTTTTGTGAATTGAGATAATGCACATAGAGCTTAATAAATAGTAATTATTATTATTATTGTTGGTGTTATCATTATTATTTTACCATCAGGATAGGCTTAAAATAAAATGTCAAAAATCTTTATCACCAAAGCCATGACTATTCTTAGAGAGTTTACTTACAGATTAGCTGGGAGATAGTGGTTTGCAGTAAATGACCTTCCAGCTTGTGCCCAAAGTTTTCGATCCTCCAGCCACACAGAGCTTCTTAAGGGCGATCAGAACCTCTCAGAAAGCTTCTATTCCAGTGGGAGTCCTGCCACGAGAGGACCCGAGTTAAAGCAGGTGTGGACACAGGGTATGCGGCTTCCAGGAAATCTGGGAACCATCCTGCTTGTATGGCTTCTCTTTTGGATATTTAGCAACTGACCCTTTGGAGAAAGATTATCTCCTTTTTGAAAGTAATCTGACAACCTGTCAAAACTGGACTTGTGAGAGGAATGGAGAAGCTAGCCCTGGGCAGTCTGGCCAGGCTCTCATTTGGGTCATGACACTGGCAGGGGCTGCTTTAGTCCACATCAACTTGGCTTCTGGTCCCAACCCCCTTCTGAAGCTCTGATGACGTGACTGAAAGAGCTTCTGGGATTCTCCCAAGACAGCCAAAGAAACAAGAAGAGTGATTGACATAGAAGCTCTGTGATGATCACTGTGATTAGGGAAAGGATCTTCTATTTGAGGAAAAGTGGCAACCAAGAAAATAAGAAAAATGGCAAGGGCGCTAAAATTCTGCACTAAGTCCTTTCTGTCACTGACAATATTCTTGATCACTGGAATTTAAAATAAAATGATTTGATAAACTTCCAAAGGTGTTTACCACGTGCAGGCCATGTGCTGTGGACGAGTGATACAATGATTCTTGAGGCCTTATCTTTCTCTACAAAGAGCTCATAGTCTTTCAATAATTCAACAATACATTCGTTCAATACTTTTACTGATGCCCACGGCATGCCAGGCACCACTGTACTGGGTATATAATGGTGAACAAAACTGACAGCTCTCTGCCCTTGTGGAGTGTAGAGTCTAGTAGCATATCTAGAAACAGTAAGCACAAATAAATAAACAATATTGTATTAATATTATTTTTATGTCAGCAAAGGAAAAAAATGGGTAGCATAACAAAAGACATGTGATGGGATTGGGGAACAACATATAAACCAATACCAGCAGTGCACTGGGAAAGGCACACATACAAAAGGCTTTCAGAGTATGAACATCCGTGTACCTTCACTCCTGACTGCAGGCGCAGACTGTGTGTGGGGAGATGCTCATATAGAAACCCAGGTACCCAGGAATGACATACACCAACACACATACCTCCTAGAAGTATTTTCTCAGACTACAAACTATTAAGGATGTAAATTTCTGACAGTGAAAATTTTATTTTTTTAGTGTTTCTGTAACTGTATAGATACACGAATTATTTAGTAGTTCAGTTATTCTACAAATACTAAACTGTTTTACAGCATGATTCTTATTGAAATAAGCAATTAACACATCTTGCCTCTTCTTGCAAGCTCTCTCTGACCACCCACCTACACCCTCCGTGAGTCTTCTGTGATTCTCTTCTATATTCCATTATTCCTTATGCATGCCTTTACCATCACAATTTTCACACTTTTATAATCACTGATTTGTTTTGCTTTTCTCATCTTCTAGATTGTGAACATCTTGAAGCCACAGACTGTCTTAATTGTCTCAATATGCCTAGGGCTTAGCTGTCTTAGTTTGGGTTTCACGATAAACAGACCTTGAGAACAGCATTCAAGTGCAAGCAGTTTATTTGGAAGATGGTCCCAGGGAACACTAGTAAGGGAGTGGGGAGGGGAACAAGGAAGGGGGCGAAGCTCATAAGGAGCGTTTTATTAAGCAAGTTACCAGGTTCCCTCTGGAGAACTCTGGGAAGCCACATGGACCATGTACCAGCATTATCAGGGTATTTATCCACCTTCCCATCTGTTGTTGGTTGAGGCCTGCTCCCACGGGTAAGAACCCTCCAGCATGTCTGGTTTGTTTTCCCCACAGGCCAGGCATGCTTGTACAACCTGAAAAATCCCTCGGGCAGAGTCACAGGTGCTTTCTATAAGCAACCTTCAGACCGTGGAGGTGAGTGCCAAGGGATATGAATGGGGTGTCAACTAGTATCTGCTGGCTCCCCATGGCAGCTAGGTAGGCTTTGGTGGCTCAATGTAACAAAATAGCCAAGCAGAGCACATTGTTAAGGGATAAATTTTAGTGTGGGCTCCATGGGCAAATCTCATGTTACTGACGTGGTATCAAGCCAGCAGTGAAGTGTTAGATCTGGAAGCAGCCTGAGATCATTTGCTGGGGATGTTTGTTTGTTTGTTTGTTTCTTTCTTTTTTTGAGACAGAGTCTTGCTTTGTTGCCCAGGCTAGAGTGCGGTGGCATTATCTTGCGATCTCAGCTTACTGCAACCTCTGCCTCCCGGGTTCAAGCGATTCTCTTGCCTCAGCCTTCCGCGTAGCTGGGATGACAGGTGTGGACCACCACGCCTGGCTAATTTTTTTGTGTGTGTGTTTTTAGTAGAGATGGGGTTTTGCCACGTTGGCCAGGCTGGTCTCGAACTCCTGGGACCTCAGATGATCCACCCGCCTCAGCCTCCCAAAGTGCTGGGATTACAGGCATGAGTCACCATGCTGGCTGGAATGTTTGTTTCTGCAGCCATCATGATCAGAACTATCTTGAAGAGCAGAGTGTTATTTTAACCCCCCCACTCTCCTTGGACTAGTTCACATGTAATGAAATCTCCTGTTAGTGCAGTGATTCCATCTGTGTTTTCTCACCTGCAGGTGTTGGGGGCTCAATTACCATACTTGCTAATATGTTGTTACTTTCTGAAGATGTAAATTATAACAGGTGCTACTTATGAATTATATTTAATAGCAATGCATCCAACTCATTTGTTAACTTACACACAGTCAGATGAGGTCTCTTCATTTGACCCTCCAGAGAGAGGACGACCAGCCTCCTTGGAGCTTCCATATTTTTGGAAGTCTCTTCTGGTTACCCTTCATGTTTAAAAGTGATAGTGATGATATTAGCCCAGGACTTCACCTGAATTTGAGCTTCCTGTGGCAAAGTGTACATGAACAACCCCACTAAGGACCTAAACCAATAAAATATTACTCAATATATCCTATGTCTTCAAGAAATAGGACTCCAGAAAAATAACACAGTAATTCCAATGTGTCCAGTGTCTTCATTCCCGTGACTTTGCTGGAGCAGTATAGTGTAGTGGATAAGAATACAAACTGCCTGGGTTCTGTGTCTCCATTTCCTCATCTGTAAAATGGGGATAATAATGGTTCCCATCTCTTAGGGTTGAATGAAGATTAAATGAGTTAACACATGTAGAGAATTTTGAACAATGCACAGCTCTTTACATAGTTCCCAGCACTATATTAAGCACTGGCCCAAGAATAATTGATTCATTCAACAAGTTTTTTTTCTTTTTTGAAACAGGGTTTTGCTCTATTGCCCAGACTTGAGTACAGTGACACGATCATGGTTCACTGCAGCCTTGACCTCCTGGGCTCAGTCCTCCCACCTCAGCCTCCTGAGTAGCTGGGACTACAGGTATATGCCACCATGCCCCCAATTTTTTTGTTTCTGTTTTTTCTAGAGATGGGATATCACTATGTTGCCGAGGCTGGTCTCAAACTCTTTGGTTCAAGCGATCCACCTCCAATCTCGGCCTCCCAAAGTGCTAGGATTAAAGGCATGAGCCGCCACACCTGGCCTCGACAAATACTTTTGAGTGCCACCTCTGTGCCGGCCACTGTACCAGATGTGGTGATACAATGGGGAACTACATAAACCTGACCTTAGAGAATTTGCATTTTACCTGGGGAACACAGACTACTATGATAGGCAAAGACCCCCAGCTGACAGGGAAGCTTCCTGGATTTGAGGACTACACCAAGGCCCTGGAGACTGGTTGTAGCCAGGCAAACGGTGTGCCAAGAAGGGGATTGCATGCACCAAGTTCTGGAAGTATAAGATGGCATAACAGAGACAGTAGTTCAGTGCGGCTGTGAAATGGAGGGAAAGGGATGGTGAGAGAGGAGGTAGGTCACAAAGGGCTTCTTAGCACCATTCAAGTGCAGCTGTGTCTCCTGGGAGCAATTGAGTGGGAAGGAGAAAGTAAACGCCCCATGCTTAGACTTGACTACTATTTTGACACTTCTCCCACAGGGCCTTACATTGTAATCTCTTACAGCACAAGGTACATGTGTACTTTTTTCCATTCACATTGTGAATTCCTTGAAGGCAGAAATCACGGGCCTTTTATTTCCTCCAACTCTCCCTAGCCACTGGCAGCTTTGTTGGTATTTGAGCCCTCACTAGCCATCTCTTAGCACCTCTGGCATAATGTGATTCCAGATCATTCTTCATTACCTGCTGAGGACCCCAACACCCTGTCTTGCTCTTGTGAGACCTCCTCTGCACTCTGTCCTGAGGTTACTACCAAAGTTTCTGATGGTCTTCTCCTGGGACACCTCCTCCTGATCTCCCATCCTCATTCCCTGAAGCAATTTTGTTCTCACTTACCAGACTTTCGCTCTCCCCTCAATGTGAATGGCTTGTCTAGCCCAGCTGTTGTGATTTTTCTACTCTCTAGATGCAGTGCAATGGACCAGCAATGGCTTTGGAGTCGCCCAGATCTGAGCCTGAATCCCACCACCTAGATGTGTGGTCTTCAGCAAGCCATTTAATCTTTCTGGGCTTCATTTCTCTCACTTATAAAACAACGCTAATACTACCTAGCTGCAGGGTTGTTGTTGTAAGGATGAAGTAGTGGTTATATAACTAAGACGCTCATTAAATGATGATACCCACGTCCCTGCCTATAGGTACAGTTGCATAGTTTCCAAGTCCTAAACTCTTCACGTCTGTACTTTCTTGTTGTGGTAACTGATTCAGTTCCCAGAAATCTTGTGAAATAGTCAATTAGGGTTAATGAAAGATAATTCCTTGGCACAAAGTACTTCCTTCTCAAGAACATCCTGCATGTAAGTTACTTTCATTCTAGGCTGTTAAGACATTTTTCAAACTTACCTGTAGATAGTAATCTCAGACCTAGGAGACACATCAACAGTGATAACGAAAAGAGAGCAAGCGATTCTGAAGTTGTTTTTCTCTAGAGTAACATGTGTACAGCATCCAGAACAATTAGATCGTGATTGCCAGGCCAAATTTCCATCATGACACTAATGAGTTACAAACCCCTGGAGCATTGCATCCAGGAAACAGCAGCAGCATCCAAGCCCTTTGATGGAATCACAACCTTATAATTAGTATAAGTCCATTCATTATCATGGGCCTGGGTGCGTGCATACCAGGGGAGAAGAGTGAGGGACAAGGAAACAAATTAAAAAGCATAAACTGAGAAAGGAAAAGAAATTAAAACCACTGAAAACTCACTAATATAATTATAGGAACTTCTCAACTGCTGAAGTTTGGGGAACCCAAACTGATTTCAGGGAGACACTGAATATAGATACTAGCTGCAGGGCTATCTTAGAACTATGAGGTGCACCATGTCTCTCTTCCTGCCCTTTGACAACTGTCCCTCTCTCCCCTTTCTGTGTTTTTGCAACCTGGGCATTTAAGAGTGAGGACGAGAAGAAAGGCACAAAGGAATGGAAGGAGGAGGGAAGGAGAGGGAAAGAAGAGAGGGAGACTAACGGTTCCTGGAGCACCATTTGTGATATGTGCCCAGTGGTCCGCCGGCTGCTCCCTATCCGTTAGCACGGTGTCAGGAACACAGGCATTGGCAGCAGACAGACCTGGTTCAGAGTCGGCTCCTGGCTGTCTTGGGCAAATGGCCTCAGTTTCTTTATATGTAAAATGTTGAAGTGATTGGGGGCATGAAACAAGGTAATGTATATGAAGCCCTTAATACACAAAGGACATAGTCAATTGTCTCTTAAAATTATTTCACTTTTCTCCATAAAAGGGTGAAGTGGGTCTATTATCCTCATTTTGTGAATAAAGACACTGGTGGCAAGGGACACCAAGGGGATCATGAGCTCCATGAATGTAAGGGCCATGCCCACCTTGGTCACTGCTATACCCAGCACTAGGCAGTTAGGCCAGGAAGGCTTCACTGTGGTTGGGAGGGAGTTAAAGTTTCACCCATCTGGATCCAAGGCCAGGATCCTTCCCAGTGCCATGTTGCTGGCCCCAAATAATCTCCTGTCTCTGTGGGTAGATGTAGAGTAGTAAGCACAGGTTTGAGGACGAAACAGCTGGGGTTCAAGTCCCAAGTTAAATAACTTGCTTTGTGAGCCAACTATTTATATGTTTCTGATCCTCTTTATGTCCTTCCCATCCTGAAAGAGTCCCTTAGTCTTTTTGATAAAAGACTCTCAGAGGGAGCTGAAAGAAAAGGATTATTTTAGGGCCGGAGCCCTAAAGAAGAGTCCTATCCCTGCAGGTCAGTATGCTAGTGACAGAAAAGGAAAACCTCAGGGAAAGGGTTAGGATGGTTTGTCTGGGGTTTGTTTTTTCAGATAGGAACGGAAAAAAAAAGAAAAAAGAAAAAGAAATATGGAGAGGGAGCTAATAGTTATTGAGCAACTATTGTGTACTCATTGTGTTTGGTGTTTTATACCTAATGTCTCACTTAATCCCCATAAAAGTTCCGTAAGAAAGATTCCCATTTTACAGATAAGAAAACTGAGGGTTAGAAAGGTTAAGCACTTTGACCAGTTTAACTGATCTTGTTAAATGGCAAAACAAAGCTTGTTTCCAGGTTGGTTTTCCTCCAAAGCCCCTGTTCTTTTCATAAGTATAGCTACTTCTCTTCAAGGTAAAAGAAAATAAAAACAGACTTGTCAGGCTCTTAGGTTTACCAAAAAGTTTCATCTTCTATTGAGTGTCCACTGGGAAGTGATTTATCTTTGTTTGGAAACAACACCCACACCTGTGCTCTGCTCTATCTTCACCTGACCTCTTTTTAATGCTACCCACCTATCAATGCAATGCAGAGTCCGCAGGTGCCTGGTCCCTGGAATTTTATTTCATGGTCAGGCTACAAATTCGTGACTACTTTTAAAAATAATGATTTGTGTTCAACGTGAGTTTTTGTAGCAGATATATAAATAAACATATTATTTCTATTTTAAAATATAATATTGATTCTGTTTCTTATAACACAAGAGAAAAGCAAGTGAGAAGTCAGAGTGCTGGCTTAAAAATTAAACCCTGTAAAGTTTACAGGCAATCTACAGTGAAGCTAAATCTAACAGCCATGAAACAAAAAATAGCAGAATCACTTTACAGGGGTTTTCCGGGCAACTCTGGAATTCAAGTGTTCAAGTTCAGCCCATGTAATAAAGGGGAGTTTATGATGGTTTTGCAATTGAGGCAGAAGGTGGAGAAAAGAACACTTGTATTAGGGAGCATCCTAAAACCAAAAGCCTCACGAAGAAAGTTTACTAGGTGTGAAAAGTTTGTTTTAAAGAGAAGGGATATGAAACCATAAGGCGAACAAAATATCTCATTAACCCAGGCAGCACTAGAAACATTTTGCATGCATGCATTCATCACTACAGCAAACTTTTATTGGGTACCTACTAGAAGGACAAGTAGTACGTCCAGCAGAGAGGATGCAAAGCAAACAGGCATACTCCCTGCCATCGAGAATCTTATCGTCTGAGGGGTGGGGCAAATATGTGAATAGTGATTATGGCACAAATACTATATTTGAGATTATGTAAGAGCAATCGTAGCTGATATTTGTTAGGTGCTTATGACAATGCCACACTCGGTTTTAAGCCCTTTCTATGTTATTAACTTAATACTCCTCACAAGGCTCTATGAAGTAGGTACTGTTATTAATACCATTTTACAGCTAAGGATGGGTAAGGTAAAGGACTTGCTCAAGGAGAGACGATAACCAATGCTGAAAGGGCCATAAGAGTATGTTGGAGGGATTGATGGACTTTCCCTGAAGGCAGAAAGATGCATGCAACCTGGATCTTAAGGAAGGAGGAGGAGGAGTAGTTTTCTGGATCTTAAGGAAGGAGGAGGAGTTTTCTGGATCCAAGGTGAAACAAAGAAGCACATTCTAGACATGGGGAACAGCATGTGTCTGAGGGTGGTGTATCTGGGGAACTGAGAACCTCCGTGCATGACAAATGCAGGACCCACGATGCATGGAAGTCAGAGATGGGACAGACTGAGAGGGGCTTTATGAGTCATGGTAAGGAGTTTAGGCAATAAGGGTCCAAATGAGGATTTTAAATAAGGGACTTAAGATAGCTTTGCAGTTAACTTTGTCAGAGTGTTCTACAGGTGAGAAGATTTGAGGTAGGGACATTAGATAGGAGGCTAAGCTAATATCCAGATGAGCGGTGGTGGCCTGAACGAGGCCAGTGATTGGGAGGATTCTTGAAAGGGAATTTGAAAGATTTATGAACAATGCACTTATATTTCTGTAATTATTTTTCTGCTTATATTTCTTCATACTATGTGGGAAGTATCAAGACACCAATCCTTGGATTGGTGGGTACTAAAGAAACTTGTCAAATGACTTGATTGAATGAATCTGGACTCAAGCATTCATTCTTACCTAATAACAGTAGTACATATTTTTAAAGGGCCTTCTAAAGTACCTGGTACATAGTAGATACTCAAAATTACACACACACACACACACACACACACACACACAATATTTTAAAAGCCTAATAATTTGGGAGCCACCCTGAAACCTCAAAGCTAAAAGTCATTTATTTAATTGAGCACAATTTTTACTAATCTGAGAGGTGCCATCTTGATTTAGTTGTAAAGAGTTGGTTGTGTTCAGTTTTAAGGCAAACGAGTTAACTCTTTCTTTGGCGTAAAACATTACACCTCACCCTCTCATTGTGCTTAATAAATTACCTCTGCCATCCCCTTTTATTGACAGGAAAAGTGGGCACCAGAGGACCCAAACCGCCTGCCCAAAGCCACACAGCAAGATGATGTAGAAAAAGTAAAATATTTACATATCCACCTTGCGGCCCCCTCTAATGTTGCTTCTTCTCCACTTTAAGAGAAAGTTAGAAAATTGTGGATAGAAAGGGAAAGCAAATTCTGCATAAAAGAAAACATTTTTTAAAAATACAAATGTGGCCTAATTTAATTTCCAATATATGTCTCCACCTTCGGCTTTGAAAAAAGGTTAAAATGCAATTCTCCAAGACGAAGTTATTCCATAGAGGAATATTAACCTCCTCGCCCCTTGTACTTTGACTCGTTTTATCTCCTTTTCATTTTTGTTTGTGGGTCTATTCATTTTGGTGAGGCCAGGCACGTTGCTAGGTAACGGGCCCATCACGGGCCAGCATGTTAGCTTGCCTGGGTGGCAGACTTCCCTAGCGCTAGCTGCCGGCAATGCAGTCTCTCACAAAAAGCATTTATCACTGGGCAGGCACAGTAATGGCCACTCAGTGGAGGGGAAATTGAGCTGACCCGAAGGCCAAAGCTGTTAGGGAGACTGGTGGGAAGGGTAAGAGGGTCACAACACCCTTTTCCCACCCACTTAGTGGGCAGTAAGCGGTAGAACAGCCCAGCCACTGTTTTCACTAACATATCCTGAGGCTTTGCACCTGAAATAAATGTTTGCTTGACATTAACGATAAAAAAAGAAGAGGCCAAAAAATAAAATCCGTTTGTTCTAAGAACAATGAACTGAACAATGAACAGTGTGATTTAAAGTTAGCCAGAGTTTCCTCAAAATTTGATTTTGGTAGTTATGCTGAAAGGGAGAGTTGCAGAGAAGCGGGGTCCTAAATAATTAGTATGTTCTGATAGTGGTCATCCAAACGTTTATTTATGCAGCTCCTTGAATTTGAAAGGAGAGAAGTCTAAATATGTGTGCTTTTTAATTTTTTCCCCGTGAATGGCACCAGTTTTACAAGTATTAATGTTGGTCATCACCAAATTGATACTATTTTGGAAATATCCATTTCAAATTTCTGTGTAATTAAATAATGATACTTACCTTCCATATTTATTTAGCTTAACATGAGATAAAGTTTAGTAGGCAAACCAGACATTTACAAATGTGCTTAAATATACTTTTGCAATGTTGAGTAACAACACGTATTTGAATGTGATGCTTTCCTATACAATGTTACGGATTTTTCTGGAAACATTATTCAGATTTTATTTCCTTTTTTCAGAATTATTTTACATGAATGAATATAAAACAAAGAAAAGTGTCATTACAAAAACAAGAAAAGCATAAGTAATTCACGGAAGGATAAACATCGTTGTAAACAGCACAAAGGTTATACACAAAAATATTTTATTTTAACAGTGTAGAAATCTTGGCAAGATTCAATTGTGGAAGAAAAGAGAAATTCCTTCCCAGGCCATTTATTTTTTGCAATCAACTATAAGTCATGCCATTTTGTGTTAAAACTTGAAAAATTATATGAGGGTTTGAATGCCCTTGTATTAAAAAGTAGGCACTAAATATTATTTAGCATTTCATTTAAAATTATCTTTATTATTAAACATTATGCAGTTCCAATATTCTACTTTACTTGAGAGCAAACTCTTATTTTCCAAGTGAAGAACACATAACCATCAGAAATCCTCATTTCAAATATTATATCAATATTTTGACGAAATATTTTCCTCTCTCTAAGCCCCAGTTTTCCCCCAGAGGGGAAGGTAAAATCCACCCCACCTACCTCCCTGAGTAATCATGACAATCAGATGAGGTGTTAGCTGTGAAACACCATACAGATGTAAGACGACTATTTTATTATTGTGAAAAATAAAACTGTTTGGAGAAACTGAAAGGATGAGAGGTAGGTTTTCAACAGCACTCAATATTCTCTCATTTTTTATAGAATTAGGCTTCTTGCCTCTGTGCAATGCCAAAGTTATAAGCCTAGTAGAACCAGTGTGATTTTTTTTTGACCAATTAGCCTCGCTTTATACATAGACAAGAGGAATTGCTGCAGCTTTTCTTCAGAAATGGAGCAGAGTTAAGAGCACAAGAAGAGCCCTTTTCTTCACTCTGGCTCCACTGCTTTCAAACAACAATATTTAACCAACAAAAGAAGAGACCAAGTCAATCTCAGTTTTAGTGATTCCCCTGAAAGTCATCAAATAAAAATGTGAACTTTAAAATTGATCAGGATTAATTTCACTGACACTGTATCATAACATATACCTCTTTAGAGACTCATTTGTTGGGCTGCAGATGCAAAGAAAGTACGGAAAGAAATAAATCAGAACACAATAAGGCAATTAGACTTTTGCCATTGATAGAATACTAAAAATGTCTGATTTATCAAAGCATTAACAAACAGAAGTAAACACAAGACTTATATTTTCTTACAAAATACCTAGAGAGAGGAAGATTAAAATAATAACCAAGACCATGTGTATCAATAAATTTAATTTATAAATATTGCCCCATTGCCAGATGATGCTATTTCATTTGCTAATTTGAAGAGTGCAACAGCGAGGGATGATTTATCAATGCAAGTGCCACCCTGATGGGTAACTGCTGTTCTCAACGCTGTGGACACCTTCTCATGCAGATGAGAGGGTTTTAGTGAATTGGAAGTACAGTTTAATAAGAAAAGTTATTTAAGCTTTCCCTGTAGTCGTTACCTTCAATCTGAAATTGAACAAATATTTTTATAGTATTTTTCTTCACAGTGAACTCAATCCCAGGGTGATTATAATAAGAAAAATAGTTACCAGTGCAGGTCATCACACTAAGTGCTTATACATGTTATCTCATTTAATCCTGACAATAACTCTATTAAGTGGATATAATCATCTCCATTTACAGATGAGAAAAGTGACTCTGAGAAAGGTATGTCAACTCGGTGGTTTTGTTTGTTTGTTTGTTTAAAGAGATAGAGTTTCACTCTGTTCCCAAGCCTTGAGTGCAATGGGGCAATCACAGCCCACTGCAGCCTCAAATTCCTAAGCTCAAGTGATCCTCCTGCTTCAGCCTCTCAAGTAGCTAGGAATACAAGTGCATGCCACAGTGCCTTGCTAATTAAACAAATTTTTTTTTTGTAGAGACAGGGTCTTGCTCTCTTACCCAGGCTGGTCTCGAACTCCTGCCCTCAATGATTCTCCTACCTTGGCCTCCCAAAGCATGGAGATTACAGGTGTGAGCAACCATACCTGGCCTCAGCTTGGTTTTAGAAAATGTCAGAGTCAACATTTAAACCTGCTCAGCTCCAAAATATGTGCTCATAATCACTATCATATAATTACTTCAAAATATGTGCTTGAAAGTCTCAGAAATCAAAATTCTTTTAAGACAAACTGTGATGTTAATTACAGAAGCTGTATAATTTAACATGTGCTAATATATGGAAAGTTAAATTTTGATGAAAGAATTTTAGCAGTGAAAGAACCTCAACAGCCATCAAAATCAAACCTTCATCTCTGAGATAAAGAAGCTGAGACTACACAGGATGTGATGTACCTAAAGGCACATCTAAGGTTATTAAACAGGCACATGATTAAGTGATTGTTCCACCAAATAAGTCACTGCAAACTTGCCTCAAATGGCTAGTATATTTAAAATATAAGTCACTACACAACATTTCTACCTACACAAAAATGTCAAGGAAACACATCTGCTGCAAGATGAGATAGAGCTGTATATGCATACCTCAGAGATATTGCAGGCTTGGTTCCAGAATACCGCAATAAGGCAACTATGGAAATAAAGCAAGTCACAGGATTTTTTGGTTTCCCAATGCATGCAAAAGTCATGTTTATATTATCCTTTGTTGTCCTCTCAACAATGGTATAGCATCTTCACTAGAAGTGGATTCCATCTCAGAAACCACTTTCTTTGCTCATCCATAAGAAGCAATGCCTAGTTTGTTCAGGATTTATCATGAGATTGCAGCAATTCAGTCATATCTTCAGCCTCCACTTCTAATTCTAGTTCTCTTGCTATTTCTGCCACATCTGCAGTTCCTTCCTCCACTGAAGTCTTGAACCCCTCAAGGTCATCCAGGAGGGCTAGAATCAACTTCTTCCAAACTCTTATTAATGTTGATATTTTGACCTCCTTTTGTGAATCACAAATGTTCTCATGGCCTCTAGAATGGTGAATTCTTTCCTGAAGGTTTTCAATTTACTTTGCCAGATCCATCACATGAGTCAGTATCCATGATAGCAATAGCCTTTTGAAATGTGTTTCTGAAATCATAAGACTTGAAGGTGGAAATCACTACTTGATCCATGGGCTGCAGAATGGATGGTGTGTTAGCAGACATGAACACATTTATCTCCTAGTACATCGCCATCAGAGCTCTTGGGTGACCAGGTGCATTGCCAATGAGCAGTAATCTTTTGAAAGCAATCTTTGTTTCTGAGCAGTAGATCTCAAGAGTGGGCTTAAAATATTCGATAAACCATGCTGTTAACAGACGTGTTATCATCCAGTTTTTGTTGTTCCATTTCTAAGAGCATAGGCGGAGTAGATTTAGTGTAATTCTTAAGGGTCCTAGGATTTTTGGGATGGTAAATGAGCATTGGTTTCAACTTAAAGTCACCAGCTACACTAGTCCCTACCAAGAGAGTCAGTCTGTCCTTTGAAGCTTTGAATTCGGGCATTGACTTCTCTCTAGCTATGATGGTCCTAGATGGCATCTCCTTCTAATAGAAGGCTGTTTCATCTACACTGAAAATCTGTTGTTTAGTGTAGATCATCAATGATCTTAGTGAGATCTTCTGGACAATGTGCTGCAGCTTCTACATCAGCACTTGCTGCTTCACCTTATGCTTTATGTTACAGAGATGGCTTCTTTCCTTAAACCTCATGAACCAACCTCTGCTAGCTTCCAAATTTTCTTCTACAGCTTCCTCACCTCTCTCAGCCTTCATAGAATGGAAGAGAATTAGGATCTTGCTCTGGATTAGGCTTTAGCTTAAGAGAAGGTTGTGCTGGTTTAATCTTCTATCCAAACCACTCAAGCTTTCTGCATATCAACAATAAAGCTATCTTGCTTTCTTATCACTCTTGTGTTCATTACAGTGGCACTTTTAATTTCCTTCAAGAACTCTTCTTTTAAATTCAGAACTTGGCTAACTGTTTAGCTCAAGAGGCCTAGCTTTTGGCCTATCTCAGCTTTCAACATGCCTTCCTCACTAAGCTTACTCTAATCTACCTTTTGATTTAACGTGAGAGATGCAGGACTCTTCCTTTCACTTGAATGCTTAGAGGCCATTGTAGAGTTATTAATTGGCCTAATTTCAATATTGTTGTGTCTTAGGGAATAGGGAGGCCTCAGGAGAGGGAGAGAGATGGGGGGAATGGCCAAGTCGGTGGAGCAGTCAGAACACACGTATTTATGGATTAAATTATCTGTCTTATATAGACGTGGTTTGTGTGCTCCAAAACAATGACAACAATAACATCAAAGATCACTGCTTACAGACCACTGCAACAAATGTAATAATGGTAAATAAGTTTGATATGTTGTGAGAATTAGTAAATGTGACATGAAGTGAGCACATGCTGTTGAAAAAATGGAGCCCATAGACCTGCTTGATGGAAGGTTACCACAAACGTTCAATCTGTACAACCACAATGTCTGCAAAGCACAATAAACTGAAATGCAATAAAACAAGGAGGTATGCCTGTGTTAGAAATCAGGGGAAATCCGTCAGTTTCATTCTGCCCTGGCTTCCCGTATGTCAACCCCTATACTGGGCACTGTGACACCAAGATGAAGAGTTCTTAGTCTAGGCTTTGCATGGTAATAAAAATAACACAAATTCTTATGAATTTTAAGTAATACACTCAAAATTTAATTTTGAAAACTTACAGGAAGACTGAGGTTAATCTAAGTAATTTCTATGTACACTAAAACAGATACTAATCTGAGTGTGGCAATGCTCAGTCCCATAAGCAAAAAGAGACTGTGTCTGAGCCATTTTCCTCTTGGAGGTAGGGATGGAAGCAAAAATACTTAGACTATATTGTCCATTCCAAAAAGCTATCTACCAAAGAAAATATTGAACTACCTTTTGGTTCTGTCCCCAGATAGCTAATTAAGCAGGATTCCCTATAGACCTTTTCTAATCACATGAGATAGGCATCAGAAAATCATGAAGTCAACCGTATTTGTATATAAAAATAAATTTTAAAAATAGAAAGTGGAGTAATTCAACAAATCTATAAGAGATGGAAAGAGAACATCTTATCTTATCAATATCAGTACGCATAAATTCAACTAGTGCAATTTCCTGGTGAGCAAATCCAGATAATTTCAGGGTTTTTCCGAAGGTCACACAGCTTGATAGGGGCAGAGCCAGGTCTAGGACCAAGAGCTCTTGACTGTGGGTCTATGCTTTTCCCACTACATCAGATTACTTGGGCAAATGTCAATGCATAGTACACACATGAGAAAGATAGGAAAGAGTAGAAAATTGGCATACTCACTTGATTATTTGTATCTCCAACATGGAATAAAATATACAGTACAATTTCAGACCAATTTTGATAACAAGGCTACCAGTTCTAGTTTCAAAGTTACTTTGAACCTGTTAACAAAAATATTTTTATAATATCCACATAATGAGACATATGGTCATAACAGCCATTTGCACAAACATGTAAGCATTTAAATATAAGACATAAACTGTTCAGTATACTGTCTCTAGTATCTAATATGTTACTCCACACAGTGTAGAATGCTCCAAATTTGTCATTAGCTTTATAGGTTGCTCATTGTAAATGCCCTCAAACTTTCAAATTACCCTGCCGTACCTGATCTGTCATGGATAGTCAAAAGAAGAAAACACAAAGACTGAAAATATTATGATATTTTGAAAGTGACAGTTTCCTTGGGGTTTGACTTTCTGTACTCTAAATTCCTCCGGATGGAGATTTGCTTCTTAATTTGGCACATTCATCAGCTGGCACCTATTACATGACTATGTATAATAGTAAGAAGAAATCCTAAGCACATGGGACAGATACTGACATATAGTAAGAAATTCAATAAGACATTTGTTAAATGAATGAATGAATGAATAATTCTTATTTTCTTTGACCACTTCTCAAATGATACCAGGCAAACTACATTTACAAAAAAAAAAAAAAATGACAATATCACTTTAAACAGGTAAACTGAGCTTTTCTGAGGAGAATAAATTCTCCATTTCTATTTTGCACATTCCCATGTCTACTTTGAAATATTATAATTCTATGTTACAAAAACATAACTATTACTATTGTATAAAGACGTTGTGTCACACTTTTTTAAATAGGATTCAATTTTCTTTATGCTACTTAATGAAAAAAAAATTTCCCTTAAAAGAGCACAAACTGGAATTTAAAACATTGTTGGAAATACTTCTGGGTTTTAGAAGAGCCTAATCTTTCCATAGACTGAAATAGAATTATCCTACACCTCCTTAAAATATCAACTATTACGACTCCAATTACAGTCATGCACTACGTAACAATCAATGACAGACTGCACATGGACAGGGGAGCCACCCTATACATATATATCATTTTTAATCTTTCATATCATATTTCACTGTATCTTTTCTACGTTGAGATATATTTAGATACACAAATATTTACCATTGTGTTACAGTTGCCTACAGTATTCAGTACAGTAATGTGCTGTCTAGGTTTGTAGCCTAGGAGCAATATGCTGTGCCATACAGCCTAGATGTGTAGTGAGCTACTCCATCTAGGTTTGTGTAAGTACACTCTATGATGTTTACAAAATGATAAAATTACCTAACAAGGCATTTCTCTGAAGATACCCCTGTTGTTAAGTGATGTTTGACTGTACTTTTAAAATCTTCACTATGGGTGTGAAGTAGAGATTTAAGGAATTAATTCTTTAAAAAACTGTTTTTTATTTTTTAGCTTTTTTGTAGAGATGGGATCTTGTTATGTTTCCCAGGCTGGTTTTGAACTCCTGGTCTCAAGCAATCCTTCCGCCTTGGCCTCCCAAATACTAGGCTTACAGAAGTGAGCCCACTGTGCCCAGCCTAATTCTTACAATTCTGGCAGAGAAATAGTCATTAAAGTTTACTGTACTTTGATATGGCATTCTTGGGCAATAGTTCAGTTCAAAAAACATTCCTTGGGTAGCCACGATGTCCCATGGCAAATTTAAAAATAAATAGTACCTGCCTTCAGAAATAAATTCTGTACTATTCCAGTGAAAATAAAATAAGTATGATGACATATATTATAAGAATTAGTAAGGCAATGCTATACCAAGGGATGGGGATGGACAATGGGAATGGTCCACCCCAGGTACAAGCGTCATCTGCAGAAAATGTAAAAACCTGACCACATCTTGGTTTACTTCTTATTATCACCATACAGTAGCAATTCTAAATGACAACTATACTGGGTTGAATAGTGTCCCCCTCAAAATGTGCATCCTTCCCCGGACTTTGGAATGTGGCCTTATTTGGAAAAAGGGTTGTTGCAAATGTAATTAGTTAAGATGGGGTCATACTGGCATAGACAGGGTCCTTAATCCAATGACTGGTGTCTCTATTTTTTAATGGTGTCTTATTTCTCCAAATGAAGAAGAGGAAAAGAAACAGAGATAGACACAGACAAGGAGAAAATGCCATGTGATGACAGGGACAGAGACTGGAATAAGACGTCTATAAGCCAAGAAATGTCAAAGATTGCCAGCAACCATCTGAAGCTAAGAGAGCAGCAGGGAACAGATTCTCCCTCAGTGCCTTCCAAAGGAGCCAACCCTGTCAACACCTTGATTTCAAACTTCTAGCCTCCAGAATTATGAGACAATGGAATTTCTATTGTTTTAAGCCATCCAGTTTGTTGGACTTTGTTATGGCAGCCCTAGGATATGAAGACAATGACCGTTCCCAACACCCCACCTTCTTGCTACATCACTGATAGTAAAAATGTAACGTGGTCATTATTAAAGTATAGATTGTAACTTATAGTTAGTAGACTAATAGTCTGGAAGTGGAGACAGACATGTAAATATGGATTTCAACACAGCGTGGTAAGTGCCATGATGGAGGTGTGCACAGGCCTCTGTGGGTCACAGAGAAGGTCAGGGTTCAAGTACAGCTGTCCAGAGCAGTGCAGACAGTGCACTCAGGAAAACACAAATGAGTCCAGTTTGGCTGGAACGGATCATTCTGTGAAGGAGAAGAAAAGAGTGGAAAGAAAGGTGAAGCTCTGCTCATTGAAGGACTCTGAAAAATGGACATTGATATGGTGCTTTAGACTCACTCATCAAAGTATAGTCTGTGGACCAGTAGATCTGGCATTACTGGAAGCTTGCTAGAAATGCAGATGCCACTCTGGGAAACACTGTGTAGTGCCCTACTCCTTCAAGTGTGGTCCTGCAACCAGCAGCAGCAGCAGCAGCTGGAGGCTTGTGAGAAAGCCAGCCCCACTCCAGACCTGCCAAATCAGAATCTGCACTGGGCAACAGGATGCCCAGATGATTTGCTTATACACCAAAGGTGAGAAGCACCGTTCCAGGGCATATTAGCCCTCTGCTGAGCCATAATGAGAGGAAGTAAGTGGGTGAGAAGTTAGCTGAGGTGGGAGGTCTCAGAAGGTGGTGATACACTACGGCATGAGGGAACAGTATGAGCAAAGACATCGAGGTATAAAACAGCAGCTCAGTTTTATTGTACCAGGTACTGTGCTACATGCTTTCTATGCACTCATCTTTTGATCTCCATAGTCACCCGGTGTTTTTATTCCAACAGATGGAGGGGCAGAAAGGTGGATAACTGCTGGGTGCAGTGACTCATGCCTGTAATCCCAGCACTTTGGGAAGCCAAGGCAGGTGGATCACTTGAGCTGAGGAGTTCAAGAACAGCCTGGGCAACATGGGGAAACCCCATCTCTCCAAAAAATACAAAAGTTACCCGGGTGTGGTGATGTGCACCTGTAGTTCCAGCTACTTAGGAGGCTGAGGTGGGAGGATCATTGAGCCTGGGAATTGGAGGCTGCAGTGAGCCATGATTGCACCACTGCACTCCAGCCTGGGTGACACAGTGAGACACTGAGAAAGAAAGAAAGAAAGAAAGAAAGAAAGAAGAAAGAAAGAAGGAAAGAAAGAAAGAAAGAAACAAAGAAAGAAAGAAAGAAAGAGAAAAAGAAAGAAAGAAAGAAAGAAGGAAAAGAAGGATGGGGGAGGGGGGAGGGATAGCATGGAGAGATATACCTAATGCTAGATGATGAGTTAGTGGGTGCAGCGCACCAGCATGGCACATGTATACGTATGTAACTAACCTGCACAATGTGCACATGTACCCTAAAACTTAAAGTATAATAATAAAAAAAAAAGAAAGAAAAGAAGGAAGGAAGGAAAGATGGAAAGGAACGAAAGATGGAAAGGAAGGAAAGATGGAAAGAAACGAAAGGAGAATGACCAGCCCAGTGTCACTGGACACGAGGTGGGGATGTAAACTCAGGATTCCTCAACATCCTTCAAATACCCCAAGCCTTCATGCCTTGTGTAGCAGATTCCCTCTACAAGGAATTGCCTTCTTTATCTGTTAAATCTCATTCATTTTTCCAGATCCAGCTCCAAAAGTCACCTCCTGTGTGACCTCCTTCCCAGTTTCTCCCGTCGTTAGTTACATACTCTGTGATGATCCTGAACATCTCTTTCATACCACAATGATAGAATTTGTCATGGTCTGGCTTATTTGGTGCTCCCTCTGCTCTGTTCAACCCCAAATAGAAGGTGATGTTTTTGGAAGTGGAGGAGGCATGTCTCATTCATCTCAGTCTCCCTAGTGCCTAGTTTGGTGCTTCATGCCTAGTAAACACGAATATGGGTTTATTAAAGGTGGACGTGGGTGCCAACTCTGGCTGCATTCCTTACCAGCTATATGACCTTGAGCACATTCCTTAACCTTTCGAGCTTCAGTATTTGCATCTATGAAATGGTGATCATGAAACCTACTCATAAGGTTGATATGAGATATGTAAAAACGCCATGCACACTGCAGGGCACAGAGGAAGTGTGTGATAAATATCTTTTAAGGGATAGAATAAATGAGTAAGCTGACCTGGTGTAAAAGCAGATGGTAATAATAAACTACTACCTATAGAGTCTGTACCAGGCACTATTTAGGGTAAATTATGTACATTACCTCCCCATCCTTCAAATGCCACCTATTGTTATCATTATCATCATTTTATTTTAATAAGTAATTAAACTGAGTCCTATATAGGTTAAGAAGTTTCCTTAAGGTCAAAGAGAGAACCAGACTGGGACTCTGATCCAAGTGGGTCCAAAGTCTAAGCTGCTAGAAAAAAAAAAAAAAAACCCAAAAGGCTTGACAAAAGAACCTCCCCATTGATATAGTGGCCCATCCAAAGATCACACCACTGTACCTTTAACCTCCAGAGATAGAACTGTTTTATCAAATTTTTACCAAAACCTCGAAAAAATCTGAACACTTTTTAAATTAGATTCCTCAATACTAGAAAAATACAGCTGTTAGCAGTCACATGAGACCTGGCTGTTCTTCATGAAATACAAGCTGTGTTAATGGGAGGTATGTTAAAGCTGTTTGTTGCTGTACAGCACTGTGTGTATAACTAAAACAGTCAGGAGCTAGCTTCCCACGTTCAATGAAATGTTTACAGACAGACAAGTTAATAGGCATAAAAGCTATATCCAAAGCATGAGTGATATTCTTTTGATGTCAGCTCCATGGAATCCTTCCTGTTACAGTAGTAAGAATTTTTTTAAGGAGATTATATTATAGAATCAGAAAGTGCTTTTCTTTACTGTATGCCATTCCTGTTTCTCAGTTATAAGGGAAATGAATTTAGAAGTTTAAAAAAATCAAATTATTTATCTTAGTGTTCCCTGAAGTTTGCAAACTGCTGAGCAATGTGGTGCTTTGCCCTACATTCTCCTCATTGAGTCTATCTGGGTAAATTAATTACAAGACAATTCTTAGGAATTAAGTGTATTTTAAGTTCAGAGGCATCTGCTTAGAGACTTCTAATACCGCTAAATAGTCCCTTTGGAAATGCACTCGTTAGTATGAGTGGTATAATTTTCATTTCCGCTGGCACCATGGCGTATGACTTCTTCAGTTTCAGCTACCCTCTGATTGACCTGCCAAGGGCATAAACCACTCTGAAGATGTTCCAGCACCATTTGTGCTTCTCCAGTAGGTATAAGAAACTGGATTGATTTGCTCTACATCAAGGAATAATTTAAAAGATAATTTTTCCTGGTTTTAATGTGGTACATTCTCTGTGTAAACACACACACACACACACACACACACACACACACACACACTAGCCTGAACTTATAATAAGCTTATTGGGCAATAGAACAAAACAAATAAACATTTTCTTAGATAACAGATATTATATATGTCCTAAGGACATGAATTAGGAAAAAATCCATGGTGTGATTAATCCATTATGTAAAATGAAAATGCATTTTTAAGTCGAATGCCAATAAGATGTTGGCAGGGAATGGAAGGGGGGGTACTTGGAACACAGAGAACTGAAATTTACATTTGGGATTCTTTCCTCCCCTCTGAAATGAGAATGTGGTGAGTTTTATCACTTGATTCTTGTGAATCTGCTGTGTTCTGGTTTGGAAGAATTCTGAATCAGGGTGATTTTAGGACAGCTGCTGTTTCCCAGGCTCAAAACAAATAGAAGCAGAGTGTGGCCAGCTCTCCATAATTCCCTCAGTTATCCTCGGCATGGCTCTGCAGGGGCATCCCTAGAAAGACACAGGAGAGCCACTCACCATTCAGCCACCCTGTCGACAGATCTAATTTGGAAAGATCAGGTGTAGAGAAAAGAAAACAGTTCTTCGAATAAAACAGAGGCCAAAAAAAAAAAAATGCATAAAATAATCAGAATTTTTAGATATACACAGAGCTGGCATTCAGTTACCTCCAGAAGCACAGTTGACCCTGTGGAATGTCATCAGGTCAATCACTTTCTGATAATGATAGTAAATGGACATTTATACAGAGCTTTAGTGTTTATAAAACATGTCTATATATGGTGTATATCATTTGGACCCAATAACAATCCCATGATGAAGGTTATTATTAGAACTATTAAGAACACAGTCTTTGGAGTCCTGAAAATTAGGTTAAAATCCTAGCCCTCAATGTACTAACTGGACCACCTTGGGAACTTACTTACCTTCTCTGATGCTGTAATAGGAATAAATGAGATCACATGGGGAAAACATTTTCCCAGTGCTTGACACTTGGTATGCTCACAATAACTGGTAGTAGTTGTTGTTGTTATTATCTACTATATTGTGTTGCCTGCTTCAGTGATTTCAAAAGCTCATTCTTTTCCAATCCAAAAATATATTTCTCAAAATGTGGCTTGGAAACCAGTTTCTGAACCTTCTTAAGCAAACATATGTATACGTTGAATGAATGAATGAATGAATGAATGGAAAGAATTCTAGCTCAGGATCAACCAGAAAAAGTATAATGCATTGGGAAGTATTCTATTCATTCAGCAAACATTTATGTCTGAACTTAGTATGGACCAGGAACTATCATAGGCCAGCACACTTAATCTTCTTAGCAATTCTATGAATTAGACATTGTCTTCTTTCACAGATTACAAAAACAATTAGTCCAATAACTTACTTAACTTGCATAGAGACACACAGCCACTACATGACAAAGCCTGGGGTTGAAACCGGGTCTTTGGATTCTTGGTCCAGTGCTTATTCTCAGCACCTTGGCCTCTTGATCCATCGCAAGGATGACACATCCTGTTCATTTCCACATGAGCAGCCTCCACATTGAGACACGATTTTTTTCTAAGCCTAATTCACTTGGCTATTCAGCATGACTCTTGGGTATATAAAGCTATGTCATATCTGATAACATAGTAAAAATGTTGATACAATTAATAAACCTTTATCTACAATATAGTGCAAATCATGGCATACAGAAAAAAATAAAGAGCTGACATGAACTCCCTCCATGATCCCCATTCTCATGCTTTCATACCAGCCACTCCCCACACCTTGCTTACTGATTTAGAGGAAAAGGAGGAAAGAAGATTGACAAGAAAAAAGCTTAGAAAAGGAAATAGCTAACACCCATTCAGAACTGAGAACAGGTAATTAAAGCCTTCAAGAAAAGAATGGAACCACTGCTCACCAACTCCAGCTCTGAGTAAGACATATTCTCTCGTTGGCCATCTTATGGAACCTTCTACAACCTCATGGGCAAAGTGGGCTGCGGCAGTGGGCAATGTATTAAACAACTAATTAAGGTACAGTTGTTTTATAGTTGCTTTAGCCATTGCCTCCCAGTCACTTGCTTTACCTGTGTTAATTCATTCTTTCATTGCATCAATATATTTATGGAGCATCTTCTCCATATCTGGCATATAGTAAAAGTTAATAAATGTTTGCCAAATGCATTTAATTCTTCCCATTGCAGTGAGCCAGATAAACCAGTCTCTACCCCCAAGGGACTGACAGTCTACTTTGGATAACAAGTATCAAACAAATAATTACACTAATAATTACTTTCAATTGTATTAAGTGCTTCAAAAAAGAAGCACAGTATGTTAAGAGAGCAAATAATACATGACATTATTCTAGACAGGGCATAAAGGAAGACTTCCATGAGCAGGTGACATTTAAGCAAAGGAAGGGCACCAGCTTTAAGCAGAGAGTAGGGGCCAGGTCATTCCAGGCATAGGAGCAGCAAACCCTATCATGGCCTGCAAGGCTCTGTGACTTGGTCCTAGCTTCCTTGTGACCTCATCTCTTACCAGTCTCCCTTCAGTCACTCTTCTCAGTTCCACTAGTATTCTATTTTTAAAATACGTCAAATTTGTTCCTATCTTATGAGGCTTTTGCATTTGTTATTCCCTCTGCTTGGAATGCTGTTATCCCAGCTCTTTACGTAACTGGTTCCATCATCTAGATCTCAGTTTGACATGTCCTGCTCCTAGAAGCCTACCCCATCCACCATATTGGATGCAGCCCCACTCCTACTCCACCAGTCACCATCTACCATATCTCAATGTACTGGTTAACTCAGAGCATTTCTCAGTGCCTGATGACTTGCTTACTTGTTTATGTTTCTTTTTGCCAACTAGAAAATAAGTTCCATGAGAATCAGAATCTTGTGTGCCTGACACAAAGTAATCAAGCAATAAAAATTGAATAAATGAATAAAGATTAGCATTTATGAAGACTCTATGTTGGAAAGGGATGTGACATCTTCTGGGACAGAAAGGTCAATGTGGTTAGGATATAGTTTAATGTTTAATTCAATAGTAATTGTTTTTCAAATGTATACGTCTGTGTGTACAACATATATGTAGATAATTGCTCCTCAACCATATTTTAATCAGCTTGACAGTAATCACAGGTGTCTTCTTAGACATCGTACATGTCTTGCATATTGTAGCCACTCAACAAACTTTTTTTTATTATACTTTAAGTTCTAGGGTACATGTTCACAGCGTGCAGGTTTGTTACATATGTATACATGTGCCATGTGCCACTCAACAAACTTTTGACTAATTGGAAAAATAATTCTAGTCTGTTAAGGCATCACTATGTTATCTTTGCATATCAAATGTCAGCTTAGAAAGTGGCTTCCTATCATTATCTCAATGGATCATTCACTAATTTAGCCTTGCCAATGAACAGAGAGTTGATTGTACCAGCCCTAAAGGAGTGCACTTCTTTCTTTACAATTTGGTTCTGGGATTTAGACAAGGCAGGGGAAGATACCCCTTGGTTACCCTAATTTTATACAGTGTGCCCTAAAGACTCAAAATAGAAATAGAATAAGCTCAGCAAATAGGAATATATGTTTTGTTTGCTCTCTGAATTCTTGGGTAGGAAGGTATTGTTTCTCAGCACTAACAGATATTTTCCAACCTTCTTGCTTCAGCTGTTTGCCCCAGAAAGTAAGTGCTAGTGGGAAGACTGATAGTTAAATAATCAGGAATAGCAAAGTGTGGAAAAGGTATTTCATTTGCATGAAACCTTCTCCCCTCCAGGAGCAATTCCAGAGCTCCCTAACATACTGGTTTTGAAGCCCATGTGGTTTGAAAACAGAGCCTCCTAGGGGAATTTTACTGTAAAAGATCTCCCTGGGTCCCTAGGTCAGCTTTTTCCTGTTGGGCCCTCCAAAGCAAGACGGAGAACTAAGAAGTAATTGTCAGGTGGTTCTCATCCTTGCACATTCTACACTGGCAAAAACACTCCATATGTTTAAGATGGCTGTCCAGGGTCAATTATTGGATTAATTTTGGGAGGAGAGATTGACAATCCACACAATCCTAGGACCTACAAATTCAGGTCCAAAAATAAAATTTTCCCTCTCTTAATTATAGAAAAACTGTCCATGGTAAACCTAGACTAGTTTGGCTAGAAATCCCTTAAAGTCAGGGACTATGTTTAAGTTTTCTTTGCATTAATCAATTAGCACAGGTCCTGGAAAGTCATACTTGGATAAATATTAATGAATGGTCATCAAAAATCTATCAATTTCTGCAAGATTATGGTGTAAAAACAATCCAATCACACTAATTCAATGTCCTCCTAAACAGGTCATTAGATTGAGGAAAAATTGCAGCGGTAATAGATCTTGTCTTTATCAAGCTTTTGCAATTAGTACCTTTTGACATTGTTGTCAAGAATTTAAAAAATTAATCACCATGTAGATGAGCAAGTTTGTTAGGTTCTTTGGTTGTAAGCAAAAAAAAACTCATTCTGATTAATTTCAGCAGAAAAGGAATATATTGGAAAGGTACAATGTACAGAGAATCTACTGCATGGCTAAGGAAGCAGGTTTGGAACAGAAGGGCAGCTCCAAAAGTCTCTGTAGCAGGCTGCCTCTCAAATGAATGAACATCAACCATTTTTTTTTTCTGTTCTTACAACCCTCTGCTCAAGATTCAGAGTCCTACAAGAAGCAGACTGACTGCCCTAGTCCAGGTCATGGGCAAACCAAGGGGTAAAAGGGAATCTTGATTTACATTCCCATCAGCACTCTACACAGTGAGAGGTAATACCCAAAATAGCTATGGGGGAGGCTTTATTCAAAAGGAGAATGCTGTGAGGCTGAAAACCCACAAATGTCCACCATAGTGAATAAAGAAGGGAAAAAAGGAATTAACATTTCTTGGGCACTTGTATATACCAAGCACATCATGTGTGAATTACCTTATGCATGTATCTTATTTCATCCTCAGCTGTTCTGAAAGATGGGCATTTTATCCTCATTTTACAGATGAAGAAATTGAGGCTCAGAGAGATCAAGTGACTTGCCCAGCACCACCCACTTAATAAGCATTGGACTGAACATTTGGACCAAGGTTTATCTGATATCTGCACTATACTGCATGTCTCAAGCTTAAATAATAATATGCATGGGTTGTTGTCAGCCCTGAGGGTATAATAATTTTGACATTGTTGTCAAGAATAAAAAAAAAATTAATGGGATTCTAGGATGAGATTATAGAAAGACTGATTCTTACAAGAGAAAATTTAATGCTTTATTTACTGACTTGGTTGGTGAAATAAAGTACATTTGCAAGGTGGGGTTAGGGAGAGAACACAGGACAGAGAATGGGAAACACAGAGTTCATGTCCTGGCTTTGCTACTTTATAGTCATGTAACTCTGGGGGTCTGAGGTGTGGGTTCTTCAGTTGAAGGTGGAGGACAATATTATCTAATGAGTACCCATGCACAGCCTTTAGCATTTCTACCAAGTTTCTTAACCTTTCTCAGTCTCTTTTTTTTAATGCAAGATAAGGATAATATATCATAGGAATTAAATGAGACAGCATGGATAGATCTTGAGTGCAAGTTAGAAGTGCACAGTAAGTGTCATTTCCTTTTCACCCTAAACAGTTCTCACGAGGATCAGAAAAGATAATGTATGCAAAAATGTTTTAAAAGCTGTAACATGCTATACAAATGTTAGTAAATATAACCAAAATGCTAATAACATCAAGTTAGGTAGGACAATTTAAAAACCAAACCACAATTTTTCAATGGTTTGAAAATGACAGCATGGATATTCATTTGAATACAAGTTAACATTTTGTAGAGACAAATACAAAGTGTGGCAGAACATGGTTAACTGTTCACTAAACTCAATTCCTCTTCCTCTCGGGTACGTAGCAAAACGAAAATTTCCAGGTCTCCTGTAGCTAAATACAGCCATGTCACTGAGTTCAGCAAATGAATATGGGTGTAAACTTAGCTCATACAAATCTCCCAAGTGCAATTCTTCATAGGCTTTTTCCCCAGCACATTTGGAAACCATGTATTCAGATTGCAGAGCCACAAGGTAAAAGGAGCCTGGGTCTCTAAATCCCTGCTTGCAGGAAACTATTGATCAAGGACATACGTTTTGACTTTACATAAGCAAAAACACAAGCACCCACTGCAGTAAATTACTGAGTTTTAGCATTTATATATTCAACATATGCATAATGTAGCATTACATATATGTTAAATATACATGTAATGTTACAGCCAACAATACATTAACTCTGGGTTTCTCAACCTCAGCACTATTGACATTTTGGACTGGGTACTTATCTGCTTGGGGGGCTGTCCTGTGCATTGTAGGATGTTAGGCAGAAACCCCTGGCCTCTACACACCAGGTAACAGCAGCATCCCCCTTCTCCGTGGCAATCAAAACTGTCTCCTGAGGAGACATTTTGCCAAATGTCCCCAAGGAGAAAAATTGCCTGTGGTTGAGAACCACTACCTTAACTATACTTAAAAATTAATTTACTTAATTAAAAAAAATCTCCACAAGACCATGAGATTAAAGTAGAGGAATGACTTTCTCCCAAAGTAACAGTAAAACTGCTAAAGACCTTAGCCTAGCAGACTAGTGGTTAAAACTGTGCGTCCCTGAGCAAATTTGTTGAATTGAATTCTAAAAATCAAAATTTCTAAACAAAATAAGTTTCCAAACATGCCAGTGCTCTGCAACCAGATTAGAAACACCATCATCAAAGACAACACCTGGCACATCTGGCTACTCTGAGATCCTCAACTTCTGCAATGCTATTTCTCCAGGTGCTTTTATTCCTGTTTTTGGCAATGGCCCTGGAAGAGAAGTGTCTTGGTCTTTTATCAGAGTTATAGTCTCCTGCTTGTCCTCAGTGCATAGGAATATAATGATCTCATAGTGTAGATGATTTAACATAAAAATCCTCCCACTGCACAGCTTTCAGAAATCATTTTGGTGGAGTAAAAGCCAAGTGGCAATATATGAGCACTTTCTCTTAAACATTTTATTCATCATTCTAAAAAAACTCATAATGCAAAATTTTTCAACTTATAAAATGTCCACAAGATAAAAATTTGTTTCATTTTCTTTCTTTTTTTCCCCTCTTTCAAAACGTTTCCTTTCTGAATCACTATGCTAAAAACATATCAGGCAATCCACAAAGGCCTGCTGACCAGATTTAATCTTGGCATTATTCTATTGCAAATGAGCATAGCACACAAAAAGATGTGCTAATTTATTTAAGGAGGCATTTCCTTTTCAACTTTGATAAGGACAACACATTCAAATAAAAATATTAAAACATAAAACAACAAACTTTAAGAAGGGATATTGCTTTTCCCTCCTTTTCCTTGGTTTTCACAGGAACATCTATCAACCCATATCCAACAGTAATATATGTATACTGAAAGCTGCAAGAACAGAAAAAGTCACGCTTACAATGAACAAAATCATGAACTTGATGGAAACTTAGAGTTTTCTGTGAAATTCAAGTTTTCATATTTTCCTTTTAAAAACCCTGAAATTCATAAAGTCTATTCATAATAAATCATTTTGACTGTTCTTTTTCATTTTTATATATTTTAACTTTCTTTTTGAAAGTGTATAATAAATTCAGAACTGAGATAGGAGGCAGATATGTGCGAAATTTTGGAATTTATTATTAAGATGTGAATACTGATACTTCAATTTTTTTATTTCTAAAAAGTACCACATAAGACATAATTAAAAATCTCAAAACCAAATATATATATAAGTGTTATATCTCCCTATTGCCAATAACTATTAATTTGTTGCTTGGAGCCATTGGCCTCCTAACAGCATAGGCGGGTATAAGCTGGCTCTCCTTAACTGCTACTTCTCAAGGGACAACATGCCAAATTGGGAAGAAAAGGTACTTTGTTGTATGTGTTTTGATCTGAAAAGAATTACTAGCATTAACCAGTTAAAGCTCCTGGGAAATCAAAGTATCATCACTAACTATGAGCAGAGACCCCTAAACTTCCCATACAAATATTGCCTGCCACTGCAAGTAACCTTACAGTAGATAAATGGAGCTGCTCTTGAGTCCTCTTAGTTATCATTATATTATATTATGATTTTAGTTAGGTGATTCTGTGCATACACTGGAAATACATATGTACAGTAAATCTCTTTCTATAGCTGCATTAATATTCAGCATATATGTGATAAGCTAGCAATAGCACAACATCATTCATTTTCAAATCTGTGCACATTCTTGTTAGGCATTTGCACAGAAAGCCCATGAGTAATCCTTCAAGGAAAAGTTAGCAGAAGCTGGGTTTACTGTGTGAATGGGAGGAGGAAACATCTCTAAGAACTCAAATTTCCTCTTTGTTGTGCTCATTGGAATCCAGAGAAAAATGAACATGAGCTTGCCAGGCTGCACATTTTGCTGTAGCCCTGATGGAAGCAGTAAGTCCAGAGCCTGCTGCCTAGGAAGAGTTTTTCTAGCTGGAATTTGGGAATCGACTAAAAAAGTCCTTCCCCTGAAAGATGGATTAAATTGATCATTTTTTCCTAGACATAGTGCACTTCAGGCTCATTTTGCTTTGTAATTAAGAAGAAAGCCAGAAACATCATTTACACATTAAGAATTTAATAGATATATTTTTCTAGCTTTATGCATTAGCGCAGGACAGCCCATTAATGAAATAAGTCTTCCTTCAGGGTCAATTTAGATGGCTGTAATCTTCTGCAAATATATTGCAAATGAGGATCATTTAATGATCTTAAAACTAACTGCCAGGAGAGGATTGTTATAACTCTCCAGACAACAAAAAGAGACTTGGCATGGCATGCATATCCTTTCTTTAATTTAACAAATGTTTAAGTTTCTGGCCACTACATTTTTAAAATTTGCAAATGTTATCCTCTATTTAGGTTAGCCTCTGGCTTGCTGACCTGGGAGGCTAAATCTGAGTATAAAAAGTTCCAGCCTGCATTAAATGATCAATTAAAGGATAACAGTGTTGCACTGATAAAATATATCTCTTGCCTTGCTGATATGCCCATGATTGTCAAACTCTGCTAAGCTCCCCTTGTTCTGGTCCAGCTCATCTTTTTCTCCAGAACTTCTTTGCCTGACTTCACTAACCCCTATCTATTGACAACCACTGTTAAAACAATACTTAGCATGTGTGCAGCATTCAAGTATTTTAAAAATTCGTTCACACGTGTGATCTTATTTGTTCCTGAAAATAATACCACATACAGGTATGGAGCATGCCATTTCCCCTTTTATAACAAGTAAGGAATCTGTGGTTCAAAGGGACTGAATGCTGGGCTCAAGCCCACTCTCTCATTCTATTTCCCCTACCTTCAGCAAGTAAGAACTAAAATTCAGGTCCTCTGATTCCTGATTCAGTATTCATTCATATCAACCTGTAACCCATGGTACTTGGAAAAGTACGGACCTAAAACTGCGGAAGCCTGGAGGGAAGATTTGGTACAACACGAACACCTCTATGCCTTCAGAGAAAGTAGCTGGAGAAACAAAACATCATCCTTTAAAAATATAGCATATATACGTGTGTATGTGGTGATTGTTACAGGGATGAAGTACATAGTAAGTGTTAAGAAGTTCATGGAAAGAAATTTCATGGGATATAGAAGTCAGAGAAGATTTTTTGGAAAAGGTAGACTTGAAAGAAGGGCAATAACTGTATAGGAGAAGTGAGAAACATCTGGCAAGAGGCAGCACATACTGGGCTCACAACCTGGCTCTGCCATTTATCAACTGTGCAACTCTGATCACGTTATTCAATTTCTCTAAGCCTCAATTCCTTGTCTGTAAAATGGGAATAATTATTAGCACCTACTTCTTAGAGTTGTTAATCATAGATGAGAAAATGTATGCAAAGAGCTTAGTATAAGTGGCTGATACAGCATCAGTGTTCATTACTAAAACAGCTTGAGCAAAGGAATAGAAATGAGGTATAAGAAGGGCAACAGCTAATGTATGCTGGGCTTCATACCTAGGTGATGGGTTGATAAGTGCAGCAAACCACCAAGCCACTTTTACCTCTGTAACAAACCTGCACATCCTGCACATGTATCCCAGACTTAAAATTAAATTAAATTAAATTATTTAAAAAAGAAGGACTGCCAAAAATAATGATTAAATTAGTCAGGTCTGAGTAAACTTTGGTAAAAAGAGCAATGAGAAAATATTAGAAAAAATTCAGACTAGATTATGGAGACATGTAAGTGCCAAGATAACAAGCTTTGCCTGGTGCCTTCCTATTTCTATTTGCAATTCAGCTTACATTCTAGAAACAAAATCTTATAGTCAATATGTAAAAAGATACAAGTAGAACTGCCCTAGTTGGAGCTGGTGTCAAGATTCCAGAGCCCTACCTGATAAGTGCTCTCCCTACCAACCACAGCATCCCCTGAAAGACAAGTTGGAAACCAAGTGTTCTGATGACAGGACGCTATTGAAGTCTTCTGCTCAGGGAAGTGGTATGAAGAATATTTACCTGGCAGCAGTAAACAGATTGCAAAGCAGACAGAGACACCAATGACTACTTAGCATCCTGTTATAGTTGTCAGGCGATGAGGGTTTGGAACAGAATAGAGCTGTGGCAGTGAGAACAGACAGAGAGGGACAGGTGCCAAAGACATTACAAAAGACAATTTGATAGGTCTTTGTGAGTTGTCTAGGTGGGGAAAATGGGGGAAAAAGGATCAAAACTGAGTCATGGGCTACAGACCTGGGCAATCGTTGGTGGATTCCTCAGTGCCACGCTTCAATTTCCCAAAGACATCTTTTTGTTGTTGTTGTTTACTTGAGAAACAGCCTGTCCAAGGACATCTTATTAAACTCTACTATAAAGTAATGATGGCTAAAGCCATAATTTATGATTTCACAAAGTTCTGAGTCATTTAGAATGACAATACCTAAATTATTGATTGGGATTATAATGAATATTAATTGGTAGGGGGCTAGAGTGAGAAGTGAGGTTCCTGGTCAAAAAAATTTAGAAAACACTGAGTTGAATAAAGTTAAACAGGCTTTTATTTTATTATTATGTTTTGTTGTTGTTGTTGAGATGGAGTCTGGCTCTGTCACTGGGGCTGAAGTGCAGTGGCATGATCTCTGGCTCACTGCAACCTTTTCCTCCCAGGCTCAAGCATTCTCCTGCCTCAGCATCCTGAGTAGCTGGGATTACAGGCATCCACCACCATGTCCAGCTAATTTTTTTGTGTGTAGAGATGGGGCTTCACCATGTTGGCCAGGCTGGTCTCGAACTCCTGACCTCAAGTGATCCACCTGCCTCAGTCTCCCAAAGTGCTGGGATTACAGGCATGAGCCACCGCACCCGGCCACAAACTCCTGATTCTTTAATATTCTGATGGGCAGTTTGAACTCTTATGCAAAAGATGGAATCAGAGGCTTTCCTCAAACTTATTTGACCAAGAACCCCTTTTTAAGAAACATACTTATGGGATTAATGTTTCTTGGAACCCATTTTGGGATATGCTGCTCTGTGAAAGCCAACAAAGGACACCTGAACTAAGATTCATCTCAATTATCACTCACTGGAAATATGCTGTGTGTCAGGTACAAGACTTCTGTCCTCAAGGAACTCAAAGTCGAGTGGGGGAGGCTCACATATACCCCATATTATATACCCACAATATATATAAAATGCATGATGTGTTTTGGGAACAGCAAGTGGCTCATGTGGCTACAAATAAGAATGTAGATTGAGCAATGAGAGTGGCAGGTGATAACGCTGGCAAAGCACACAGAAGTAATTATTACTGATGTTATTAGCTACCATCTATTGAATGCATGCTATTTGTTAAGCATCATGCTAAGTATCTTACATGTATCACATCAATAAATCCTCTCTACAGTCTCATAAGGTTGGTACAATTATCATCCACATTTCGCAGATGCAAAAACAGAGGTTTAGAGAAGGCTAATAACTTACCGAACGTCTCATGCTATCTAAATGGCAAAGCCCATACAACCCCAGACCTACCAGAGCCCAGGTCTGTGTGCTTAACCATTGTGGTAATGGGCTTCTTAAACCTTGTGAGCTGTTTTAAGAATGTGGACTCCACCAGGAAAGCCTTGAGGAGGCTTGGAAGGTTCTACATCTTTTCCTCTCTTATGACAAATCTTCAAAAATACTTTGAGTCAAAGCCATACACAAAACAGAAGAAAACGACACTTGCTAAACTACCAAAACCACAACCGCCTTGCAGAGATGCTCATGAGTCAGAGCCTCCAAATTGCCTGGGGATTTTCCAATGAAAGGCTCTTATGTGTCTGCAAGGAACTCTCCTGCTGGGTTATCTTCTTCAATCACTGTTTCTTAGCATTGCATTGCTGCACCATGAAAATCTTGCTTTAGTTTACCTTCTTCAGAGAATCCGCCTCTCCACATTCTGTCTGTCATGTGGGTTTACTGAGAGCTAACTTTCAAAGTCATGCATTCTATGGTAAGTGTATTTTAAACCATGCAGCATCACATTAAAAAGAAATGGCAGTCATTCTGCCCTGGAAACTGTTCCCTAGCATGACATTACTTTAATTCACTGGCTCCTTGTAATCAAGATCTAATAAACAGCACCTTTAAATAAGTCCTACACACAGCCTGCATTGTTACAATCAATTGAACTACTTAAAAAAGAAAACCTCTGAGGCTATCTGGAGGCATTCTGTGCTTCCCTCTGTTTTATGGCACAACCTTAGACACGATGTGTAAAAAGGTCAAGACAGCATGTAGGCTTTTGCATTAAACAGCAGAACACTAATTAGTTTTAGTGACAATGGGGTTCTGTTAGTGTGTTCTAATATTTTGATGCTTAGTTTTCTTTGAAACCTCCAACCATAATACACAAAAGTTCTTCTATCTTCCCGTTTTTCTTATATCTTGACTTTTCAACCCCATCATCTGTTTGAACTAAGCATGTATATTTTCCATTTCTTTATTTTCATTAAAAGCCTGTTCTAAAATTTCATTTCAAAACAGCTCACTTAAAAGACAATTTAATGTGGAACCTAATTTTTTCTATTAGTTTTAACCATGTTTTGAAATCTCAAATGTAAATTGTGTTAAAACAACTGTCAATTGGCTTTAATATTTATGCATATTAACTGTCCAGAGAAGGTATACTATGCTATAAATAGTATAGCATTTATACTATTTATATATATAAACTGCTGAGTGTTAAAATTTTTTAAAAACAGATTTCCACATTCCTGAACTCTATTTTAAATTAGTAGGAGAAATAATATAGTTCTTCAAAACCAAAGTGTTATTATTTTTAGGTTTTCATTACTATGTTTGTATCTGTATTCTTATCCTTTTTCTAAATATAGGTAATTACCAAAAACATTTTCCAGGAGAAAGAATGCAACTGAAGAAAATAACACTATCTGACACTTTATTAACAAATTGATATCTCTTCAAAATACCAATAACTATAAGTAATTTTAGTACAGTGTACCTTTCTATAAAATAAATGACAAACTGAATGAATTTTCCTCAGCTAACTTAGGAATTGCCAGTTCCTTACAAGACAGATTTATGCCACATTTGGTATCATTTACTGTTTTTTAAAAAAGAGTTTGAGGCCATAAGCTTACAGTGGTCACCCTCTTTTCAAAAGGTTATTGGGCTAATGCTCTAATAATATCTTCTGATGCTGTTCTCCTATGGGATTAAAAGCAATCAAATCTGTAGGTGGGAAAAAAAATTCACATTTTTCTTTGTTCCCCTTAGCCGACTTGGCTATGGTCTACAGAAGCCGAACTTTCATTAAAAGAAAATAAAGTTTCTAGCCCTTCATCCTGTAAAGATAGCATCTTTATACCGTAAATCAATACACTGCCGTTTGGTTTGCTCTCTGGCTAGACAGACCAAAACAATATAGCATTAAGGGAAGTGGGAGCATCCCTTCCAAGCCATTTGTCTTAATGGAGTGCCCACTTCAAAACTGACTTCTTACTGCTTCCATGATGCCAATTTAATTGCTATCAAGCCAGACCAAAAGAAACAAATCCAGTTATAAAGCCAATTCTTTGTAACCAAAATGGGATATATGTGAGTGTGCTGTAGACTGCTTACCATGTGCCAGGCACTGTACTAAACACATAAATGCATTTATTTATTCATAAATGAATAATTGCCTTATTTCATCCTGTTAGGTAGTTATTATTTCTAATTTCCATTTTATAGAGGAGAAATCTGAGACTCAGAGAGGTTAAGTAACTTGCTAAGGTCATAGAGCTCATGAGGTGGAGTAGCTGGGGTGCGAACCCAAACCTATCCAACCTCAGATTTTAGCCTCTTAACCACGATATCATGTTGTCTAGCAAAAGCAATAAACTAATTCTTATTTCATTTAGATTCTGTGCTATTTCTAAACAAACATTTCCAAGAATTTGCCCAACAATAACTATTATGAAACAGAATAATATGGTATTTTTTGGCCCATATATCTTCTGTATGCAACAAAAGTGACACTCAAATCTTGAGGCATCTTTACTTCAAGGAATAGGGAAAAGCACACAAAATGTAGGGTCAAACTAGCTGTGTAACTTGGGCAAGCAACCTCACTGAGATTTACTTTCTCATCTGCAAAATGGTGGTAATAATAGCTATCTACCGGGATCATCATTAGGATTATAGCTAAAAATTGATCAAACACTAACTCCATGCCCAGCACTGTGCAGGAACTTTGCTCAGATTGTCTCTTTTCTACAACTTTTGTCAATTAAGTATTTTTTTAAAGAGTAAACTATATTGTCTAATTTAATGCTCACAATGACCCTCTGTGGATTTACTTATCCTGACACATATTCGTCCATTCATTCAAAAATATTTACACCAACTGCTGGGTGTTAAGAATGCAACATTATTCATGAGAAGCATGGCCACTGCCACCTCAATTGGCAATAATTAATAATGACAACAATACAACTTTGGTGCTTTGGTTTTTCCTAGGTTTTTGATAGGGATAGGAGCCTCAGTTTACAAACTAAAGTTAGGGATTCTCTACTTGGCCTGCCAGTCTTTCAAGTAGTTGATACAGAGTACAGCCGTGTTGGATAAATGCTGTACTTGAGTTTTTATTATTGTCTGAGGCCTTTTACCTATCACAAGCAATGCTTCCTGATAAAAGTCTTCTCTATTCACTAGGCTAGAGTAAATTCCTTACCATTCCTCCAAAAAACATCCCACACGCCACCCCCAAATTTGTTTTTTGTTTGCTTGGTTGGTTTTGGTGTTTTTGAAACAGGTTCTCACTCTGTCGCCCATGCTGAAGTACAATGGTGCTATCTCAGCTCACTGCAACCTCTGCTTCCCAAGCTTAAGTGATCCTCTAGGCTCGGCCTCTCAAGTAGCTGGGACTACTGGAGTGCACCACCACACCCGGCTAATTTTTGTATTTTTGGTAGAGACAGGGTTTTGACATGTTAACCAGGCTGATCTTGAACTCCTGAGCTCGAAGCCTTCTGCCTACATCTGTCTTCCAAAGTGCTGGGATTACAGGCATGAGCCATGACACCCAGCCCCGAATTTGTTAATTGGATACTCTCTGCCTGAAATTCCTTCCCGTCCTTCTTGTTTTCCAGATCTACCCATTGTTATTCATTAATCCATTTAACAAATATTTATTGAGTGCCTACTGTCTGCCAGGAACTGTTCAGGGTGCTTAGGATTCAGCAGCAAGAAAAAAAAAAAAGTCAAAAAATCCCTAACCCCATGGAGCTTACATTTTTGTGTGATAATTAATCATTCCTTAATCATTCTTTATACACCTGTAGCAGAAAATGGCACATTCTGAATATTGTATCCTCAGTATGAACTGAGGATAGAAATGGTTGATGGCCACAAGGTTTCAAACACAGCACTAGCAATACGTTTGTCCATATTATTCACTAGAGAAACCCATTTCTCTAGTGAGGACATACACAGAACTCTGGTTTCTGAACAACAATAACCTTGTGAAGTGGGTAAATGGACTAAGTCACCCCACTTTTGGCTAAGTCAAGGATAGGGGAAAAACAGAACTAAAGATCCTTCCATGTTTCTGCCATTCCCTTTCCAGGGAGCCACCCTGTCTTGGCAACTTGATGATTCAACCCACTTCCTTTTTGGTCCTATTTCATCATCACATGGTGCTTAGTGCCTCAGCCATAATCCCCTGATGGTAAAGGGGGCCAGGAAGTGGGCATGCTGAAATATACCTGGCTCTGAAAATCTGGATTGGTTTTTGGAAAAGTCTAGACCTCCAACTTAAAAACAAACAAACAAACAAACAAAAACCAAAAACAAAACCCACAAATAAACTGTATTTTAATAGTGACTCAGTAAATTATCTTTCAGGAATGTAACTACTAGAGCATCACAATACCCAATATGTCTTGGTTCCTAACTCAATATTTTTAATTACTTGCCTTTATTGGTCAGATAAAATGTAGAGTCAAGTTTCAAGCAATACCTTTTATTGGACTAATGGTGGAACATTGACAGATAAGCTTTGGGGATATAGAAAATTCCCCTCTAGGTCAGTGAGGGATTGACTCTGAGGAAAGGATTTCTGTAAGCAGAGAAGCCTCTCTGTCAATATTGTACAGTTTGTCCAATAAAAGGTATTACTCAAAAGATGGTGGGTGTTTCGCTTTGACGTTTAAGAAAAAAAAATGAGTCTTGTGAACTAAAGATGTTATTATGTAGGACGGATCTTATAGAAGTCATCTGATTTTTCTAAACCTCCATTTCCTCATCTTAGAATCTATCCATCTACTTCATAGGGTTATCAGATGTTATTAGCTAATGTTTGTAAAAACATTTTTATAATTGGAAAGTATGATAATATGTGCTATAGTTATCATTCATCATTAATATGACTAAACAATGAATGCCAATAAACTTAACAGATATCAAAGAGATGCTAATACTGCAAGTTACCACAGTGAGAGTCCTTTCAAATTCCTATCTCGACACTGATGATTCATAGTGTTTGTTCAAGTCAACAAAATGCTTCTGAGTCCCTACTATGGGCTAGACATTAATGTTCCATCAGCACTTTCATTTAGAGGAAGAAGCTGTTTATAAATAAAACATGTAAAATGTCATGCATGGGGAAAGATAGCATGCATCCTATAGCCTTGTAGCACCTGTGAGGCTCTTTCCTTTGTTACTGTAGAGGCCTTCCTTTTCCGAGTTGTCGGTATAAACAGTTCCATTGATAATCCCTAATAATCTGAAAAAGAGCATATCTATGGTTCCTCAAGGCCATTCACAAAATACCAACAAAAGCTCTGCATTGTGTTTCAAAAAGAACAGTTGGATTCTAAATAGACTCTAATTTTGGAAAACTCAGGGTAACAATTAATTCTCTTGGCTTCCTTTGTCAAACAAATCCAAATAAATAAACCAGTACTTGCAATGAGCTATAGGAGTCTAGACTTTTCTATGCAGACTGATAAATACCTTATACTTAAAGGACCATCCTCAATCACACAAAACATTAACCCTTTAAATAGCAACTATTTAGACCAGTTTCGTGTATTTGCCTAAATCCTCATCTTCCCCAAAGTAATAAAGGGTATATCAGCTATTGTTTTTGCTAGAAAGCTGTTATTTTAAAAACAGGTCATCAGATAAGTGCATTCAGGACCAGTTAACTACGTCTTGACAGTGTCTTCTCCTATAAGATGCAGTGAGTCGCAAGGATGAGTTTTCTAAGGAACCTTACATCACCAGATGGAGATCTCTGAGAGCTCAATTTGAGATCTGTGTCTACAGGGGACCATTTATACTGAATCAGCTGAGGACTTCAATGAAACAACTGGCTTAGAGCGTTGTTTTTGCTAAAGGAATCAACAGATTCAAATGTATTGGTGTCTTAGTAAACGAACCCAAATTTAGCTAATTTATCTCATTTCTTCAATAATTCATTCAATAACCATTTGCTGAATACCTACCATATGCTGGCCACCGTGGTATATGTCAGGTTGCTCACAGTCTGTGAGAGAGGCAGGCATAGTAACAAATGCAATGTGATGGTGTTGGAGACACAGATGTGAAGGGGAAGCAAGAAGGGCTTCCAAGAAAAGACGAAGCTTGAGAAGAGTTGTGAGAAGCAGTACGAGTCAGTCAGAAAAAGATGGAGTTTGTGGAGACGGGAGTCCAGAAGGAAGAGCATAGGCCAAGCCCAGGGGAAAATGAAATCAAACCTCATGGTTCTCTACTGCAAGATGTCCCTTGAGGTCCTATGTAAGCTTGTTTCAGAACTGCCCAGGCTGACTCAGGAACCCAGTGAAGTTCTCTGGGAACTTCCTGGTTGTGAAGTTCCTGCTTGGAGCTTCAGGTGATTTGGGTGCCTCAGCAAAGCCTTTCTCTAAATGCAGGAGGGAAGGCCCAGATTCTTCACACCTGAGGAAAGCAAAGTCCTTTTCCAAAAAAAGATGTGGCATCTGGGAATCCCAGTCCTGGAAGGACAGAGGGAGTCATTAGGAAAGTTGGAATAATATTCTTCAGCCTTAGTATCATACTCAATCCAAAATTTATCCTCGGTGAGAAGCCAGGTCTTTATCCTCACACGGAAGAGACCTTGGCTCTTTCTTTCACTTCTGATGTCACCCCAGGCTGTTGTCCAAGGAATTTCCAATCCCAGACAACAAGTGCGTTCAAATGAGAAAAGGAAATAAAGGTAAGTGAAGACAGAACTGGGAGCAGAGGCTTGAATTTTGCTCTAACAGAAGAGTGAAAGGAAGGAAGTTTCCAAACTCAAAATATCAAGAAATCAATAATTCCACACACAAAACTCAATAGTACTATTTTATATTCAGGTTATTCACCCCCTCGGGCTACTGTTTGGTTCAAGATGCCTTAAAAAAAGGTAGCAATAACTAGAAGCAACTGTTTTCCTTTTCCATTCTCATTTCACCCAGTGGTTAGACTGAGGTTTGTTGGTTTGTGCCCATAGGCAAAGACTATGGGGGCCAATGGGGATCTTTGTAATGGAGTTATATACCTCTGAAAATAGGATTTTATTACTTAAAAAAATCTAAATGCAACTTTCATTATAGAGACACAAACACAGAATTAAAGGTAATGTTACCTGGCTGGGCACAGTTGCTCACGCCTGTAATCCCAGCACTTTGGGGGGCCGAGGCAGGTGGATCACTTGAGTTTAGTGGTTCGAGACCAGCCTGGCCAACATGGTGAAACCCCATCTCTACTAAAAATACAAAAAATTAGCTGGGTGTGATAGCAGGTGCCTGTAATCTCAGCTACCTAGGAGGCTGGGGCACAAGAATCGCTTGAACCCAGAAGGCAGAGGTTTCGGTGAGCCGAGATCGTGCCACTGTACTCCACACTCCAGCCTGGGTGACAGAGCAAGATTCCATCTAAAATCAAAAACAAAAACAAACAAACAAAAAAGGATAATGTTATCTTTGGTTAACTAGATAAATTGAAACATGCAAACATGGTGTCATCACTTTTTGTTCTTCAAGTTCTCACTATCAACTCAGACTACACAAAACTGCTCAGATTTAAGTAAATCAATGTTAACTTCAAGAATGCACTATTTTCTAGTCATCTGTTAAGTCAGTATGTATAAGATTGCTTCAGAGAGATGTGTAATTTCATAAACCACCATAAAACTCGTCAGTTTACTTGTGTTTTTTTTAACCATCTCTGCTTTTCATTAAAAAACGGATAAGATCATTGCCAATGAAAAGCCCAGCCCCAGAAGTACAGTCATCAACAATTAAAGAAACATTTTATTGCTGAATAAACTCTTTCTCCTTTATAAGAAATGTCACAGGGCTATTTTTTGCTTTTGAGAGAAGTGGCGTTGTGATGACGTGTCCCTTTGAATAACTGCACACTCTGTTCCCCACTTGCACCCTGCAGAATGTAGCCTCCCTAAACACATGAAACAAGTCGTCCTTAAACCCCCTTTGGGAATCTCTCTGATTAGCTACAGAGAGAAACTTTCCAGTTCTGTTGTCATTAATTATGTATTCCTTCCATAAATGCTTGCTAAATACCTATGATGCTCCAGACAGCATGAGAAATTCTGAGTTCACACAGGTGAAAATGATGGACTGGCCCCTGCCCTGACACTGTGTATAGTCCAGTAGTTGGAGACACAGATAAGGAAAAGGACAATCACATGACAGTATGGGATGTATGGGAGTACACTGGGTGCTCTAAGCAGGGGCCCTAATCCAATCTGAAGAGTTTGGGACACTTTGCTGGAAGATGGGCTATCTCAGCTGAGTGCTGAGCCAAGGGAAAAAGTGAAGATGTGGGTGCAAAGACAAAACAAACAAACAAACAAACAAACCCCATGACTTTAAGAGGTGGTGTGGACGGCCAGGCGCAGTGGCTCATACTTATAATCCCAGCACTTTTTGGGAGGCCAAGGAGGGTGGATCACCTGAAGTCAGGAGTTCGAGACCAGCCTGGCCAACATGGTGAAACCCCGTCTCTACTAAAAATACCCAAAATTAGCTGGGCGTGGTGGTGCATGCCTGTAATTCCAGCTACTCAGGAGGCTGAGACAGGAGAATTGCTTGAACCCAGGGAGCAGAGGTTGCAGTGAGCCGAGATCGTGCCACTGCACTCCAGCCTGGTGACAGAGTGACACTCCGTCTCAAAAAAAAAAAAAGAGGTGGTGTGATGGCTGATTTTATGTATCAATTTGACTGGGCTGGCTAAGGGAAGCCCAAACAGCTGGTAAGACATTATTGATGAGTAATGAAGAAAACAATGAATTGGTAGACAGAGTAACGAAGATTAGCCCTCACAAATGTGGGTGGACTTCATCCAATCCATTGAGGGCCTGGGTAGAGCAAAAAGACAGAGAAAGAATGAACTTGATCTTTCTTCTCAAGCTGGGACATCCATCTTCTGTTCTTCGTCATTGGTGATCCTGGTTCTCAGGCCTTCATACTCAGGCTGGGAGTTACGCCATTGGTTCCTCTGCTTTTCAGGCCTTCAGGCTTGGCCTGGAACAACACCACTGGCTTTCCTGGGTCTTCAGCTTGCAGGGGAAGATGATGGGACTTCTTAGCCTCCATTATCATGTGAGCTGATTCCTCATAATAAATCTCTTTTTATCTATCTATCTCCTATTGGTTCTGTGTTTCTCTAGAACTTTGACTAATACAGATGGATTTGGATGAATTTCAACAATGACTTAAAAAAAATCAAACAAGATTGAAAATAAGCAAGCTGACCTTTGAAGTCAATCATTTAGAATGTGTCTGTAAGAGCTCATCTAGATATATATGGCATAGAACAATAGGAAACAAACAGGATTTGGAATCAGAAAACTGGTTCAGGTCTAAGATTCTAATTCTTATATGCTATATGACCCAAGATAAATCACTTAAACTCTCTGGGGTGTGGTTACTTTTTTCTCATCTGTGAAACTAGAATTACAATGTACCTGCTGTGCCATTCTCAGATAGTTGTTAGGCTCAAATGAAATAGTGGATGTAAACATTCTTTTTAAACTGTAAAGCATTACACAAATGTTAGTTATTATTATTAAAACAAAAGTAGAAGTGGGCTAGTAGAATTAATAGGATTTAGATACAAGAAAAAAAAACAGAGATTATGAATATAAAGTGAAAGATAGTTCTCTTTCTTGCTAGGGTAATGGCCAAAATTAATTTCTCAAAGCCTGGGAAATTTGCCAGGAATATGTGAAGGAGGTACAAATTCCTATTTTTAAAAAAGGTAGAAATTTTAAATGTGATTTAAAAAAAAAGCAGTGCTCAGAGGTAGGAAAGCTCTGCTTCCTATTTAAGATGTCAGAGAGGAAAGCAACATGGCAAAATACATTATCAAGAAGGTTCTTAAGAACGTTAATGACCATATAGATATTTTCAGCAGCTAAAGCACTTAACTGAGTGCATAGATTTTAAAGAAAAAGGAAATGTAAGCCTACTGGAGTGAAAATGAGGGTAAAAAGTCAAGTTGAGGTGAAATGACTGTACAAAAATCAGATGACAGAAAGATGTGTAGGTAGAGCAGGGCCGTGAAAGAGGCTAGGAACGTTTCAGCAAGAACACAGACACCCGTTAGAAGCAGCAAACATACTGAGCATCTTCTCTCTGCCAGGCACTGCGCTCTGTGCTAGGGGCAGATAAGGTGCAGTTCCTGTTCTCCAGGGGCTCACAAAGCACTTGCAGATTTCAGTGCACTTTAGAAGCGAACAGAAGGGAGAGTGATAATGGCCATAAGGCCTGACAACAGATGGATTTAAGACGGTGCTGAAAGAGAGATCAAAGATACGGGAGTTGTTTATGGAGCTGTTTGAAGCAAAAAAGAAAACATCTACGGCTCACAATACAAGCTGCATGATCATAGATGAAGAGGGGCCGTACTCTCTCAGGTCTGAGAATCACACTGCCGAGCCTTCCTGGGCCGCGTGCATTGTCTGCAGGAACTTCCTGTGCAGCTTTCACTGGAGTAAGGGAGAAGTGGAAAGATGCTAATTAGGACATGATTCAAAGGAGAGAGCAGGTATATCAGGAGCTGTGGCTTCCCAAATATTATCTAAGACAATGGCATCATCTTCATCATTGATCTCTTCATCACAAAAAATAATAATTTCCATTTATATGCCAGGCATTATACCAAGTATTTTATGTATATTGTGCCATTTGCAACTCTGTGAGATATACATCATTATTCTTATGAAGAACCTGAGGTTCAGAGAGGTGAAATAAATTGTCCAAGGTCACACAGCATCTAAATGGCTGTATGATTCTAAAGACCACGATCTTTCCACGGGGAGCAGAAACAGGTACCAGGCTAAGTGTTTCACATAGAATAGGAAGCTGATTTGAACATGTGGCTAAGAACTGTGCCTGTGAACAGTGAGAACACACTGAGTCCCCTTCTTACACCACGTTTTATACCTGGGCCACAGATACAAAGGAACTAGGCCAGGAGCCATTGCCCATTGAGTGGATGGACGGGAAAAACATGATTCAAGCAAGTCGGCAGGAGTCCTCATGGTATTATGTGACTGGTCATCCCCATATAATAAAATGTATTCTCGAGTGGAATAAAAATATTAAAAAGGAATGGTAATGTGAAAGCTATAAGTAGGCAACATCATTTCAGCAAAAACAGAACACTATAAATATTTTGTACCTACATTTTGAAGCCCAGTTCAAATGCCACCTCCTGCCTGCCACTTGTTAGATTCAGAATAATCTTGGCTCTGCCACTTTACTGTGTATCCTTGGGCAAGTTATTTAACCAGTATGAGGTTCTGTTTCTTTCTTCATTCATTCATTTGGCAAATATCATCGATGTCTAATATGTGACAAGCACTGTTCTGGGCATTGGGGATAAATCCATGGGCAGGGAAAGGGGCAGAAGAAGTAGACATAGTCCCTGTGCTTAAGAAGCATTTTAACAGGGGATTAGAGACAATGACAAATATATGCGGTTAGTGGTGCTAAGTGATATGAAGAAGAAAAGTAGGGTGGGGGGACAGAGAGTGACAAGGGCGTGATATTATTTGTGATTATTAGGGAAGGCTTTACTGATAAATTGAAGTTCGAGTAGAGATCCGAATGAAGTGAGGGAGCAAGCCATTCAGAAATTTGGGGAAAGAACATTTCAGGTAGAGGGAATAGCAAGTATAAATCCCCAAGACTGGAGTGTGTACATTGTGTGTGAGGAATAAGGGGTCAGCATGGCAAGGAGGGTGTATTTTGAGGGCAGACTAGTGGGAGATAAGACCCCAGGGGTAATTAGGGCCAAAGTTGTGTTGGGCCTTCTTAGCCATGTTAAGCTTTTGACTAACATGTAGCACTGGGATGATTAAATGAGATACTGAAAGAAGAGTGATATTAAGTGCTCAGAAAGTGGTAGCTATTATCATTACGCCTTTCCCGACAATTGCAAGTGGGCGATAATAAAGGGCATCAGAATTTTTTAATCTTTCTTAGAAATAATTCCCAAATGACAAATGGAAGAAAATCCTAGATCCCAAATGGTACTTCCTGTCCTCAAATTCCAACTCCTTATCACTCTGGGGCACTCTTGCCAGCTATGCTGTGTTAGAATAGCTGCTATTATACTGAGCACGAGAGACATAAACATACATAACGATACACACCACAACCCAAATGTAAGCACCAATGTTTTTCATCATAACTTTTCATTTTGTGGCCACAAGTAACCAATTATTTGGAATCATTTTTAGTAAGTTAAAACTATATTAATATTTTTGCTTTTTGTCCCATATATGGATAATATTCTTTCACAAGACCACTCTGCTTCTCAGTGGCTCAAGAATAGTAACAGTTTGAGAACTGGAAAATGATGAGGTAATTGCTAACTTTTCAGTGACTTCTTTTTCATAAGTTCTTTATTTAAAAATAATAAGTGAAACCCACATAATAGAATGAGCAGAGTTAGAAAAGGATTTCTTATATATTATTTCTAGAGGACTTGCAGTTGCACTTTGTGATTCAGAGCTTAGTAGGCACAGAATTTAAAATAACTCTATTTATCTGCACAAACTTTCCTTAGCCTGTTGCAACTCCCCAAGTCCAACTCTTACACATGGGTGTTGGGTAGAATATACTGAATACAAAGTATACAAAGGCTTAATTTTTCTCCTGCCTACAAAGATCTCCAAATCTTTACTATTCTGCACAGCTGCCTAGAATAGACAACAGTAGAGCAATTGTCCGTGATTCAAGCTGAGGAGGAGTGAAAATACCATTAACCCTTAAAAACAGAATTATCTTATTCTTTTGATTTTGCTGCACACTATAATGTGTTTGTGGCCATATTTGGATCATATCCGGTTAGAACCAGAAGAACACAGGAATAATAGATATCATTCAGATAATAATTAGCCATGTACTTGCAATAGCGGGATGTGAAGTCAAAGGAAAACACTAAAAATGTTGTTTTTTTGGACCATGACAAAGAGCTTTTTAAATGAGTTTGAGCATTTTTTATGGCTGACTCATGTCTGGAGGCCTCACTGTGGTCACCAATGCTTCAACTTTTGTACTTTCAATTTCTATCTTTGACAATTTTAAATGCTAACTAACACAAGGCTTCTTATTGCCTGCAAGCACATATAATTTCTCTTTGTTTCCTCTGTTTTCTTTTTGTAAGCAAATGCAACAATTTTAGATCACATGTTTTAGTCATTGTTGCTGATTAAAGGAAATTATAATATGTCTTAGGACAATGAACCCTATAATTTCACCACTGATATTTTAAACTTATAAAATCAATTCTATAAATTCTGGCCTACATTTTTCAAAAATGTGGCCTAAATTATGTATCTTTTATACTTGGTAAATTAAAGTTCCAATGACAGGAAAATGAATAACTAAATTATGATAGCATGACTATTTATTTACAGAAAAAAGACTGGAAGGAAATAAAACAAGATGCTATCAGTGGTTACTTTCGGGAGGTGGAAGTATAGGTGATTAATTTCTTCTTTGTATCTTTGTATATTTTCTAAATTTTCCTCAATGGTCGCATATTGCTTTCATAACTTTAAAAAGATTTTAAAAATTTAATTGTAAAACACAAAAACAAATCCAGACATCTTGGTAGATTATTAATAAATTAAAATCACCTAAAATGTGCTTCTACAAAAAACAGACCTTACCAAGGGAAAGTAATTAGTTTCAAACCTTTTCTTTCTCAAAGGAATACTTAAGCTTTGATTTGATAACACAATACAAAATTCCACTGGGCCAGATACTTCTTGGTAGTTCAGTACAGGAATTTTATTTCATGCATATAGAGAAAGAGAACTGGGAAATTCACAGTTAGCTTTGACTTCCCCACCTTAGTTAAGATGTCTTAAAATACCCACCCATTCTTCACTGTTCATGCACCATCTGGACGCTTAAGCCAGAGGAGGAAAAAAAAAGTACATTGGACCATTTTGTGGCAAAATCTATCTGCATGATTGATACCGGCTGCACAGAATCAATCTGCTGGGCTACGTTTTGGCATTTTAAGCATGGACCCTTTCCCTCCTCCTATCTGACTCTTCAGAGATAAATTTCTAGGTCTAGAGCTTTACTGATTTTTAAAAGGAACTGCCCGAGCTTCCTCCCTCTCAGTTTAACTACTTCTTCTGCCCTCTTGGCAGAGTGGCTACCCCTTGACTCTTCAGGAGAGCCAAGTGACCACTTTAAGACACTCCTAAACAGCTGACCTCCCAGAATCTGGCAGTCTGTGCTCAACTCTGTCCGTTTCCCTAAGTTCTCTTCTGTGGGTTGGGCTCCATTTAACTTCAAAGACAAATACTGGGCACAGAAATAATACAGAGAGGGCAGGGGGGCATGAGAATTGGGTCTGGAGCACCTACGTGCTGAAACAGATTTTCTTTGTTTTTAACCAGTGCCTAGCTACTTGTTGGTGCTTAGCAAATGTGAAATAATAAAAATGTTACTATTAAAGAAAATAGTAGAGTTATAAGCAGAAGGATGTTTGGGAACCATTGTTCATAAAAAGCTAGGATTCTGGCATCATTTCTTTGATCTTTCCAACATTCTAGTTTGAATAAATTTGCTAAAATATGCCTCCCTTATGGGGTAGAGGAGTATCGATCAAACAGGGTAAAGGGCCTAAAAAGAATTTATCCTAAAAAGCAAGCCATTGAACATCAAATACAAATGTGACAAACTAAACTTAGAAGACTAATTATTATTCCTGCTCCAAGTTACCTCTTCCCTCTGCCTCAGTTCGTTTTGGAGGGTAAATTATCAATGGAGATGGAATATTAGTCAGTAGCAAGATAAACCTAAGCTGTCCTCATAATGGTACTTTGTTGAAATCTAAAACTAAAAGGGAAGAATTCTTGAGTATTTCCAATCACCTTTAAGTTATTCTTCCCACTTAAGAGATACAAGAGAACAAGCAAAATAAAAGGCGTCAACAAGAGTGTAGGTAATTATAAAATTGAGTGACAGGGCATTCATTATGGTATTAGCTTTATTGTTGTATATGGTTAAAATTTTTTGTAATAAATTTGTTTTTAAAAAGTTAACAGCAAATGATAGGCACTTGTGTCTTCGCTTGGCCACAGAGTAAGCTGTGTGATCTCTGGAAAGTTCCTTAACTATACAGAGAAAGTTTTGGTTAGTGTAGATAATCTACAGGGTGTTCTCCTGCTGTTGATTTCTGTAACACTTTCTTTTTTCAGTTACATTATTCATAGAATTTTACCCTCAGAGATCTGGGGGAGACCCAAGAAATCAGTCAGTAAGATCGGGACTTAAATTCCAGGTCTCATATACACTTGCTTTGGGTAAGTCACTTAAATGCCTGAGGCTCAGTTTAATCCTCTGTAAATTAGGAATAATTACTATTATTTTTCAGCAGCTGGTAAAGACAAGATATGGAATGCGCTTAAACGTAGACCCAGCAGCTTGTAGGCACTTAATAAATGTAAAGGATTGCTGTTTATGTGGTGGTGGTTTTTGTGGTCATGGCCATTCTCTTGCATCCTGGAACATTTGTTCTTGATTTACCTTTTCTGACTAAAGAGCAGGGGAAAAAGAAACGAACGATGAAATGAAGTTAGAAGTGGCTGCTGGTAGATCTTGGTGATGGATGTTTTTTGTTGAAAGCCTGTACTTGCTTTAGATAAAGTGCCAAGAAGTCGAAGTAGAGTGCCACACTCCTACACATGATTCAGACACCAGAGTTCCATGAAGTTTTCTTTCTTGGGCTGTGACTTTTTTTTCTCTAATAGGTGTTTCTATTATGAAAATTATTTTATTAAAGCAATGTAAGCAGAAGTCTGAGAGCACTCTTCCTGGTTTAATTTGTGCTTTTTCTTTGGAGGTATAAGCAATTGCTCCAGGGATATTAAAGACCTAGATATTTTGTTTAGCAGACTAGTTAACAACCCTTTGGATTTCAAAGCTAAAGATCAACTAATATCTAGTCTGGACAAAAATGGCTTCAAGAAAAAAATAATCCTAATGATTATTTTACAGAAGCAACAGAATTTCAATCATGCAATAAACCATGAGTTGAGCACCCACCATAAGAATTCAAAAGTATTATCTTTATTTTTCAAGAAGCCCTAAGTGACAGGTATTATTAGTCCCATTATACAGATGAGAAAATAGAGGCTTGGCAAGGTTTAATGGCTTGTCCAAGTCCACAAAGCTAGTATGAAGAACATAAATTCTGCCCTCAGAAGCCACACTTGTAGACCTAATGAATTAACATCATCTTTTCAAATAAAAAAAGAAGAAAGAAAGAAAAGAAGAGAAACTCACGGAGACACTTTGCCACAATCTCTGCTCTGTTCCAAAGCAGCAAATGTTCATTACATCTCAGGTTAAGAATGCAATTAGAATACTCACAGTCATTCTATTTTATGAATTACACCCTGGTCTTTAAAAATCTACCAATTTAGCTGGACTTTGCCAAATAAAGGCCCTAATTGTCCACATGATAGTGGAGGCATAATCTTTAACATCAACGTTTAAAACAAGACTCTTCCATTGAGGTTAAATTGCATCTGACCATTATCTGGTAGCTTACGAATGAAGCTGGCAGGAATGATTAGGTCAATGCAAGCTGGCTGACAATGTGGAAAAGGCCACTCATTCTTTGAGGTAGCAGGAAAGACACTATGCACGGCACAGGGTTTTTAACCTTTGTTCTTTAGGTCTTTACGGGATGACTTTGACCTGGGGAGACTGCAATAAAACAGACACTCTTGTGACAATGGAAGTGTAAACTTAAACAACCATTTAGAAAATAATTGTTAGCAATAGGCTGCAAAAGCCTGAAAAAAGTGTTTTTGCCCTTGGACTCTAATTCTTCTTTTTGAAACTTTGACAAAGACATTTTCAGCATTATGGGAAAACCTTATGTCCAAATATGTTCATCACAATGACATGTATTTATAATAGAAAAAAATCCAAAACAATTCAAGTGTCAAGTGATAAACCAAGAGCTAAGTAAATTAAGGAATAAGTAGACAATGAAATAATATGTAGCCATTAAAATATATGTTTACAAAGCCATTACAAATTATGTCAACATGAAAAATGCTTGTGCTATAGTGTCAAATTGAAAAAAAACCTCTCTGTGCCTTATCTCTGCATCTGTAAAATGTAACTAATAATAATACCTTCTTTATTGAATTGTCATAAAGATTGAATGTTAGCAGAGAAGTACTTAGAGCAAGTAAGTACTAAAATTTAGCAATATAATACAAATATTATCATCTTTATTTTTGTAGGTGACCTCATTTTATAGATGACCTCATCTATAAAAATAAAGATGACCTCATCTATAAAAATAAAGATGATAATATTTGTATCATATGGCTATAATTGAGGCATGAGAGGGTAACACAAGTAGAAAGATGGCCCAGGAGCAAGTAGGAGACTGGATTTGAACCCAGATCTTCTGATACCAAGCCCCATGCCCTTAACCGCTGTAGAATACCACCTTCCAGAAACGAGAAAGTCACAAAGGTAAGACAAATTGGAAAATAAGTTATCGCAGTTTTACGAAAAAAAATGAGTTTGAGATGACAAGTTGTTCAAAAACTTATATCGAAAAGTCAGATCATTATTTTGAACTTCATATTATTTTGTTTCTATTTAGTGTTTTCTAAAGAAAAAATAATCATATTGCAACATTGTTCTGCAGAATTAAATGACAAGTATTTTCTTGAATGGAAGAGGGACAAGGAATCCCAGGAAAGGAATCAAACATTTGTGGAAATAAAACTCACATCTTGAGAAGAAGGATGAAAAGGACAAGAGAAGAGAGGAATTGGAAAATTATTACCTAAAAAAATAAGAGAGAAAAATGAGTGCGGTCTTGCTCTATAAATTCCTAAGGGAGCCTTACACACAAAGAATAACATGGGGGAAGGAGGGAAGCGATCAGAAGCTGGGTGAGGGAATGAATGGAAGATAAACACCCTTAGGACAGGAAGATATCAGCAAAATAACTGAATTAGTAGAATCTTCATGGTTACAGTTGAGGTTTCAAGGGTAACTGTGGCTTTGAAAAGAATGAACCTCATCAATGAAAAATTGTCAACCATCTACCAGGCATGTGACTCAGTGTCTCAGAACTGCTGTGTATATGTCTTTTATATTTCATGTGTATAAATATAAATATTATATATATAATAGAAATGGGCATAAAGTAAGTGGCCTGAGAAATAATTCCTCAGGGAATTTAGAAAGGAGATAGATCTCACTTCCCTTTATTATTTTTAAAATATTAATATCTAACTAGTTATTCATTTTAAGGATGACACTTTATCTAATTTCGCATAATGTGTAATAGGTCATCTCAGGGACTCTAAAGATTCAGGAGGTTTTTTAGTGCAGTGGTTTAGTTTAGAATATAGGCTGTAATCTGGGTTTGAATCTCAACTCCAACACTTACTAGCTATGGAATTTTCAGCAAATTATTTAACTTCTTTAGGCTTCAATTTCCTCAGCTGCAAAATGAGAATAAAATAATACCCAACAAAAGATAAAATATGCATAATAAAGTATGAAACAATGCCTGGCACAAAGAAAGCACCCAGTAAATGTTAGCTGGTATTATTTATAGTAACACATTAAAAGCCTCTAAGCTCTTTGAGGGCAGCGACTGTGTCTTTTTTCATCTTGCATACACACTGCCTCGCACAATTCCTGGGACAAAAGAATCAGGCCTGACTAGTGATAGTTGGGCAGCTGAGTTTAAAAAAAAATCAGACCTTAGCTAAATAGTTATGAAATTACAGAAAAGAAGGAAAGGAGGAAACAGAAAAGGGGAGTCAGGGAGAAGTTTACCATACAGGACAATGTAAAATGTCAGATGAACTGTAATCCCAACAAGAGATTTAAGTGGGAAGTCTTCATTCATTCTTCATTCACATCTTCAATTCATTCATTTATTCTAAAAGTATGAAGTGAAGGCTTATTATACTGTGATGGTGCTGAAGAGACAGAAACAGATTAATGGGACAGAGTCTCTAGCCTCACATTATTTACAATCCAGCAGGGGATACAGACCTTCAGATAATAATTATGGGAGGCAGTGGGGCAGAGGGGCTAAATGTAGATTGTTTTGTTTTGTTTCAATGTAGGTTCTGCAGAGTCTAGGAGCAGTGGGTAATAATTCAGATCTGAGTCTAGAAAGAAGAGATCACACAATTAGTTAATCTCAAAGCCAGTGAGAGGAAGAAATAAAGACAACTTGTGTCTCTTGTCCTCCTGCCCCTTCAGAATAGTTTGGGCATGTAACAGACTGGACTTGCACTTTCCTTTGCCTGGCTTTTGCTTGTTGTTTACTTTTATTGTATTTGTTGTATTAACAATCACTTACATAAAGGTTGTTCTCCTTGTCAAAGTATAAACTACATGTGACTGAGGACTACATCTGCCATGCTCTTCATAGAATCCCCAGCAAAAGTTTCTGAAAAAGTGTTGTCTGATACGGTAGCCACAGCCACATATGGTTACCGAACCCTTGAAATGGGACTAGTCCAAATTGAGATTTGTGCTGTATGCATAAAATAAACACCAGATTTTGAAGACAGCTGGGAAAAAAATCTTATTAATAATTTTTATATTTATTATATATAATATTTTTAATAATTTGGGTTAAATAAAATATATTATCAAAATCAATTTTACCTGCTTCTTTTTCCTTTTATAATGTGGCTACTAGGAGAATTTAAATTATATATGCAGGTTCCATTTGTGGCTAATTATGTTTTATTGGACAGAGAAGATGCTCCAGAAATTTTTGCTGGATGAATGAATGAATGAACAATCAAGGAGGCATATAGGGTGAAACCAGCCTGTTCCTTATAGAAAAATGCCTGACATCATGATGACATACACAGTCTCCTTACTAATAAGAAAGTCAACAAGGGTAATCTGGGTATTATATCCCATGTTCCTTGGTAGCTAAACCAATAATAGGGTTTTATAAGGCATAAGGGCTCAAAATACCCTATATTTTTTCCTATCAAAAAAAAAAAGGAAAGAAAAAAAGTGACAGTCAAGTGTGGAAAAGCAGAGAAGATTACAATCTTATTACAAGATTAAAACTTCATAACAGAGTACACCCAAGCAAGCCAAACCAAAAAGGGTATGGAGAACATGCATTATATTAAACCATGAGTTATTTTATGCAGGCCTGAGACTGTGAGAAGGAAATGAGAAGGAAAATTACAGAGGCAGTAGAAGAAAACGGAATTTTATAGCATTTGGAGATAATCTTTGAAGAAAAATACTAAAAGTAATGCTTTTGATGAGAAGAAAAAATGCCCAAGGAGCCAATAGTTTTCTAAACTGTCTGAAATCACCCAAAAATCTATGAGAAGAAGAAAAAAAGGAGGAAAACAAGGAAGAAAGGAAAGAAGGATGGAAGGAGGGAAGATAGAAGAAAAAAACCCACAAACTGGAAACTTATTCCAAAATGGCAACAGTCATATTCTCTAGATGGTGGGATTGCAGTGGAAGATGTTTTGATTTTTCAATGTGCTTATTCTTCCTTTTCTAAAATTTCTATAACGAAGCACTGCTTTGTAATTTAAAAATGTAATAAATTTTTTGTTTCTAATTAAAAGGATAAAAAACAGAATGAAGTTTGGCGTAGTAATGGAATGACAAGCCAGAGAGAGAATGGGGAATCTGGAACCAAAAACCATCAGGTGGCTGGGCACAGTCTGACATGTAGAAAACTGAGAAGATCAAATAGCTGCAAGAATGATGGAGTGGGTACCAGCAGGGAGTAGGCCAATGAAAGACCACATGCAAGAAATCAGGACCCAATCTTCGAAGCTTGAGGTGACAGAGCTAAGGGAACAAGACAAATGAACCAACTTTCAAAGATAAAATGATGATGGATAGACCTGGGATCAGCCGAAGCCTAAAAAGGAAAGAAATGTCCTGAAAAAAGTCCTGAGCTTTATCAGGTTCTTTTCCTGAGGTTGCCAGAGAAAGCTGGGTGTGATCTCATTAATTGGATAGTACCTGTAAAATGTTAAGCCTTTCAAACACCACAACCTGCTGAAATGCAAGGAGAGGTATGGAGACTTTGGTCTCTTTCTGGTAAGACTGCCTGTACATGAGCTCAGAGAATTATTCATTCCACACATGCTTATTGAGAACTTACTCTGTTCTAGGGGCTAGGAGGGAAAGGACTAAAAGAGGAACCCAAAAGTTCGGAAAGGATCTCTGGCTGCTCTGGTTTCCTGTACTTTTGAGCTAAACAAATGGAATGGACATTATACGACAGGATCCAAATTATCAAAGCATACAGTACTGTCTTGGTATGAATGTCTGAAGACATTTTTAAAGTTCCTGGTGCCTAGAATATATTAGATATTCAATAAAAGTCTAATCCAAAAGAGTTTGGGACCACTGAGGAAGCTGTAAATGATAGTATGGTCCCTACAGAATACGCATTTTTATCAGATTCTCTTTTTTTTTCAACTGCAAAGAAACATCAGAGCTTAAGAAGACCAGTAGAGTATGCAGTTTTCAGTCATGCTCATGTAAACTCATATAAGTCAGAAAAAAGGGGAAAAGTACACTCAAGCAGGTAAATATGGACCTAAATACCATACATTTTCTAAATAGTACTGTCAAATTTAATTGTGTTCATCGACATACATGTCTTTAATCCATATTTAAATAATGTAGCTTTTTAATAAGCATCCTTCAAATATCTAAATCCCTAAATCTCCTTCCTGTAAATTGTTCATGTGACTTCCTTGGCAAACCTTCATTTTGTTTATATGATATAAGCTGTATTAGATAAAAGTTCAACAGTAGTGTAGAGATCATCATCTTACAATCATTCACAGACTTAGTAACAAAGCACCATAAGGATGAAAATTCAGGAAAACCCAAGACACTGAGTGGATACATCTCGAGAAAGAATGAGCATCCGCTCCTGGAGAGCATGACTATCAAATCTCTTGAGGATGACCCCAAGACACACCTTTAAATAACAGAATAGCCACATCCTCCTTTTTCTATTAATTTTAAATTATTATTTATTTATTTTTGCTTAAAGAAGAGTTTTGTCCATTAAGTGGTTAAAACTTAAGGTTATCCATCCAAGGAGTAGGAAATGAAGGTTCTTAGTTTGATGGACAACAGCTCAGAGATCCCTGATGTCCCAAAATATTAGGTTTCTCTTCTAATAATGTTGGAAATATTGCCTACTGTCATGATTAATCTGAGCCACAGCACAAGCTGATTGTAGGTGACACAGTCACAGAGCAGTGCCCATGTTGGTTTCCACACACCGTCAAATCTGCTACAAATGCAGGGGTGAATGGGAGAGAACTGTGATACCAGGTTTCCTGGTGGCTAATAGATTGTGACATGAAAGAAGGAAACCTTTATTTTAATTCAAAAAACAAAAGCCAAATAGCAAAACTTATGTACGTGCTGAACTTTTTTTTTCTTCCTCAAGTGGAAAACATTGACTTGCTAACAACTCTTGGCTGGCATCAAGGGAAAGTGGAGGTATTTGCAGATGTGGAGGAAGACATACAAAACATTTTTCAAATAAAAGGCTTGAATTATTGCACTGGGTTCATGAAGTTTCACAGGCATCTAGACACACCATTGTTTTCACCCTGGAACAAGCTGCCCTTTCTTTCAAGAAAGAAAACAACCCAATGTTTCTTACAATCAGATCTGTATGTATCAGGGAGCTATCTATATTTTGAAATTCTTTGCATTGTCTGTGGAAGGGTGTGCTGTTTGGACCTGACAATGGTAACATTGATTTTAAGATTTTTGGATTTTGGTTGTACAGAGCAAACAGTGAAAGAAAACTGCCGGCTTTCAGAACTACAACAGTGTTCTTACACAAACTTGCTTCTCTCCTGGCTGTTTTACATAGCCAAAGATCAATACTGCTCATTCAGCCAATGTTATTAACCCCATTTATCAGCTTCTCTTTAAAAAAAAAAAAATTTGAAAGGATCTTGCCGCCAAAGTTATGTCATCTTCCGCTCGTTCAGTTGCAGAGTGGATAATTCACTTTGTTGTGCACCCCCAACAATCGAGCCTTGTTTATGAACCTACATTTATTAAGTGAAAGTATTTGGAAACTGATGGTACATTCAAGCTTGGTTGCCATGGGCAGTAATCATGGCAGAAAGTCATGACCTCCCTGTTATGCAGCGAGTAACTAATTGAAATGATACAAATTACTCCGATTCTCTGTCTGCCAATTTAGAGCCTGGTTCTGGTCAAGGGTCAAATGAGCTCCTATTCATGAAACTATGTTTGAAGTAGCTGCTACCATAGCAAGGGGGTTTGGTGTGGCCATTGCTGCTCCTTTAGACTTTGCCACATACTGTGGGGAGGCAGTAAAGCAGTAAGTTCCAAAGCCTACCTTAGCCAACACATCAAAAGCTTGCTGTTGTCACTCGGTTTGTGCTACTTGTCAACAGCACTGGACATGGTTTGCTAAACTTTACTGGCCAGAAATAAATGTTGTATTCAGAAGCCATTTAGGGAATTCAGCCTCTTTAGCCCGCACATTTCATCAGCTCTCTGATATGCCCTCGGCAGAGAAAACCAAATGCCATAAACTCAATATTGAATGATTTTCAACTTATCAATTCCCATCAAGTGTCATCCTTTCCAGCTTCTCTCAGCCCCAGCACACATACACATACCTGCCAAATAAATAAGATAAATTAAAAGCCTGAAAGGTACATAACATGCAAGCTCTTTCTTCAAAGCATAATTAGGATGATTATTTCTGTTTGAGAAATGACACTAAATGTTAATCTAATTGAATCTGGGAAATGTGGCAATAAAAAGTTAATAATTTACAGAGAAATTGTTCTTCAGAAAATTCTAAGTGAATGCCCACTAACTGAATTTCAGGAATTTTGCTCAAAGGCTTATAGGGTATGTGGCAAATCCAATGGCTTACTTCAAATATGGTTTTTACACTACCAAAACTATTTGCTTTAAAGAAGCATGCCAGCACATGTGTGCGCATGGAAGCACACAGACTTTGTCTGCAAAATACCTAGAAAAAACATGGAAAAATATCTCCTTAAGCCAGCTAAAAATATGGAAAGGAAGTTACCTGAGTGTTTAAACTTTAGCCTAAAGATTGCCTTCAGGGGATATACCCAACACAATTTCTAAAATCACATGTCCCTATAATATAATTAATGCATAGAGAAAATGTCTCATTAATTCCCCTTGAATTCTGTCTTCTTTTTTTTTAATAGCAGATATTTCACATATAATTTTTAAGGTGTACAAAATTTATAAAGCAAGAAGGTACAAATTTAGGCTGGACATCCACTGTAACCAATCCGTGCTAGCACCCCAGCTGATCCCACCTAACTTAAAATATCTCCCATCTCCAATCTCAGCAATCTCAGAGAAAAGCAGAACTTTGCTGAATCCACACCAACTCTGCCACTTACTATGAACTACGGGCAAATAATTCAGTCTCTCTTGACATCAGTTTTCTCATCTTGTATAGAAAACATCTTAACACAATGTTTGGCACAGAGTGACTGGACTTATCAATGATAGCTCTATTATTACAGAATGAAAAGATTCTTGCTAAAAAATACAAACTGGAATAAAATCCAGAACTTAAAAAAAATCAGTTAAACATTCCCATCAATTGGCTAGCTTACTATTATAACAGCTATAGAAATTCACAAATATTTTATTGCAAACATTCTAAATCTCAGAAACAAATTTCATTATTTATTTACTTGTTCATTAGACAAACATAGGCCCTGGAAGTACAACAATGAGCAAAACCAACATTTCCTGCCCTCATCTAGCTTATAACCTAGCAGGTGCAAAAGCCTCAAACCATGTAAATCACAAACACAGTGAATGTTGAAATAGAGAATGTTGAAATACAAGGTGTTATGGGAGTTCAGAGCACGGGAGCTAATCTGTTTAATTATGTTCTGAATAGAGTTTTTGCCACTTACTATTAACTAGAAAAAAAAAAGAAAGAATTTGCGTTTTGAGTTTTCCTCCAAAAAGCCTTTTTCAATTCTAGAGTAAATTTCCCCAGGAACTAAGCAAGGCAGGTACATTGAAGGTTCTTTCCACAGTGCCCAACCAACTCTCCAGTCTTATTTCAAGTTGGGCTATAGGCCATTCTCTGACGTTTTCTACCTCTGCTTTTCCTCAAGCCATCTCATTTCCTCTTCCAGCCTGTGGTGCTCTTCACTATTCTTCTATCCTAAAACATCCCAGTCCTCCAGACTAATTTTCTATGCCACCTCCTCCTTTCCCAATTCCCCAAGCAAGAAGTTGTCTTCCATTCCTCTGGAGTTCCCAGACTCATGAGTTGGGAACCACTGCCTATATCACTCCCTCATTATCTGACTTCTGAGTATGGTCCTTGTATAGATAGATCCCTGTGTCTAATATCTCCAGATAGATTCATAAGCTGCCTGTGGACAACAATCAGGTCTCATGCCCAAACACCTAGGATAGTGCCTTGAACATGGGGGGAATTTAATAAATGTTTGATAATTATGATGATACTCTTTCTTGTTTCAAACTTGGAGTTTTCAGATGACCACCTCAAGGAACTCAGTACTAAATCACCAGGAAGAGTTAACAGTTTTCGGTGATTCTCCTGATTCCGAAAGAAATAAACAGAAGACTAGCATTAACAGAGCTACTTCACTCCTTCTAATAAAACCATACATCAACCAAGTCAGTCATTCAGCAAATACATATTGAATCTCTATTATTTACCAGAAATTGTGGCAGAGCCTAGGGATGCAATAACTCATAAAGTCTATAGTCTTGGATGTAAGACACACATTTAAAAATGATTAAAACTACCACACCCCCAATTTTTTCTTTTTTCTTGTTTCTTTTTCTTTTCTTTTTTTTTTTTTTTTTTGACAGAGTCTTACTCTGTCACCCAAGTTGAAGTGCAGCGAAGGCTCACTGCAATCTCCACCTCCTGGGATCAAGCCATTCTCCTGCCTAGACCACCCGAGTAGCTAGAATTACAGGCACCTGCCACCACAACAAGCTAATTTTTGTATTTTTAGTAGAGATGGGGTTTCACCATGTTGGCCAGGCTGGTCTCGAACTCCTGACCTCAAGTGATCCACCTGCTTCGGCCTTCCAAAATGCTGGAATTATAGGCATGAGCCACCATGCCCAGCCCACACCCCAAATTTTTAAATAGACAAAAGACTTGAACAGATATTTCACAAAAGAAAATATACAAATGTCCAATAAGCCCAACATCATTAGACATCAGGAAAATGAAAATTAAAATTGTGATATACCACTGCACATGCATTACAATGGATAAATGATGGACAAGACCTAGTGTGGATGAGAATGTGGAAAAACTGAAACTCTTGTATACTGCTGGTGAGAATGTAAAATGGTACAACCACTTCAGAAAAGTTTGGCAGTTTCTTGTAAAGTTAACCATACTGTATGACACAGCAACTGCCCTTCTAGGTATTTACCCAAGAGAAATGAAACTATATATTTACCAAAGACTGCACTCAAATGCTTATAGAAGTTTCATTCATTTAACTAAAAACTGAAGCAAGCAATCCATATTTCCATTAGCAAATACATGGATAAACAAATTGCAGTATATCCATACAGTGGAATATTACTTATCTATAAAATGGGCAGACTACTAAAATACAACATGGATATATCTCAACGTTATGCTGAGCAAAAGCAGCAAGGCACAAAAGAATACACATAGTGGGATTTCATTTATATGAAATTCTAGAACGAGCAAACTAACCAAATAGTCCCAGAAAACACATGGAATTGCCTGTGGCCAGGTGTCAAAGGGAGGGATAAACTGCAAAGGGGTATGAAAGAACTTTGATATTTGACATAAATGTTTTGTATCTTGATTGTGGCAATGTATAAATTTTTCAAAACTCTGAATTGTATACTTAAAATGGGTGTAGTATGTTACATGTAAATTACATCATAAGACCTGATTTTTCATTTTATTTTATTTTAGTTTTGGAGACTGAGTCTCACTCTGTTGCCCAGGCTGCAGTGCAGTGGCGTGATCTCAGCTCACTGCAATCTCCGCCTCCCAGGCTCAAGCCATTCTTGTGTCTCAGCCTCCTGAGTAGCTGGGACTACAGGCGTGCACCACCATGCCCGGCTAATTTTTTGTATTTTAGTAGAGACGGGGTTTCACCATGTTGCCCAGGGTGGTCTTGAACTCCTGAGCTCAGGCAATCCACCCGCCTCAGCCTCCCAAAGTGCTGGGATTACAGGCATGAGCCACTATGCCCAGCCAAGACCTGATTTTTCAAAAACTGTCATGAACATTGTCAAGAAGAAATACAGGATGCACTGGGAGATGAACTAGATCTTCAAGTGAGTAAAAAAGTCTAACCCTATCAATTGCTTGGTTTTATCTGATATTATCTTTTAAAAAATAATTCCCAGTATGTGTTTCTTCCATAACTAAAATATCACCTCCGTGAGGGCATAAGAGGAAAGGAAATTTGTGTTTATTAAATATTTTCTATAAGGCTGGCATTGCACTAAAAAATTTATGTAGGATATCTCGCTTAATACTAACATTAATCCTGAAAGGTATTATTATCATCACTTTATAGTTAATGAAACTGGGTTTCAGAGATTAAATTACTTGCCCAGTTTGCAAATGGTGGAGCCAGAATTTGAACCCAAGTCTGTCTACCTCCCAAGGCCAAACTCTTCCCCATGAAGCTCCCTGAGTGGCCATGGTTGACATTTTTCTGTGACTGTGCTTCTTCTACTTTTCCTTCCCAGAACATTCCTCTATCTCTTCCTGTCTGATTGTTTTCTGTCTGATTTTTTTCCTCATCCTTCAAGATCCAGTGTAGGGACCCTGCCCTCTGAAAATAGAGACCTTACCTTCTTCTGAAGTTCCAGACAAACAGCCACCATAGTATGACTCATTTTGACATTTAATCCTAACATGCCTTATTTCAACATCTAATTATTTTATGGTATTGTCTCCCCAGCCAGCCTGCATTTTTTTTTTTTTTTTTGCAGGTAGGAACTATACTAGCTGTAGTTACATATAGATGCTGAAGTCACAGTAGCTTAAATTAATTTCCCACTCATGCGAAGTCCAACAAGACATGGTGGAAGGAGTTCTCTGAAATGTTGGCTTAACAGTCCCGTAGGTCTAGCTCTCTTCATTGCACATATGCTATGTACTATCCCTGAGCTAGGTGTGTCACAGATATTAGTTCTTCTTTCAATTCTTTAAAAAAATATTTTAAAACGGATTTACCAAGGTAAAATTTATATACCCAAAATTTGCCCATTTTAAGTGCATCATTCAGTAAGTTTTAGTAAGCATGCAGTTAGTTGTGCAACCATACTCCAGGATCCTGCTTTAAAACAATTTCATTATTCCAAAAAGATCTTTCATATCTATTTGCAGTCAATCCCTCTTCTCATGCTCAGCTCCAGACAACCACTAATATACTTTCTCTATATATAGATTTGTCTTTTCTGGACATTTCATATAAATGGAATAATATAATGTCTGGTCTTGTGTATCTCACTTCTTTCATTTAGCATAATGTTTTTGAGGTTCATCCATGCTGTAGCATGTATCAGTAATTTATTTATTTTCATTCCTGAATAATGTTTCACTTATTGCATGGGTATACCACAGCCTGTTTATCCAGTTACCAGTTAATGGACATGTAGACTGTTCCCAATTTTTGGCTTTTATGAATAATATTAGTTCATAATATCTCTGAGATAGGTACTCTGATCTTCACTTTACAAATGAGAAAAATCAAGGCTTGGAAAAAGTAATTATCTTGCCCATGGTCAAATAGCTGGTAAGTTATAGAAGCCAATCTTTCTAACCCCAAAGCCCTTGCTCTAAGTCAGGGTTTTCAGATTTGGGAATTTTGCTGACCTAAATATTAAAAAAAACAAAACAAAACTTTTTTTTAGAAATATGAGAATAAACCTAAATGTACCATCTTTTGTATTTGGTAAAGGGCATTTTTAAAAAACCAATTACCCAGCATAGTGCCTATAGCTAACAATGTCATATTGTATACTTGAAATTTGCTAAGAGAGTAGATCTTATGTTAAGTGCTCTTACAACTCACAAAAAAATAAGGATAATAATAATACAGGGGGTGAGAGGAAATGTTGGAAGGTGATGGATATGTTTATGGTCTTCATAGTGGTGATGGTTTCACAGACATACACTCATCCCCGAACATATTGAGTTGCATACATTAAATGTGTATAGCTTTTTACATGTCGAGCATACCTCAATAAAGTGGTTTAAAAAATAAAATAAGATAAAAATAAAAAACTACCATCTACCATTTGTGTCACTTCATAAAAGAAAGGATATTTTTAATACCTAAAGTAGAAGAATACATTTGGCTTTATAGAAAAGCTTGCTAAGTTGTATTTATTTTTCTCATTTTTCTGAAAGAGTTATTGAAAACAAGCTCTCATTTAGGAACCACCGTGCCTAGCCACTAGGCTACCTAATTAGTAGAACACAAAGAATATGTACTAAACTCAATTAGACGAAATACTTCGAGCCCCTTTAAAAAATATTAGATTACAAAGTCAAGGCCTTATTAACTTTATCTCAGTTGTGCACAACAGATCCCTCCAAAAGGACACGTTGTTTTTACAACAGTGTAGCACGGTGAGATGGTCTCTCCTCTCCAGGAACAGAAGTTTTGAAACCCATCATACATCCAGCAAAAATTCCAGTACCTTGGAGCAAAGAATTGTGTTCCAGAGATCCAAAGACCAATCGTTCGGTAACCATGCACCAGCCAGGTTAGCTTATATTTTGTTTCCCTGAGAACTAGAAAGTATGTAAAGGCCTTGGATGGCGATTCCATGGCAACGTATTTAAATCTAGATTTCATTGAAACCCAGCCTTCATGGGTACTGAAAGAAATGTGAAGTCTTGCTGACATTCATTTCGTGGTTTCCATCAAGGTCCAGTGGAACAAATGCCATAATTAGGCCTCAGAAGAGAGGCCAGAGATTGACTGTGAGGTCCCTCCAGTCATGCCTCCAGGCCTTACTAGACTGGGACGCTCACACTGTCGCTCTCTGCTTTGTAGCTGTTTGTGCAAGAACAAAAGGACTTCAGTCTCCCTTGCTATTAATCCAACTTCACAAGCATGAAATTTACAGACACACACAAGAATTCATCATTGAAACCTTTTCCCCTTGTCATGTTCAGCTGCTGAAAAGTGGGCACACTCTTGGAAATGAATGTTAATAAAAAAAGAGAAAAAAAAAGAATGGGCAAGCTTTCTGAATCAGCTCCAGACACCGTCTACCCCCGCCTAAACTACAGGTCGACATCTTGGGATGTCGTTTCGCAGGATGACCTTTTGGGGAAATATTTGAGTCTTTCCACAGCATCTAGTTTGGGAATATTTTGTTAAATTTTATTATCACTCTGAAAGTCAACTACTTTCCCTTAATAAATAAAATACATCCATAATGTAAGACCAATAATTCAATCTGTAAAGTAAATGAAAAAAAAAAAAGAATAGCTTTAAAGAGTCATAAAATGAATACTATTTGATTAGATCCAAACCAGTGGTATCAACTGGTTTTGCTCATTTAACCTGTCTCCTCATCATCATACACCCATCATTTAGCTGCAGGGTGGATGTGTTCACACTGAACTATTAATCTGTTTCAAAATGCCATAACATTTCCATGAAGAACTTCCTAATTTTTTTTCAGAAATTAAATGTCTGTTTAAAGTTCATTCCCTCCTGCTGTAACTAATTGAAATGAGATTTGGTTTATCTTTATGACATGGAAATGGGATTGAGTTTCATAATAATAACAATAATGATAACTCGATAGATTTTAGGAGTAGTAGTTAATAATTACAGTAATATGGGGGATATTAGACTGGTCTATTGCCACCTAAACAGGCCCCCATTATTTGTGGAGAAGTGTGAATGGATGTTGCATGATTTAACCACCCCGTTCCTGATTTTGTATTTGTTTTCAGCATACACTGAATTTTAGAGCAGCACCGTAATTAAGAGGGGCCTCAAACAAATATTTCCTTTACAAATCAAAGAAAGCATTAGCACAGCCCTGAGATATATGTTGAACTATATTGCACTTATAATAGAAAAGACCTGATCTGGGGAAAATACAAAGAGGAGACCCTTTCTTAGGATCTTTTTCCATCAGTATACCCAAGAGTAAGTAAACTGTAGCACTTCAGAAGTTACAATAAAATTTCCCACATATCATTTCATTTGACCCTCACATCAGCCTTTTGAGAGTGAAGAGTATTATTATTCCCATTTTACAGATAAAGTCATTGAGGTCTACAGAGGTGAAAGACTTGTGCTAGGTCACAGAGTTAGGAAGTGTCAGACTTAACACTGAAAGCCAGATCTGTCTCCAATTTCAAATTCTTTTCCTTTATCACCCTACCAGGGATTGTGTATATTGGGCTGAGAAGTCAAGAAAGAAAATATCTTTTTATCTTTCCCTTAAACACCAACCCAAGTCAGCCTGCTAGCACCACCATGAGGCTTACCTTACCCAGAAGATAAAACAATGACACCAACTTTCAATTGGTTTAAGGTTAGGAACTAATTGATTATTACTACTGTCATCATGTATATGGTTAACTGCCATCATTTATTGAGCACCTACTCAATGCAATGTGCTGTGAATCATATTTTGTCTTTATGGTGCAGATAATTTACATGGCTTCAGGCCCTGTGTGATTTAACCTCTACTTACCTCTCCAGACAACATCTACCTCATCCTCTTTGTCACATCATTAAAGGCCCCAAACTCTCCTTTGCTCAAATTGTTTCTTCTACCTGGAACACTCTTTGTCATCCTAGCTCACCCCACCTTACCTGCTATTTTTCAGGCCTCAGCTTAAATGACATTTCTCAGGTGCCACGATTTGGTTAGACATCCCTTATGATCTGCTCTCATAGCACTCTAAGCTCTCCCTCTCCAAGCATCCACTGTACCTTATGAGAGTTTCCTGTTTAAAGTCTGTCTTTCTGCTAGATTGGAAAGCACCATGAGAGCAGTGATTGCATCTGTCTTATTGATCAATATTTCCCAAAGTATAAATAAGAACATCACCATAATACAACAAATATGTGAGGCTCAGAAAACTTAAGCAATGTAGGTGGCTTAAAAGTAAGGATTCCAGGCCAAGCTGGGATCACACCTGTAATCCCAGCACTTTGGGATGCTGAGGCTGGCGAATCACTTGAGTCCAGGAGTTCAAGAGCAGCCTGGGCAATATGGTGAAACCCTGTCTCTACTAAAAATACAAAAATTAGCTGGGCACATGATATGGTTTGTCTCTGTGTCCCCACCCAAATCTCACCTTGAGTTGTAATAATCCCCACGTGTCAAGGGTGGGACAAGGTGGAGATAATTGAATCATGGGAGTGGTATCCCCCATGCTGTTTTTGTGATAGTGAGTGAGTTCTCACAAAATCTAATGGTTTTATAAGGGACTTCCCCCTTTGCTCAGCACTCATTCTCTCTCCTGCCACCCTGTGAAGAGGTGCCTTCTCCCATGATTGTAAGTTTCCTGAGGCCTCCCCAGCCATGCAGAACTGTGAGTCAATTAAACCTCTTTTCTTTATAATACCCAGTATCAGGTATTTCTTCATAGCAACATGAGAACAAACTAATACAGTGTGGTAGCACATGCCTGTGGTTCCAGCTCCTCAGGAGGCTGAGGTGGGAGAATCACCTGAGCCTAGGAAGTCAAGGCTGCAGTGAGCCATGATTGTGCCACTGCACTCCAGCCTGGGTGATGAGAATGAGGCCCTGTCTCAAAAAAAAAAAAAAAAAAAAAAGAAGAAGAAGTAAAGATTCCTTCATTCAAATGCATCTGAATGGAGCTTAAAGTAAAAATGAGGGCTGGCCGCGGTGGCTCACACCTGTAATCCCGGCACTTTGGGAGGCTGAGGTGGGCAGATCATGATGTCAGGAGTTTGAGACCAGCCTGACCAACATAGTGAAACCCCGTCTCTACTAAAAATACAAAAATTAGCCGGGTGTGGTGGCTCAAGCCCGTAGGCCCAGCTACTTGGGAGGCTGAGGCAGGAGAGTCGCTTGAACCCAGGAGGCAGAGGTTGCAGTGAGCTGAGCTTGTGCCACTGCTCTCCAGCCTGGTGACAGAGCGACACTCCCTCTTAAAAAAAAAAAAAAAAAAAAGATATCTTTTTTTTTTTTTGAGACGGAGTCTCACTCTGTCACCAAGTTGGAGTGCAGTGGCATGATCTCGGCTCACTGCAATCTCCACCTTTTGGGTTCAAGTATCCTCCTGCCTCAACCTCCCAAGCAGCTGGGGTTACGGGTGTCTGCCACCACGCCTGGCTAATTTTTATATTTTTAGTAGAGACGGGGTTTCACCATGTTGGTCAGGCTGTTCTCAAACTCCTGACATCATGATCTGCCCACCTCAGCCTCCCAAAGTGCTGGGATTACAGGTGTGAGCCACTGCGCCCAGCAAAAATGAGATCCTTTAAGAAGCATACCATGATCTCCCTATTTAAGACTGCAAACCATGCTCTGTAGACCTCCCAAACTCCTTTACTCAGCTTTATGCTTTATTTTTTCCACAAAACATATCACCTTCTAACATACTATTAGTTTATGTATGACTTCTACATGCATATAATTTTAGTTAAAATTTATTTATTATGACTATTATTTATTATTTGCTCTTCTCACTAGGATGTCAGCATCATCACTAGAGTAGGTATTTTTGTCGTTATCAATCACTCACCATGAACAATGCTCGCCATATGCCAGGTGCTTGATAAATATTAGTTGAACTGAATGGAGGGAATTCTTAGTGTCTAGATTTTCCTTAACACATATTAAACAAAATATATTTGTTTTAGATACCAAAGATGACAAGTTCATTCGTTGTTTGAGATGGGATGTTGTGTAATCCAAATTTTCTTCTGGGCTTCCCTACTTGTCAGCTAGTAAGACTTCCTCCCACCCTTAGGCTGGTTTCTCAATTATTAATATAAAAAGGGTCATGGTCCTTGTCCCTCCATCAGCAGCAAGGAGTCAAGAATTTGTCCTAGTCCTGAAGGAGACCAGCCCTTTTATAATTTTCTAATGGGAAAAAGAAATAGAAGCGGCTTATTCATCTCAGAAATTCTGCAAAAAGGACTGGAAACCTGGGGATTCAACTGGCTCGATTTGCAAAAATGTGCAGAGGTGATATTTATTAAGCACTTGACACTCCAGAGAGAACACTGCTGTACAAATATGTCATGCCGCTTTGAACACAAGCAAAGCAGGAATCAGATTCTATCTCCTTGCTGTATCCCAAGCCAAGGTGACTGTTGTAGCTTCATCTCAATGTATTTATATCTCATCACCAACACTGATCACCAAGGGAGCCAGCCCTAAGCTGAGCTGTAAAGATTGTATAGGGAGTATTGCTCAGACGCACTGTACACCATGCCTGACTTATACCAATGAGTTTCAAGGCTCATGCTTTCCAGATGAGCATCATACTCTGTGATGAATAGTAAGAACAAGAATTCAGATTGCAATGAAGACAAAAAAAAAAAAAAGTAAAGAAATGCTAAAATTATTGAATGAGACTCTCATGTGGGAAGCTGTCCTCTCTTCTCCATCTCCAATGCAAAGGCCACAATTCATTCTTATCATCTCTTACCTGAATTACTATAGCAGCCTCATCGCTGTGCTCTCTACCTATAATTGATCCTGTATATTGCAGACATAAGAACCTTTCTAAAATGCCTACCTGAACTCATGGCCCTCTTCAGTGGCTTCCCAGCTATCCCAGGAAAACTCCACAGCATGACCCATAAGTTTCTCCATGACCTGACCCCTGCCCATCTCTCCAGGCTCATCACCTTCCACTCCTCCACACACACCCTATGCTCTAGCTATACTGAAGTAGTTGCCCTAATGTACTCAGTACTTTCATGTTTCTCCGACTTTGCATGTGCTGTTCCCTCTGCCTAAATATTTTTCCTGTACTTTTGCCTACTCAACTCATTCATCATTTGAGATGTGTCTCCACTAGATAGTTTCCCTTGATATAATCCTATCCTAGTCTGAATTAGACAAATCTTTCACGCCACAAATATTATTGCATACTTACTAGAGAAATAACAATGTGGCAGTTCTTTAAAAATAATGGCTATAGATTCATTGCCAATCCTCCCATTGAGAGGCAGGGTCCATGTCTCTGAAATCTGTGTAGGCTTGAGGCATGGACATGATGCTATGTGACTTCCATGGTGAGATCTTAAAAGGTCCTGCTGCTTCCACCTAATTTCTTGACATATTCACTTTGGGATGATCCATTTAGGGACACTTTCTCTCAGAACCAACTTCCATGCTATGAGAAGCCCAAGTCACATGGAGAGGCCACACGTAGGGGCCTCTGGTCTTCAGTCCCAGTGAGCCTACCCTCTGAGTCCTCTCTGACCAGGGGCCAGAAAATTGAGTGAATATGCTCACAAACTATTCCAGCCGTCAGTCATTCAATTTTTTCCATCCGGGACCCCCAAGACATCATCTGAAGCAGGGATAAGACATTTCTTCTAGTGTAGCAAAATTCTAAGATTGTCCCCAGAATTTACCCCCCATTCATATCCTGTGTAATTCCTTCTCTTTTGAGTGGGGGGTGGGAGGATGATAACTATGATAAGATATCACTCCCATGCTTAGGTTATGCTGTATGGCAAGGTGAAGGGATTTTGCAAATATCATTAAGGCTCAAATCAGATGGTTTGGGTTGACAAATAGGAAGATTATTTTGGGTGGGCCTGGCTTAATCAGGTGAAAGTCCTTAAAAGAGGTACTGGCCCTTCCTGAGGAGAGAGATTCTTTTGCCAGCCATGGAGGCTGCCATGTTGTGCAAGGGCCACATGGCAATGAACTACTGGCAATCTCTGGAAGCTGAGAGGGGCCCCTGCTTACAGCTGGCAAGAAATTACGGACCTCAGTCCTACAACCTAAAGGGCCTGAATTCCGCCAACAACGATGTGAGCTTGAAAAAGGTCCTCAGCTCCAGCAAGAAATGCAGCTTGGCTAACACCCTGATTGCAACATTGTGAGACCCTGAGCAGAGAAGTCAGTTAAACTGTGCCCAGACCCTTGACCAACTGAGATATTAGATATATGATATTTTACACTGCTAAATGTGTGGCAATTTATTACATAGCAATAGAAAAGTGATATACCTATTGGGCCCTGTCTGAATTCCTAATCCACAAAATCTGTGTGCATAATGAAATAGTTATTTTATGCCACAAAATTTAGGGTTGTTTATGTGGCAACTCAATAGATAACTGAAATAAGCAGTTATTGAAAAAGACAAAAGTCCCGTCCTCATTGCATTATTACCCCTTGTGAGGGGGAGAAAGACAATAAAATAATAAGTAAAATATGGAGCATGTAAAATAGGGACAAGTGCTAGGAGATGAATGAAGCAGAAAAGAGGGGTGATGATTTCTGGGGGTGGTTTCACTTTTCGACTGAAATGTTCAGTCTAGATATTCAAAATACTTAACTACAGGTGGCAAAGAACCCCAACCAGGCAGAACAGATGCTGACCATGGTACTAAAACAGGCCCCAGAGGTCCCCCACTATGCTAGGCATTCATTGCTTAGTGTGAGGATCATGTATTTATATGTATGTCCCTCAATGCAATAGGAATAAAAAGTCCTGGTATGTAGCATCACACCTCATTCATTAATTAATTTAACTATGGGCTAATCCAATGTTAATTGAATGCCTGTTGCATTAGGCCAGGCAGAGATGTGGAACTCCATGAGCACATCCTACTGAGCTCTAAGGTTTTATTGTGCAGCTGAGGAAGTGATACATACATGAAGAGTACTAACCTGCAGCAGTGCTAAGTTTCATGTATACTATTCTATTTCTCTGTCTCACCTACTATACAGTGGCTCCAGGAATAGGAAAGAGAGAGAAGCTGAGATATCAGAAATGCTTCTGGAGGTGTTGGAAATGGAGCTGAATCTTGAAGGATGGATATTTCCATTGGGGACCTTATTCGTCTTTGATTGCCCCCTAGTGCCCAGCACAGGGAATGTAAATGTGAGGAATGTGTGCCACTACTAGCCCCAGCAGCAGACACAACTAACTGATGATGGCTCTGTTGCCAGCTTAGCCCAGACTCAGCCTGAGAGTCCTTCTCAATACATGTAGCCACTACTAAAGGATCAGAGATGACACAGGAAATAAAACCTGAAAGTCGTTTCTGGGAGCTCCCTGCCTTGGGTGGGGTAGTTGCTAGTATTAATCAACAGTACACCTGGGGGGAAAAAATCTCTAGAAGCAAAAGCTACTCTGGTGAGAAAGAGGATAGTCTAGGAGGAAAGTTTTGTACCGTGTGGAAGCTCAGGTTTATCCCTTCACCCATAAGCCTCCTTCATTCACAGAAAGGCAGTCTTGGTTTGTGGTTTGAAGTCAGACTGAATGAGGTCCAAATCCTGATTTTTTTTCGTTTATAATACATATGATCTGAAGTAAGTTAATTCATCTTTTTAAATCTCAGTTTTCTCATTTATAAAATGGGAATAATAATACCTATCTTGTATGGTTGTCCTAAGAATGTTTAAATCAAATAATGTATAACATATATAAATGTTTTTCTACAAATTTAGGCATACAATAAATGGCATAATATTTTATTAAAATAAATCCAGCTTCAGGCTGGAAAGAAATTCAACTTTGTCATTATAGGGACTCCACTTCACACCCCCATCTCCATAAGGGCACAGAATCGCAGTAACTTGCCCTTCACAAGGACGAACCCCACAATCACAGTAACTTTCCCTTCACAAGGACAAGCAGAGAACTTTTCTTCTGTCACTTTTCAGCCCTATCTCACAGCTTGAGGACAGCGAAAGCCCAATAGCCACCAACTTAGAAGCAGGACCAGAAAAAATACAGTGGAAATTAAAACTAAACTAATATCTCAACGAACTGTCTTGCTACACTAAAAAGCCTCTAACATACTCCTTGACACATGGCATATGCCAATTATTTTTTCAGTTATTAAAATATACTTACAAGTCTCTATCATTTGCCAGGCACTATTTTTGAACAGAGGGTTTCTCAACATCAGAACTGTTGACATTTTGAACTCCATTCTTTATTGCTGGGGATGGGGAGGGATCCTGTCCTGTGGACTGTCAGATGTTTAGCAGCATCCTCGGCCTCTACCTACTAACGGCCAGTAGCAAGTCCCACCCCAGTCTTAGCAACCAAAAATGTCTCCAGACCTTACCAAATGTTGCCTAGGGAAAAACTGCCCCTGGTTTAGAACCCCTGAATGAAATAAATGAAAGAAAATTCCTACCTTTATGGACTTTACATTCTAGTGGGGGAGATAGACTATAAATAAATGTAACAATTTCAGTATGGAGGGATGGAGGGGACTGATAGTTCCTTTCCCCTCTGCTTCTCTGGGTAAATAAGAGCCAAGAACCATTCTGAAGACAGAAGCACAGGCATCAGTCCCTGATGAGAAGGAATTTCACTGGTAAGCAAAAATCAGACAAATGGAAATTGAATTATCTGAAATAACATTAGAAAGAAAAAGGATAATCATTTACATAACCATATTGAAGTATCAGTATTCTTCTCTTTTGGACATATTTCTGTGCATGAAAAGATAACCTCAGGATATCCACACACTAAAGGGATAAATTTCTCCTCCCTTCTCTCCAGCTTTGGGCTATTATTTTGAACACTTAGGGAAGAATTTAAAGAGTGCCCCCATTCAATGAAGCTTTACATTATGAAATAAGGCAGGAGCACATAAGAATAAAGAGTTATTTGGAAAATCGCTGAAATTATTTTTATCACAATGTCACTTAAATGCAATAAAATTTAGTTTTAAACAACTAGATTTAAAAATCCCTTTATGTACATAGCTTTTGTACAATTTATAAAACCAGAGCAAATTTATAAATTAAATATAAGCAAACCACATAGCTAATGAAGTTCAAGTTATATAGTGGCAGTAGTTTTGCTAAAACTAGCTTGCCATTTGAAACATGTCCAGGTTTTGTGTAGCATACCAGTAGCCCTCAATGCTATGAGATGACTCGGCTCTCCCACCTGTTTTTCTCTTAGAATTGCAATGAAACCTTTGCCCTTAGATGTGCGGTAATATAATTTGACCTTCCTATAGTGTCAACACATCATTTTCTTATTAGGTCTGCTTCTTCCATTCCTTCCTCATTAGCCCACTAAAGTCATCTAATTTAAACACAAATGCCTTCACAGAGAGGTACCACAGAGCAATATTAGGTTATAAGGTGGTAATTTGAGTGTTCAGAATATGCTTCTACTGCCGTTTTTCTCTTCCTTTGTAGGATTATCATTAAAATGGAAGCCCTAAATTTAAAAGCTCTTCTAGAAAACTCTAGGACCCCTATTAATACATCCATGAAACCCTAGACCCTAATTTGAAAGGTACTGGTATAATGGCTAAAGGCATCAGAATCAGAATATCTATGACTCAAAATTCTGGCTCCATCACTTATAAGCCATGTGATTTTGAGTGATAAATATACAATATCTCCTATGATTGCTGCATAAAACACTTTAAACAGTGCCCAGCACTTACCACATGCTCAATAAGTGTTAGCTATTTTGACTAGTGGCTATTACTAAGGAACCACGTGTCACCCCAGATTGGCTCCCACTGAAATTTACAACTGAACAAAACAGTCCTGGAGCAAAACTGTGAAGTTGTTTGTCTCTGCTTCCCTTCCCCTGCCTTCTCAATGCCCCTCTCACCCCTTAGATTTCTAAACATACCACCACCTGAGACACCAGTCTAACTCCCAGTTAACCATCAGCTCATCCTTCTGCCTCTCTTCATCCCACCTCTATTTCCTTCCAAAATAGGGTAGAATGGTTATTGGTAGACTTTCAAAAATCATTTATTGAGCAACTACTATGTGCTAGGCACTTTGAATACTAACTTTATTTAATCCTCTCAATAAGTCAGCAAAGTAGGCATTGCTGATCCTCAACTGCAGAAACCACTGCATCTCTAATGTCAGGCACAATCTCTTGGAAACAAGAAAATCTCAATCAGTGTTCATTGAATGAAAGAATGTCACCTTGCCTGAGGTAATAGAGCTAGTAACTAGAAAAGATGGGCTTCAACCCCAAAATGGATTCCATGGTTTTTAATGCTCTTTCCTCTGCACCAGAGGTCAATACACTTTCCGTAAAGAGCTAGATAGTAAACATGTAGGCTTTGGGTGCCATATGGACTCTGTTACAACTGCTCAACTCTGCTACCTTAGCACAAAGCAGCCACAGACAATACGTAAACTAATGAATGTGACTGTGTTCCCATACAACCTTACGTATGAATACTAAAATCTGAATTTCACATGATGTTCACATCATGAAATATTACTCCTTTTGATTTTTTCCCAACTATTTAAAAGTGTAAAAACCATTCTTACCTCATGAGCTGTACAAACACAGTTGACTGGATTTGCCCTCGGGTCATAGTTTGTCAACCCCAGCTCTATATCAGGTTGCCTTCCAAGCTCCCAACTCTCATAAGTCCTCCCCTTGACCAGGTGGAATGAATGGAACTCGCAGTTAAATGGGATCAAATCTTTCAACTGTTTCTGGAGCTGTGCCATGCAGGCAATGGGTCACCTCCCAGAAAGCCTTCCCCACATATGGGAACCCGTGAATTCTCCTCAGTGCCCAGTATACACAGTGTCTTTTCTTTAACCAGACCTCTGCAAACCAAATAAGTTCTGGCTTATTGCAGGATTAAATAAGGTGCAAAATAATAAAGTTGGTCTGTTCCAAGAGGGCAATTATCTAATCTGTTAATGAAAGAGCAGTCACATATCATAGCAAAATTTCATCTGGAATATTCATTACAGGCAAAATTAAGATAAGTGAAACTTGCTTTATCCCCTTATTAAGTCAGACAAATGACTACATATATTTTCCAGATAAGAGACTGTTTAGAAGAAAGAACCTCTATATTTTACTAATGTAGTTTCCATTTTCTTTTGACCAAGGAAATTCAGAACTTGCCTTGCTGTAAATCACAGTAGCTCTAGTTGTTTTTTCGCTCTCCAAATGAGACATTGCCTGACATCTAACATGTGGCAACATCTGAGAAAAGTTTCCACAAATTGGTAAAATTCTTTCTACATGAATATGTAATGTAATCATCTTGTTAAATAAGAATAGATAATTTCCCCCAAAATGAATGCAATAAAGGGGCATAGAAAGAATAAATAATTCTAATACTGTTCTTTAATTCTGCTTGCAATTTTCCAAATTCCAGACTGATGGCAACATAGTGGGCCTATTCTACTAGACACTCTTTCAAATGTTCATGCTCGTTAGGGAAATCTACAGGGACAGTAGTTCTAAAAAGCCCCAAAATGCAGTAAATTTGCATCATCTTATAGCAAAAGAAAAGGTCATTATTTTGTCATACTTTTCTATATTTGTCTCTATTATCTATGCTTGTATTCAACAAACATTTATTGAGCACCAACTATGGGGCCAGGCATTGTGCTAGATGCAATAAGGGGTCCTATAAAAATATCATCATTGTCCTTCAGGAATCACAGTTTAATTGGAGAAGAGATGATAATAATGATGAGATTGATTATGTTAAGCACATAATTATTGATTATGTGTCTGGCGTTGTGCTAAACGATCTTACATAATCTGATTTAATGTCCCCCATCCCAAGAACATATAAGATAGATGTTATTATTATCCCCATTTTACAGAGAAAGAAACTGAGGTTTAGATAGGCTTACTCACTAGCCCATGATTGTATAGTTGATAAAGAGGTGGATCTGAGATATGAACCCAAGAAGACTGGCTCTAGAACTTGCTGTACTGGAAGTTGTACGTAAGTAACCATAATGCAATGCTGAAAGTGATAGATGCTCTAGGAGGGGGACAGATAAAATACCACAAAAGTTAAAGAGAGGGAGAGGCAACTTTTGACTAAAACACTCGAGGGAAATTCCACAGAGCTGAGATAGAGAAAATTTGGAAATGGAGAGATGATTGGAAGGAGATTCCAGGCAGAGGTAACATCATGAGCAATGGCACAAAGGTGGAAAAACATAGGACACATTCAGGAAAAAGCAGGAAGTCCAGTTTGGTGCCAGCTGTCCATTATTGAGTGAAGCAGGAGATTAGGGAGAAAGACAAGTGAGAGAATACTCACAGGAGGTCATTAAAAGTGAATATTTATGTGATATTTTAAGTGTACAAGATTCATGAGACAACTATTATTTTCATTTGACAAATGAAAAACCTGAGGTTCAGAGAGGCAAAGTTACCCACTCAGAATCATGCAGTCAGAAGGTTTCACATCTCATTAATTGATTCAAAGAATACTTGTGGCAGGGCACAGTGCCTCACGCCTGAAATCCTAGCACTTTGGGAAGCCAAGATGGGAGGATTGCTTGAACCCAGGAGTTTGAGACCAGTCTGAGCAACATAGGGAGACACCGTGTCTACAAAAAACATTTAAAAACTAACCAGGTGTGATGGCGCTTGCCTGTAGTCCTAGCTACTTGGGAGGCTGAAGCAGGAGGATTGCTTGAGCCCAGGAGGCTGGTGCTGCAGTGAGCCGTGTTTGTGCCACTGCACTCCAGCCTGAGTGACAGAGGGAGACCTTGTCTCAAAATAAAAGAAAAGGAAACGGAAAAAAAAAAAGAAGATACTTATTAGGTCAGGTGCTGTGCTAGGCACCAAAGATAACCACGAACCAGGCAGACATAGTCATAGTCTTCACAACACCACCACTAGGTAAGAAAAGCACCATTATAAAGAAATCATTACAATCAAGTATGGTGTATGCTACACGGAAGAAGTACAAGGTGTTTTGAGAGCCCAACAGCCCAGGGAGACCGGGAAGATTTCAAGAATTAAGTGGCATTGAAGCCCTAAAGATTCAGAGGAGTTAGCTTGATAATGGGGGGTAGGATGGGGATAAAATATGGTAGGGAATATTTCAAACAGAGCATTCCAAGTAAATGCAAAGGCCCAGAGGAGAGAGAAAAACGGGGCATCTTCCAGGCAGTGAGGAGCTTAAAGGACACAGACAAGAAAGCAAAAGCTGGAGAGGTTGGCGGATGCCAGGTTCTGAGAACAGAGGGTAGAATGGAGGTTGGAGGGTGCAGCAGGGGTGACATAGCTAGGTTTAGGTAGCAAAAGAACAGTAAAGCTATGAAAAAGAGATAGGATTAGATAGAATAGAAATGGGGCCAGATCGGAAGTGTTTGGAAGCCAAACCCAAGACTATTTGACTTGAAGATAATGGGCTCATCACTTTCCACTCTTTCTGGGGCAGCAGCAGGGAATCCCTGAGGCTTTGGAGGAGGTGAATGATAGCAACAGAGCTATGTATTGGGAAGATTAGCCTTGGGGCTGCATGGAGGAGCAATGATGACTCATCCACTCTTTTATTTTTTTCATTCAATAAATACTTGCTGAGTACCTAGTATGTGCTAGGCACCATGCAATACTTTTAGGCTTGGAGATTGGAAGGATGGTGTGTCATTAGCAGAGCTACAAACATATTTAAAAAGTCGTTCTCTAATGATCCTTTAAGACCCAATTTGGAAGCCCTCATCCATAAAGCTTTCCCTTCCAATATCACTTAAAACTTTCCTTCCCATAGCCACTTACTCTGTTCCATGACATCACGCAGCCTTGTTGCTGCTATCTCAGACTCATTCACTAATTGACACTACACATCTTATCTCAAGTGTTCCTCAGGACTCTTAACTTGCATTATTTTTAAGTTCTGGAGTGCCTCATGTAGTTCTGGACACACAACAAATAATTAGCTAAGAGGGCTGAATGATTGGACAAATGAATGAATGGACAAGATTTGCATGAGGACGATCTTTGAATGTTTGCTGTGATGTTATGTTTTATCATGTTGGATTCCATTCATTTCATCCCATGAAGACACTAATAACAAACACTTCTGTTTTAACTTATAAAAGTTTAAACATCAGTCCTTAACATATCATAATATCATCCCCTAGTCATTATAATTTTTGCCTTATACAAGGTGTATTGAAAGCCTTGTGGCCTGGTTTATAAACAACAGCATATTCAGTGTTGTAAAAGTGCAAGGTAATTCAAGCAAGAAATATATATCCCCAATATTTACAAAACACCTACTTTGCATCTCCTGATGACCAGCTATGACCAGCTACTTTCTACAGGGAATTGGGAGCATGCATTGAACACTTTTTATGTGCCAGTAAATGTCCTAGGAGTTGTATTTGCATGATTTCATTTGTAGGCTTCGTAGTAAAACAGGATATACGCAGAGATTTCTTCTGCTCTAGTTTGTACTTGACTACTGGATATAACTTGATTGATTAAGCAAGGAATATGTTTTTGCATCATGTGGACTTCAAATGGTCACGACACAATTGTAACAGGGAATTGGCACCTCACCCTCTAAAAAGCTGGTATTCCAGTAGACCAACATCTGGCAGCTTTGTTTGGGAAGCTGGTTGACTTCTGTTTTGTTGTTAACCGTTTGTAGTTATGAACTCTGACACTGTTTATTTTAAAGGCCCAGGAACCCGCTGCTTTTGATCTGGTTTTATATTTTGTTCATAATTTGGGGCTTTTAGGTTTGTTTCTGCTCAGTTTTGATCCCTTAATTTATGATTTTTAGCCTACGATAACAAAATATACTTGTTATTCATTTCCTAGGGTTGCCATAACAGATTACCAAGAATTTGGTGACTTAAAACAACAGAAATTTATTCTATCATAGTTCTGGGGACTCAAGGTTCAAAATTAAGGCATTGGCAGGATTGGTTCCACGTGGAGGCTCTGAGGGAGAGCCCATGTCATACCCCTCTCCAGCTGCTGGAGGCTGGCTGCGAGCCTTGGCTTCCTTGGCTTGTAGCTACATCAATCTAACCTCTGTCTCTGTCTTCACATGGCCTTCTCCCCTGCGTCTGCACGTCTTTACTCTTCCGTCTTTTATAGAAATGTGTGTCACTGGATTTAAGGCCCGCCCTGTTAATACAGGATGACATCATCTCCAGATCCTTAACTTAATGACATCTGCATAAAACCCTTTTTTCCAAATAAGGTCATATTCACAGGTTCCTGGTGTGCATATCTGTTGTGGGAAGGGGGAGGTACCATTCAACCCACTACAATACTTACAGCTATATTTTCCAAAGCAAACTTTAATATTGAAAATCCCACAGGAAAAATTAAAATGGTTGTTATGACAAGTCTGAAACTTTCTAGCTTCTAACCCTTTTTTCTCCATTGCAAAAATTGCTTTGTAATGAAACTTTCATTATAAATGAATATATAATTAATATAAATGAATAAATAAACCACACTTTCTTAGGATTGTAACTGTAAGTGAATTAGTATCTGTAAAGCACTCAAAATAATATCTAACACAGAATGCATTATGTGTTAGATAAATAATAAAATAAAAGTTATGTTCTAGAAGAGTAGACTGTATTATCATTCCATTTTACAGATGAGGGACTAGGAAGTTCAGTGAGGTTCAGTTACCAGCCCAAAGAGTGAAAGGCCATGATTCAAACTCGCATTGTCTGACTCCAAAGCCAGGTTCTTTCACTGCACCACAGTGCCCAGTGGGAAGTTGGGAGGAAACAGCCTGAAATTGCCATGGCTCTGTTCCAAACGGTCCTGAACCTTGGTCAGAGTTGGCCCACTGGAGAGGGGATGTTCATCAGAGAAAGTTCTGGGGGCCAAGTCAGAGGTCAGTTACTATGAGATTCGTCTGAAATTTGCTGAGTTATAGGAGAGATGATGGTCCATGAGAAGAACGTAAACAAACAGGGCTGGTGGAATAAAAGAGGGATTCGATGCAAAAGAGAGAACCCGGTGAGGTGCTAGTAGTTGTGGGGAAATGGGATTCCATGAAAATTGAGAATGTGCAGTAGCTGAAGCTTTTGGGGGGCCAGGGCTGCCTGCAGGACATACCTGATAACATATCCTTTATAAAGGCTGAGTGAGGAGACCCCTACCATGTTTGAGGGATAGAGAATGTGCTGTTTCTCATCACCCTAACAGTACAACACACAAGAATAAAAGTAAAGAAGAGAGGGAAATCAGAGAGGTTAGGTTTCAGAAAGAAATGCAAATGAAGGCCCCTTAAACACACCATCTACGCAGAAGAGGATCATAAGTGCTTTTTTATAAACACGCGCTCTCTTCTACTTTTCTAAATTTTCCAAATTTTCTAGGCACAATATACTCTCATTTTATAGTAGAAAAACTAACAATAACTTTTTTAGAAAATTTTATTTTGTGTATATTTTTTGAGACAGTGTCTCTCTGTCACCCAGGCTGGAGTGCAGTGGTGTGATCATGCTCACTGCAGCCTGGACTTCCCAGGCTCAAGCAATCCTCCCACCTCAGCCTCCTGAGTAGCTGGGAATACAGATGCACCACTATGCCTGGCTAATTTTTGTATTTTTTGTAGACACAGGGTTTTACCATGTTGCCCAGGCTGGTCTCAAACTCCAGGGCTCAAGCGATCCTCCTGCCTTGGCCTCCCAAAGTGCTGGGATTACATGCGTGAGCCACCGCGCCTGGCAACAATAACTATTTTAAAGCCACTCTACTGAAAAGCACACATTCTTTATAGGCCACACACTCTGATGGGAGCTCAAGCTGTATCAGCTGAGAACTGTTAGAGGTCAAAGAGATAATATGAAAAACATGTAGAAACATCAAGATAAATAATAATAGTAATAAAGCATCCCTGGCATTTTAGTAAGGTGACTATGTCTGTTATGTTCGGGACTTTCATTAGGAGAAAGAGAATGTTAAATGGAATGATGAAGGAGAGGAACAGCTAAATGAATACTTTGAATCAGTATTTATTGAAGAAGACAATGGGGAAATTCTTGTTCCAAGGACACATTTTATGGCAAAGCAGAGAACGGCCTTGACAGAGATTCTTCAGTCTCTCAGGAGAAAGGTATGGAGCAACTTGAGGGACTCTGTGCAGTAAATCACCAGGACCAGATGGTATTCATCCATGGGTTCTGAATGAGATAAAGTGGGAAATCACAAGTTCAGTGACAAGGATATGTAAGAGATGCTTAAAAACAGCCAATATCCCTGAAGATTGCAAAGTCATTAATATGGTATCAAATATGTGTGTGGAATGCGTGTGTGCACACATGATCCTTGAGTATTCTGGAGCCTTTGGAGGGGCTGGGGTGGGGAGCAGGGCTGATTTTCTTCCTTTTTTTTAAAAAAACAAAAACAAGAAAGACTCCTTAATGAAACAAAGGACAGAGGAATTTTAGGTAGCAGAAAGAGCATCAAAAGATATGAGGCCAAATTTAAGGGCTGTTTAATAACATTGAGCAGTTATTTTCCAGGCACTCAGGGAAACACTAGGATATAAAGACGAATAAACATGCCCTCTGTCTAATGCGAAAGTTTATAAGCTAATGACTGGTTATTTTCATGGTCCTGCTACTGGCTTTGATGGTAATTGGCAACGTAGCACCTCTGGCACCACCAGTGGATGTAGGAAACATCTGGTAATTTTTTCTCACTAACAAAATCATAAAGAAAGTTTCAGTTTGTTTGGCAGAATCTGGGGACTTGGAAAGCAGAGATAGACTTTCACCTCTATCCCATAGGAGTCAATCTCTGGATCCTAAGAGTTATCCATTTGGTAATAATGCTAATAACAGAGTAGCTAACGTTTATTGAGTGCTTACTAAGTACCAGGCTCTTGCTCGATTCTTTGCCTGTATCTCTCATTTCATTCTCTAAACAGTTAATAAATAGAAGACCTAGAATTTGAACTGTAGTAGTACAATTCCAAAGTTCATGCCTTTAAACATGACTCTATACTACCTCTCCATATGTGTGTTTTATTCATAAAATGGAATTAAAAGTTTCACAAAACAATTCTTACCCTTATTGCAGATGATTCTCTTCTGTTTTATTAAAAGAATGATGCTCTCAAACCCCCAAATTGATTTCATGGCCCACCAACAGGTCACAATCCACAGAGTGTCTAGAGAAATAAGAGTAAGTAAGTAACCACATCCTCTTCGACACAGAGGAACGGAAAGCTAAATGAAAGCCCTGGTATTTAAATCTCAATGCATTAGTAAAGGTAATCAGACAACTTTTTTTAAATTGCCTTGGATCATTTCGAGGTGCTTTTAACATGGGGGCAGCTGCTATGTTCCTTCCACTCTCCTTGTTTTAGAAGAAACTTAGAAAAGTGTTCATTTCTTCACATTGAATCGTTGGGAAAGAACCCTAAGAGTTAAAAAGCTGTTTCTTACTTTGACCTGAAATCTGACCACCTGAAACTTCTACCCACTAATTCTGGTTCTACCAATTGGGACACACAGAATATTCTAATATTTTTTCTACCTAATATCCTTGAAATATTTGGAATGCATTAGTGTTTCTCTTGGCTGTTTTCCCCTTCAGCATAAACATTTCTAGATCTATTAACCACGGGTGAGTAAAAACTCAAAAGCCAATCCAAACTGGCCTAAGCAAAAAGGGGCTTCATCAGCTTATATAGTAGAAAAAGCCAAGGATTGTCCTAGCTGCTGGCACAGCTTGATCTGGGGCCAAATTAATGACACCAGGAAAGACCAATCTCTCTTAGCATTATTGCCCACCATGTTTGTCCTGATCTCCCTTGGAATATGGCTGAAGCATATTCCCATGAATAAAGTCCAGCAGGAAAGTTAATTTCTTTCCCAGAAGTTTCAGCAAAAAATTCTCTTCCATCTCTGTGGCTCTGAAGAGGCCATGTGCTCAGTCTTCCAGCTCTTACTGTGGTCAAAGGCACTGGATGCTTTGATTAGCCAAGCTTTAGTCACATGCCTAGCTCTGGGTTGAGAGGGCAGAGAGGCGGTCTCTAAGAGGGAGATTGCAGGGGAGGAGTCTGGGATAAAGAGAGGCTGGATAAGGAAAAGGCAATAGATGTCCATTAGAAACTGTTGCTTACATTTCTGTCATAAACTACATCATCAAAGCAGCCTACCAAACATCAAAATAAAACACACTGGTTAGCCTTCAAAGTTCCCACAGGTTGTGGGGAGACAGATTGGGGCTGGGCAATAATGCCACAGGTATGCCCACGCATACACTGAAATGATGCCCCAGTAGAATAGTAACTCCTTATTCCTCACCTGCCATCTCCTCTATGTAGCCTTTCCTGTTTCACGCCCTTCATAGAGCTCCTATTGGCACTTCTACTATATTGCAATTATTTGTGTTGCAGGCTCTGTTCTTCCTGACTGTGAGTTCCTTGAAGATGGGGATTATTTTATGAATCTCTATATTCCTCACACCTAGAAAATGCCAGACAAAGAGGCATATAATTATTGCTATGTGAATGAATTGCCCTGAGACCGTCAAAGAGGATACTCCATAGCAGTTCTTTGAGCATGGGATCAACCTGCATCTTTCTCAAGCTGCATAGATTTCAGTATCCACACCCATAAAATCAACAGAAAAAAACTGCTTTCAGATTCCCTGGCATCCTGGGGCATGGGTGGGTAACACAGCAAAGCTGAGCAGGAGAAATAGGAGGAAGACAGGGACTATCAGACAGATGGGATTGAAATTGTAGACCATGATTACAAATTAGAAAGCTGAGCCCAAAATGTCACAAATGTTAGAATTAGCAGTCCATAGGAACTGGGTTTAGGACTGACTCTCTTTACTCTGCTCCTTTTTGAACTACCAGAGGTGCTGGGAAAGGGAAGAAGGGTAGGGATGAATCTGGAGAAAACGAGCCTTGGCTATGGCCAACATGAGATCTGATTTCCTACCCTCAGTTAAAGTGGGAAGAAAAGGCTCTACATATGTATACATGTGCCATGTTGGTATACATATGTAACAAACCTGCATGTTGTGCACATGTACCCTAAAACTTAAAGTATAATAATAATAATAATAAAGGCTCAACTATAGGTATTTACCAAGCACCCTGTATGGAAGGACACAAACACAGTTCCCCATCACTGGGTTCACGTGCTATTGGCAAGAGCTGCAAGAAGGACAAAAAACCAAACACCGCATGTTCTCACTCATAGGTGGGAATTGAACAATGAGAACACATGGACACAGGAAGGGGAACATCACACCGGGGCCTGTTGTGGGGTGGGGGGAGGGGGGAGGGATAGCATTAGGAGATATACCTAATGCTAAATGATGAGTTACTGGGTGCAGCACACCAACATGGCACATGTATACATATGTAACTAACCTGCACATTGTGCACATGTACCCTAAAACTTAAAGTATAATAAAATAAAAGAATTACTTACCTTGTCTCACATATTAAGACTGAGGCAATACTTAATGCCTCTACAAAATGGCTTAAGCTCCTCAGATAAAAGAAGGTATAGAAATGAAGAAACATTTAAAACTGATAAAACTCTTCTGTTCAAAGCATGAAGTAGGCTGAAAAAAATGAAAAAAACTGTTATGTTGATTAATCCTTCAATGCACAATGTTATGCCAACAGGATGCAGATGATGCAGATGACATGAATGTTTTTCCTTCGCCTCAAACAGGGAGTCAAGTCGGAGAAGCAAGCATGAAAACAGAAACTAACCTTAAGCCAAAGCACAGGCCCTTAGCAATATTACTATATGCCCACCAGTCACCTGCCTGTGGAAATGAAATCATAACCATTCCCCTTTGCCCCGCTTCCTCTGTCACCCATCACAGACTGTGAGTACTGTCACAGGGGTATGAAACAGCAAATAATGACGCTGATACTTTTCTTACTGCCTCTTAAAGACAACCACTATTCATGGAACAACAGTTTGTAAGCTCAAAGTAATGATGGACAAATTGATTAAGAGATGCTTAATCTAAGGATTAGCATTCAGCCAAATGCTGCTTAACATAGCCAACAAGGATTCAAAAGCGGAAACAGCTGTGTTGTTCAGGAATTTGTTTGTAATAAAAGAGTAATTTTTTGCCAGTAAAATTCGGCATTAGTAAATCCTTTAGCATCATCTCTTTCTTGTTGGAATTCCCAAGCTGGAAACTTCCTGCGATCAATATTCTAAAGACATGGTTCCTGGGTCTGAGAGGGAGGCAACAGCACTATAGACATCAGAGAATTCTGGGCTCCATCCCTTCCTAACAAAGAAGCTGTCTGAATTCTCTTAGCCTTGGACATTCTATCCACAAAATAGGGCTGATAAGCAATACCTTACAGGGGTTGTTGTGAACAATAAATAAGCAATCATACATAAAGTTTCTAGCACTCTACGTAGGAGCTAAGAGGTTTTCAATCAATGTTTGTTCCTTGCCCTCCTTCCCTCATCTTCTAGGACTTCCAATATACTGTTTTAAACCTACATTTTTGGCAAGAAGAGCAAAACTCCGTCTCAAAAAAAAAAAAAAAAAAGCTACATTTGTTAGCCACTAAATTGTTTAAGGTAAATAAATGAAGCATTTGCTTTTTTTCAGAAAAGGAATTTTTTTTCTTTCGTTGTGTTTCACATCATATAAGCACCTTTACCAAAAAGCCTAAGAATGATGATGAGAAAAACAAAAAGCAGTGTGAGTATTTGTGTGGGCTCTTCCTGTAAATTAAAGTCATTCTTTTAGTAAGTTGAGGAGGGGACAAGAAGGAAGATGGAGGAGACAAAAATTAAAAAATTTAGGGATATCTATTATGTGATAGGCACTTAGTAGACATGTTATATAACATTATCTTTTTGTTGTTGTTTTTGTTGAGACGGAGTCTTGCTCTGTCACCCAGGCTGGAGTGCAGTGGTGTGATCTCAGCGCACTGGAACCTCCGCCTCCCAGGTTCAAGCGATTCTCCCACCTCAGCCTCCCGAATAGCTGGGATTACAGACACCCGCCACCGCACCCAACTAATTTTTGTATTTTTAGTAAAGATGGAGTTTCACCATGTTGGCCAGGCTGATCTCAAACTCCTGACCTCAGGTGATCAGTGCTGGGATTACCAGTATAAGCCACCGTGCCCGGCCAACCTTACCTGTTTAATAAATATGACTGTATCTTGACCCCTCTGTGACATCAAACCTCAGCTCTGCTCCTTGATAGTTGTGTGACTTTGGGCAAGTTACTTGACCTCTCTGTACCTTAGTCTCAACATTTGAAAACAAGGAAAATAAAGTGCATACCTCATAAGATTGTTAAAATTAGATGAGTTAAAACATATGAAACTCTTAGAACAGATCCTGGCACATAGTAAATATTGAATAAACATTAGTTGCTAATAATCATAATTATAGTGACAATAATATTTTAAAGCCCTTAACATCAATGGTGGCACATAGTAGATGCTCAAAAAATACTACCTGTTATTACTTAGACAATAAAAGTAAAAGATGATTTCTTTTACAAAAAAGCATTCTTTTTCATTAAGTTTATTCTCTATAGGAGCTGTCTCTATACCAAGCAGAAATATATGAACATCCACTCTTATTTTATTTTATAGATAATCAAATCAGAAGATAAATTTCTTGTCTCTTTATACAAAATCTCTTTTGGAGCCCATAGTGAGTTGGATAAATGTTTTGATTATCAGGCCATTAGGCAGAATTTCCAAGGATAGCAGTTCCTTAAGTCTCTCTCTTCCCTTATGCCCACTTACCCCCCAAAAATACCCACTCAGTGTCTAAGGGCCTCCAGGGAGGCATCTTCTCCATTTCTCACAGCCCCATCATCTCTGTCTCTTTCCTACCTCTCCAGCTCTTTACCTGTCACTCAGTGCACACTAAAATTCAGCAAAAGCAAACAACATGTGGAGCCCCACCCTCGCTATGCCTTCTCTCAGGTTCACTAACGTTGCTTTGTCTCTCTGTACCTGAATTGATCTGTCCTAGACCACAGGAGGCATTCAGTACAAGTTTACTGACTGAAGGATACTGAACTGCAAAAGAATCTGCATACCAAAGAAACTGTACGCCATTCAGACCTGGGCTCACCGCAAATATTTACTCTTTAATCATTTCTGCTTGTGCCTTCAATTAGAGGAAAATAATGCATGTGTCTTAAACAATTTTCAATATATGAGAGCAGAAATAGTTCCAGATCACCATATAAACAGATACAAAAGCAGCAAATCTCATGACATTGATGTGGAAGGCATAGAATTGTCTAGATACTTAGAATAATATTGAACATGGAGTCTTGATTGAAAATGGACTTTTTCAAACTATTTTATTTAATTAATTAATTTATTTATTTTTGAGATGGAGTCTCGCTCTGTTGCCCAGGCTAGAGTGCAGTGGCACAATCTTGGCTCATTGCGACCTCTGTCTCCTGGGTTCAAGTGATTCTCCTGTCACAGCCTCCTGAGTAGCTAGGATTACAGGCATGCACCACCATGCCTGGCTAAGTTTTGTATTTTTAGTAGAGCTGGGGTTTCGCCATATTGGCCAGGCTGGTCTCGAACTCCTGACCTCAGGTGATCTGCCCAGCTCAGCCTCCCAAAGTGCTGGGATTACAGGCATGAGCCAATGTGCCCAGCCTTTCAAACTATTTTACAAGTAATTCATCTACCAACTGAAGTGCCCACAATCCCAGGTGCTGTGACAAATGCAAAATATATGACAGATCTCTTTGTCCTCAAAGAACTTATGATACAGTTGTGGAAGGAAAAGATACATGGGAGGGCTCAGAATATTTTAATGCTAAACTGATGGTACTGAGAAAGCATCTCTTTAATTCTGAGAAAATGATTAGTTGGAGCTAAAATGAAAAAAGAATATAATAAAAAGTTCGGGTTCTCAAAGTACAAAAATACTGTAAAATTCACTTTAACCAGATTAATAACTTTCCCCCAAAATTTATAATTTTATACATTTTTCATGCAGGCTATAGAATACTTAAGCTGTGCTATACTATATCCTATATTCTTATGAATACTATTAAAAACATACATATTCACATGAGCTACAAAGCTGTAATTCAGCATTTCAACACCTATGACTTTCAAAAAATTCTAGAATTTTAGACCCGATTGTAATCATTTCCAAACTCAAACAGAGTCAAACTCTTCTATTTCTTTTTCCAGAAAGTTAAAAATACTTAATACATTAAAAACATGATGAATTTTTAGTTATTTGGGTTATCTACTTAGTCTGTGGATTATTCGGATTTCTTTCCTTTTTTTTTGTTTTTTGTTTTTTTTCTTTGAGACAGGGTCTCACTCTGTTGCTCAGACTGCAGTGCAGTGGCATGAACTTGGCTCACCGCAAACTGCGCCTCCCGGGTTCAAGCGATTCTCCTGCCTCAGCCTCCCAAATAGCTGGGATTACAGGTGTACACCACGACACCCAGCTAACTTTTGTATTTTTAGTAGAGATGGGGTTTCACCATATTGGCCAGGATGGTCTCAAACTACTGACCTCAAATGATCCACCCATCTCGGCCTCCCAAAGTGCTGGGATTACAGGCGTGAGCCACTGCACCCGGCCCTTCTTTCCTCTTTATAGAGAGCTTGCCTCACTTCTGCCCTTTATTTGTAAAGCACTTAGAAGAGTTCTTGGCAGGTAGTAAGTACTCAGTACCTATTACTACCATCACTACTGCTGCTATGACTATGAATATGACTACTACTACTACTGTGGCGTCTGCTACTTCTTTTACTGTTTCTACTCTTATTACTACTATTACTATTACTGCTGCTGCTACTATTCTATCTTTGTTCACTAGCACTTCCTTTACCAGAGGATTGGCAACATAAATAAAAGAACATGAGCCTTACCCTAAACCTAAGGGTTCTTAACTTGGCATCCAAAGACCCTTGAATATGTGAACTTGAATGGGGCAAGTTTACTTCTTTAGTTTTACTATCTGCTAATGTAATCACTGTAACATGAACAGTATCTATGACTCTGTCACTCTTAGAAATCACAGATATTTTCATCTCACTTTATAATTAATTGTTACAGAAATAGCACTTATGTTCATCAATACTTCTCACCACTAGATCTTGTTATTTAATGCATTAATAATGAAGGATATATATTACTATATCATATCTTTGAGATTTTTATCTTTTGATAGCCATATATAGAATATATAACTGGTTCCCTTCATAGTCTTATGTATTTCATTTTATTCATTTAAAAACATTATTTTGAGAAAGGTTCAGTGGGCTTCACTAGATGGCCGAAGGGGTTCTGGCACAAAAAAGGTTAGGAACCCCTGACCTAACCATTCACTCACAAAGCTTTGATTCATGCTATCCCTCTGCCCCAAATGCCCTACCCTCCTTTTCCTATTGATTCCCGCTTCACAGCTTGTACAATTTTGCCTTCTTTGTGAAATATTTTTCTCCCTCTCTATCATTCCAAAGAAATTGTTGATTACACTTACTTCCTGAGTTTGTAGCTCTCTTTTACTAGTTATATGATCTTGGACAAGTTTTTAACTTTCTCAAACTCATTTTCCTCAATTGTAAAATAAAAATAATAGTAGTAGATATAATACTTAGAGTGGTTGTGGGGATGAAGCAAGATTATACACATCAAATGATTACTAGGACATCTAGAATAGCAAATCTCAAACTTTTTTAGTTTCAGAACCCTTTTATTCTCTTAAAAATTTTAAGAACTCCAAAGAGATTTTACATGGGTTATAGCTATAGATATTTACAATATTCACATTTTAATATTTCTTTACTAATTTATTTTAAAATAACAATAATAAATATTGTTATATGTTACACAAATTATGTATTAACATTAATAATATTTTTATGAAAAAACTATATCTTTTAAAAAAGGCAAGAGGACTGACTTTGTTTTCCATATTTGTATGTCTCCTTAGTGTCTGTCTGGCTTTAATATCTATTGCAGTATGTTGTTTTTATTTAAGAATCAGAAGAAAATTGAGCCTCACATAGACATGTAGTTGAAAAAGAGAGGAGTATTTTAAGTCTTTTCAGATAACTGTGGATATCTTTCTTGAATACTCTATCAATCTGACAAGTAATATCTGGTTAGTTAGATAAGTTGAGATGTGGAATCTGAAACAATATCAATCAACTTTTCATATTCTGTTGTATTAAAATACAGTGGCTATCTTGCACTTTGAGTGGGTCTTTCATTCACATACAATTTTACACCATCATGCATTGGTCATTTCGAATAGTGTTGGTTCACTGGGTTATGCAGATCTACAAAACATTGACATGTTTCATTATGCAACATGGAAAAAAATCGCAGTCATTAATAGCATCGCATCTCATCAGAAAAGTCTTCAGATTTAGGGAAGCTGACAATTTCACGGTGATGTATAAAAGTCCTCCAGAATTCTAATTTTCATATGAAAGTTCAAATTTTATCATTGGTAACAAATATTGTCAGTCATTTTTCCTCAAAGTGACAGGCTCCCTTCATTCATTTTTGAGAAAACATCAGCCAAAAATACCCATGTCTAAATAAATGTAGTTTGCCTGTCAGTTTTTCTTTTCAAGTGAAAATGTGTTCCATGAAAAAAAGTGGCTACTCACTCATGCGAGTGTTTTTCCTCAAGACAAGCCTCATGCTTTGGTGTGTATCAGAGTGCTTTATGCATATTTCCATGGTGTCATATAGAAGATTCAATGAGTGTGGACTCAAGGGTCTATATTTATTAAAATTAATAATTTTTACTGCTTCATCAAAGCATTCTTAAGTGAAACTGGCTTTTTCCCCCTGTGTGTGCACAGCAGTGATAAATACAACAATGCATTAGTGGCAGATTCTGCTGCCATGCTTCAATTCATGTTAAGGCAACAACAGTTTTGCTCACCATTGCTTTTACACTATTGGAGCAAATGCTAACACAGTAAAAATGCAAATAGTGTCTTAGTATTATTGTGAAAATTGTTTTGACATTGTGGACTTACCGAAAAAGTCTTGGGGAACCCAGGGGACACATGAACTTCAATTTGAGAACGGCTTGTCTACAGCATAGTATGTGCTTAATCAATGATGGACTGATCGCATATAAAACAGGGGTCCCATGAGATTTTAATGGAGCTGAAAAATTCCTATCACCTAGTGACATGGTAGCTGTGATCTGTCATCATGTCATAACACAATACGTTACATTTTCTTTCTACGTTAAGATATGTTTAAATACACAAACACCTACCACTGTGTTACAACTGCATACAGTATTCAGTACAGTAGCATGCTATACAGGTTTGTAGCCTAGGAGCAATAGACTATACCATGTAGCCTAGGTGCGTAGTTGGCTACACCATCTAGATTTGTGTAAGTACACACTATGATGTTCACACAACAAAATTGCCTAACATATTCCCGTTGCTATGCAACATGTGACTGCAACTAGCTATGAGGACTATGCTTTCCTAATAAAAATAGGAATTATAATACCCAAGATGATCTACATATAAATAGGTAATAGGAAATGGAGACCATCCCCCCTCAAATCATTTTTGCTCTTTTTTTCATTTTCCCTCGTTTTATAGTTAGATGTATACATAGTATCCAAACATTACGGCCCAGGAGTCAGGCCTAAGTCAGAATCCCATTACTATCACACTTACATAAGCCAGTATTCCAATACCAGCACAGTGCTTTCTACAGAGCAAGTGCTTAATAAATACTTGTTAAATAAATGAATGAATGAACAACTAAGCAAATTCAAATCAGTCCATTCTGGGCTGATCAGCAACTCTGGTGAAAGGACAGAGACTGAAGTGGAAGATGGTTAGTTTATTTATTTGTGTTCGTTTGCTTTTAAGGTAGGCAGTTTACCTGTCGTACTCTTGTTTAGAAAATTAAATTTGTTTAATAACCAAACAACATTACTTTTTCAGGGAAATAACATTGACTTTTCTTCTTAGTAAGAAGCTAACATATGATTATGGTAGAAAGTGCAGACAAAAAAAAAGGAAGAAAATAAATTACTGGTCATTCCAGCATCTGGAGATAATCTTTTTATTGGCAGGGCGTGGTGGCTCACGTCTGTAATCCCAGCACTTTGGGAGGCCGAGGCGGGTGGATTACTTGATCCCAGGAGTTCCAGACCAGCCTGGATGACATGGGGAAACACCATCTCTACAAATGTGTGCCTGTAGTACCAGCTACTCGGGAGGCTGAGGCAGGAGAATTACTTGAACCTGGGAGGCAGAGGTTGCAGAGAGCCAAGATCGCACCACTGTACTCCAGCCTGGGCGACAAAGTGAGACTCTGTTTCAAAAAGAAAAAAGAGAGATAATATTTATTGAAATTTTATTATCTTTTTTCTAGGCATATAGGTGAATTTTTTTTTACCTCCTGTTTGTTGCCTCCTGTTTTCATCTCATATCATATAATGAATGTCCTTCTAAATTATTATACGTCTTTCTCTAACATATTTCTTTTCTTTTTTATCTTTCTTTTTTTTTTTTTTTTTTTTTTTTTTGAGACAGAATCTTGCTCTGTCGCCCAGTCTGGAGTCCAGTGGTAGGATCTCGGTTCACTGCAACCTCTGCCTCCTGGGTTCAAGCAATTCTTCGGCTGCAGCCTCCTGAGTAGCTGGGGCTACAGGTGCATGCCACCACGTTCAGCTAATTTTTTGTATTTTGGTAGAGATGGGGTTTCACCATGTTGCCCAGGCTGGTCTCAAACTCCTGAGCTCAGGCGATCCGCCCGCTTTGGCCTCCCAAAGTGCTAGGATTACAGCCATGAGCCACCACGCCCAGCCTCTAACATATTTCTTAATATGTACATATTCTATATTATTTGAATGTACACAGAAATAAAGTGAGTTTTTAAATAAATATTATTTTTTATCCACATTATTCCTGTCCCATCTCATCATCAGCCAGAAAAACTATGAATCAGAAATAATATAGAAGGAAACACTAAGTAAATTCAAAGGATCTACCAAAGCACTTTTACCTTTCCTTCACTGTCATAAGCACCATGGCAATGAGTAACACGCATGGCAGAAACAGTCCTGAAAACAAGAAAGACATAGAAACTTAGAATGTGGCCGGGAGCGGTGGCTCACGCCTGTAATCCCAGCACTTTGGGATGCTGAGGTGGGGGGATCATCTGAGGTCAGGAGTTTGAGACTAGCCTGGCCAAGATGGCAAAACCCCATCTCCACTAGAAATACAAAAACTAGCCAGGGATGGTGGCAGGCACATGTAATCCCAGCTACTCGGGAGGCTGAAGCAAGAGAATCCCTTGAGCCCGGGAGGCAGAGGTTGCATTAAGCCGAGATGGCACCACTGCACTCCAGCCTGGACGACAGAGCGAGACTCTGTCTCAAAATAAATAAATAAATAAACCTAGAATGCCCACAAATAAGATATTTTAAGATGTATCTAGAAAGAAATAAACCTGGATCATGTAGCCAGGGAGAAAAAATTTCCCCCTTGGGAAGCTGCACAGGAAAAGTGCTCGAGGATGGGATGTATGTAAACAGTTCAGATGGTCCATAGAAAGTTAACTCAGAAGCTGCAGGAAATGAATGGGCAGAGACATAAAGCAAAAAATAAGTAAGGCTTGAAGAATAAAGAACTCTGCTACTGCCTAGCTAAAAGGGACTTTTAGGTGGAGGTTAAGGACACTTCATTCTAAATTCCCTGCTTCAGTTCTTCGAAATTCATGTCTCTATTTTGAACTTTCTTCTTAACTTCAAAGATAGTACAGTCTGTTGAATATAAAGGAAACATCCAATTGAGAAGAACACTACCAAAGAGAGAGAAGAAGTCAACAGGCAACAGAGCAAGATTACAAATAAGAGGGAGATGAAGTGGAACTGGATGGTCCCGAAGATGTAGTCTCTCACTCTCCCCTGCCTCTCAGAATATCTCCTATAACCTAATGTATGTACTAAATCAGGAGTCTGGGAACAGCAAGTAATTTCTGAATTTTAGTAAGATTGGAAAGGTGATTTTTACTCAACATGGTTCAGTGGCTTAACTAAGATTCAGAGAGTTCCAAGTTCTAGTCTCAGCTCTTTCAATAACGTATTGAAAAAAACCTAAGCCCCTCAGACCAGCATTCCACATCCTTAATTTACACTTAATTTAAACTTCTCAACTTCGTTATTCCTTCAATGTCATTCATCCAGTGAAATATGTCCACTCCATCCAAGCCAATCTCACTTCAAATCTTTGAATATATCTTGCTAAAAAAGCCTGCCTCCAAGTACTTACTTATGTAATTCCTTCTTTCTCCCATTTGTTCCTTCAATCAGATCAAAATGCACCTGCCACCTCTGCAATGTTCCTTAAATAATCCCCCTCTGTTTTGATCATCCAGTTATTCCACTCGTTTTAAAGAACATTGTAAGTGTGTGGACAAAAAAATAATTAGAAAAGTTTATTCAAACTATCATTGGCATATTGCTCTCAAATTGTTTAATTTGGGCCTTTTTTATTCCTTGATTGGATTGTAAATTTCCTGAGAGGCACTATGGCATCTAATTTTTTTTTCAAGACAATGGAAAATAGAAAAAAGAAAAAAGGAAGAAAGGGAAAAGAAAGAAAAAAGGAAAATGGAGAAGGGACAAGAAAAGAAAGTAGAGAAACAAAAGATAAATCTGAGAAGTTCTATTTTCTAACATATAAAATGAAAATAATGACATGGAGCTGCTTTGTGAAAGTCATATTGACATAAATAGATCTAATTCTAATGACCAGTCAATTTAAGATTGAAATCAAACTCCCCCAACCCCCGCAGGCTGCTTACTTTTTCTTTTATACACTTATCACCTTTTAACACAGTATATAATTCATTTACTTATTGTTTATATTTTATTATTATCTCTGTACCCCTACCAACTTGAAGCAAGCTCTATGGTGGCAGGGATCATCAACTGTTTTCCTCACTGATGTTTCCCTCCAACCCCTGGTAAACTCTCACTGAATGAAGAAAGCTCTCTGAAAACGTCATATATAAGCTCTGGAATTTTCACAAATGCCCACAACAGAGTCACAATGATCAATGGAAAAATACTCCCTCATTAATGCCACATACCAGCATTATCAACCACCTAAAAGATGAATGATTTAGACCCCAATTAAACACCATGAAAAGCATATGTTACAGAGAATCAAGCAGAACTCTACAGAGAATGTGGTAAGTGTGGACTTCAACACAGGCCCCCTAAGGGGGTAGGTGTTAACCAAATGAAATGGTGATAAGGGTAACCGGAGTCCAGTCTGACTTAGGAACCTTAAATGCTCCCTCCTCACTCTTAGTGAAAGCCACAAAGTGCCTATAAAAGGGCCTGGCTGTCTCCAGAAATCTCTCCAGGCAAGTCTCATATTTCCCCCTCCAGAATCTCACTCCAGGTGGTTGACTTGATATAGGCTCTCTGCTTCCAGCTTAGTTGTCATCCCCTGCCCTGTCTCTTTGGATGAAGTCCTGGATTCAGTAGGCCTATTTTATTCTAAACTAATTGATTATAGTTTCCCCTGGCTCAACTCCAGTCCCTTGTTTGTTGAGGGGAGAAGTTTATAAAACCTTTAAAAGAGATTTCAGGAAGAAAGAATATGAAAAACACAGCCTTGCCTCAACCTCAGTAATTGTTTTCAGGGTAGCCAGAACAGTCAAGTCAGCAGGTAGGGATTCAAATACTGGTTCTACCACCTCCTATTTGATTGATCTATGAAAAATGCATGACTTTCTCACACTAGGTTTCCTAATCTTCAAAACAGGTGATGGCGTTCAGGACACACCACCCCAAATATGGCACTTTGGTATTTGAGAAAACAGCAGAAGCAGGAGGGTCACTCTCCTCTTCTCCCACCTTTCTCCCATGAAACAGGCCATGAAAGAATTATGTGACTTTCCTTTAAAGTAAGACACAAGGGCCAGGCACAGTGGCTCATGCGTGTAATCCCAGCACTTTGGGAGGCCAAGGCGGACAGATCATTTGGGGTCAGGAGTTCTCGACCAGCCTAGCCAACGTGGTGAAACCCCGCCTCTACTAAAAACACAAAAATCAGCAGGGCGTGGTGGCGTGCATCTGTAACCCCAGCTACTTAGGAGACTGAGGCAGGAGAATAGCTTGAACCTGGGAGGCAGAGGTTGCAGTGAGCCAAGATAGTGCCACTGCACTCCAGCCTGGGTGACAGAGCGAGACTCCATTTCCAAAAAAAAAAAAAAAAAGAAAAAAAAGTAGGACACAAGGACCTCACTCCAAAGGTATCCTCGCTATACCCAGAGGAAAGGAATGCTCTTATCGCTGAAGATATGGAGACACAGAGAAGAATCTGAACAAATGAGCCTTGCTAAGTTCCCCCAGTTTATTACAATTATATCATAGTCTTTGTCCTCCAATCATACTGCATGGCTGTCCATAAAAATACAGTTTTCCCAGTTTCTTTGGGTCTTCATTTCTGAAAGCAGCCATGTCACATAAAACTTATACAGGCATGCCTCGGAGATAGTGTGGGTTTGGTTCCAGATCCCTGCAACAAAGCAAGTGTCACTATAGAGAGTCACAAGATTTTTTGGTTTCCCAGTGCATATAAAAGTTATGTTTACACTATACTGTAATCTATTAAGTATGCTATAACATTATGTCTAAAAAAATGTACAACATACCTTCATTTGAAAATACTTTATTGCTAAAAAATACTAATGATCATATAAGCCTTCAGCAAGTCATCGTCTTTCTGCTGTGGAGGGTCTTGTCTTGATGTTGATGGCTGCTAACTGATCAGGGTAGTGGTTGCTGAAGGCTGAGGTGGTTGTGGCAATTTCTTAAAATAAGACTACAGTGAAGTTTGCCTCATCATTCAACTCTTCTTTCAGGAAAGATTTCTCTGTAGCATGTGATACTGTTGATAGCATTTTATCTGCAGTAGAACTTCTTTTAAAATTGGAGTTAATCCTCTCAAGACCTGTTGCTGCTCTATCAACTAAGTTTATGGAATATTCTAAATCCTTTGTTGCCCTTTCAACAATTTTCACAGCATCTTCACAAGAAATAGACTCCATTCCATCTCAGAAACCACTTTCTTTGCTCATCCATAAGAAGCAACTCGTAGTTCATTCAAATTTTATCATGAGATTGCAGCAATTCAGTCATACCTTCAGGCTCCACTTCTAATTCTACTTCTCTTGCTATTTCTACATCTTCAGTTCCTTCCTCCACCAAAGTCTTGAACCCCTCTAAGTCATCCATGAGGGTTAGAATCAACTTCTTCCAAACTCTTATTAATGTTGATATTTTGACCTCCTTTCATGAATCACAAATGTTCTCATGGCATCTAGAATGGTGAATTATTTCCTGAAGGTTTTCAGTTTACTTTGCCCAGATCATCACATGATTCACTATCCATGGTAGCTATAACCTTATGAAATGTGTTTCTGAAATCACAAGACTTGAAGGTTGGAAATCACTACATGATTGATAGGCTGCAGAATGGATGTTGTGTTAGCAGGCATGAACACATTTATCTCCTAGTACATCTCCATCCAAGCTCTTGGGTGACCAGGTGCATTGTCAATGAGCAGTAATCTTTTGAAAGGAATCTTTGTTTCTGAGCAGTAGGTCTCAACAGGGGGCTTAAAATATTCAGTAAACCACACCATAAACTGATGTGCTGTTATCCAGGATTTATTGTTCCATTTCTAAGAGCACAGGCAGAGTAGATTTAGCATAATTCTTAAGGGCCTTAGGATCTTTGGAATGGTAAATGAGCATTGGCTTCAACTTAAGGTCACCAGCTACATTAGCCCCTAACAAGAGAGTCAGCCTGTCCTTTGAAACTCTGAAGCCAGGTATTGATTTTTCTCTATGAAAGTCCTAGATGACATCTTCTAATAGAAGGCTGTTTCATCTACGTTGAAAATCTGTTGTTTAGTGTAGCCACCTTCATCGATTATCTTAGCTAGATCTCCTGGATAACTTGCTGCAGCTTCTACATCATCATTTGCTGCTTCATCTTGCATTTTTATATTATGGATATGGCTTCTTTCCTTAAGCCTCATTAACCAATCTCTGCTAACTTCCAACTTTCCTTCTGTAGCTTCTTCACCTCTCTCAGCCTTCATAGAATGGAAAAGAATCAGGGCTTTGCTTTGGATTAGGCTTTGGCTCAAGGGAAGGTTGTGGCTGGTTTGATCTTCTATCCAAACCACTCAATTTTTCTGCATATCAACAATAAGCCTGCTTTGGCTGTTTTGCTTTCTTACCATTCTTGTGTTCACTGGAATAGCACTTTTAATTTCTTTGAAGAACTTTTCCTTTAAATTCACAACTTGGCTAACTGTTTGACTCAAAAGACCTAGCTTTTGGCCTATTTTGGCTTTTGACATGCCTTCGTCACTAAGCTTAACCATTTCTAACTTTTGACTTAACTTGACTTATCTTGAATGCTTAGAAGCCGCTGTAGGGTTATTAATTGGCCTAATTTCAATATTGTTGTGTGTCAGGAAATAAGGAGACCCAAGGAGACAGAGAGATGGGAGAATAGCTAGTTAGTGGAGCAGTCAGAACACACACAATATTTCTTGAATAACTTCACTGTCTTATATGGGTGCTGTTCATGGACACCAAAATAATTATGATAGTAACATCAAAGACTACTGATCACAGATCACTATAATAGATATAATCATGATGAAAATGTTTGAAATACTGTGAGAATTACCAAAATGTGATATAGAGACATGAAGTGAACACATGCTATTGGAAAAAAAAAATAGGGTTGACACAAACTAATTTTTTTAAAACGCAGTATCTGTGAAGTGCAATATAATAAAGTATGCCTGTATTAAATAAGTCTGTACGTTTGCTTTTTTTTCTTGTTAATCTGTCTTTTGCTATAGGGGTCTCCACCATGAACCTAGCAATGGGTAAGGAAAGAAATCTTTTCTCCACTACACAGGCAAACTTTCTTCTCCGTGTTAGTATGCACACAGGCTCTTTTCTCTCATCTCTAGAGCTAGACTAATTTAACTTGAACTTAAAAATGTTGACTCTGTGTGCTACATAACGTATAGTCTCAAAAAGCTGACAATATTCATAAAATATGTTTATAAGTCCCAAAGAAAATGTTTTGGCAAGGTGCAGTGGTTCATGCCTGTAATCCCAGGACTTTAGGAGGCCAAGGTGAGAGGGTCATTTGAGATCAGGAGTTCAAGACAGCCTGGGTGACATAGCAAGACTCCAAGAAGAAAGAAAGAAAGAAAGAAAGAAAGAAAGAAAGAAAGAAAGAAAGAAAGAAAGAAAGAAAGAAAGAAAGAAAGAAAGAAAGAAAGAAAGAAAGAGAAAGAAAAAGAAAAAGAAAGAAAGAAAGGAAGGAAGGAAGGGAGAGAGGAAGGAAGGAAGGAGAAAGAGAGAAAGAAAGAAACAAAAAGAAAGAAAGAAAGAATTTCCATTACACCTGGAAACACCTGGGCATTGCAGTCAGGTCTGAATTAGTCAGCACAGCTAATTTCTAAGATGATCTTTGTTAAGCTACTTTTCCTCATCTATAAAACAAGTATATAATTAATATTCACAAACTTGCCGTAAGGATCAAAACCGATAACGTACATGGAGTGCTTGGCACAGCTTGGTATATTTTGGGGGCTTAAGGACTAATCACTATTATTATTAATATTAAGACTAGGGCACGGCACCATGGCTCACACTTGTAATCCCAGTGCTTTTGGGAGGCTGAGGCGGGCGGATCACCTGAGGTCGGGGTTCAAGACCAGCCTCACCAACATGGAGAAACCCCATCTCTACTAAAAATACAAAATTAGCCAGGCGTGGTGGCGCATGCCTGTAATCCCAGCTACTCGGGAGGCTGAGGCAGGAGAATCTCTTGAACCCGGGAGGCGGGGTTGTGGTGAGCCAAGATCACGCCATTGCGCTCCACCCTGGGCAACAAGAGCGAAACTCTGTCTCAAAACAAAACAAACAAACATATATATATATATGTATGTATATACTAGATATGGCCTAATATATTTTCTAATGAGACTAGTGCTGGGATAGAAGAGACCTGGGATACTTTCCTTGAAAGCTAGATCTGAGTCTTCCTTTCCCTGAGAATACAGTACATGGTAGGTGCTCAATTTTTATAGAGTAAGTCAATGAATGAATGAACAACATAATAGAAAGAATACTACAAAGGAATTCAAGAGTCCTAGCTACTTGACTTACTTCAACCACTAATTAAATAACTGAGGACCTGTGGATTTTAGATGCCCACTGTGGTCCCTTTTGTCTTTCACACTGCTTGATTCTGATGTGAAATGAAAAGGTCCAAAATAAACATGAGAAAAGAAAATAAAACTCTTATTCTGTCCCTGAAAATTGTTCCTGTGGACAGAATTTTGCCCCCTCGATATCCATATATTGAAGCCCCAACCTCCAATGTGGCTAATTGGGAAATTGGGCCCTGATGGAAATTATTAAGGTTAAATTCATAAGGATATGTCTCTGATGCAATAAAATTAGTTACTTAAACAATTGCAAAAATATGGAACCAGCCCAAATGCCCATCAATGGAGTGGATAAAGAAAATGTGAGATATATCTATATCTATATCTATATCTATATCTATATCTATATCTATACACACACACAATGGAATATTACTCAGTCATAAAAAGAAACAAAATAATGGCATTTGCAGCAACATGTATGGAATTGGAGACTATCATTCTAAGTGAAGTAACTCAGGAATAGGAAACCAAACATCATATACTCTTACACATAAGTGGGAGCTAAGCTATGAGGATGCAAAGGCATAGGAATGATACAATGGAGTTTGGGGACTTAGGGGAAAAGGTGGGAGGGCTGAGGGATAAAAGACTGCACACTGGGTACAGTGTACTCCGTTAGGTACACATTGGGTACAGTGTACACAACCTCTTTAAAAAAAAAAAAAGAAGGAGAAGAAGAGACACTAGCACCTATAGCCTCAGCTACGCAGGAGCATGAGGCAGGAAGGATCCCTTGAGCCCAGGAGTTCAAGGCTGCAGTGAGCTATGATCATGTCACTTCATTCCCGCTTGGGAGACAAAGCAAGACCCCATCTCTAAGAAAAAAAAAAAAAGAGAGAGAGAGAGAGACCAAAGAGCTTACTCTCTCTCCACCATGCGAGGACACAATAAAGAGGTGGCCAACTGCAAGCCAGGAAACGAGCCCCTAGCCAGACGCCAAATCTGCTGGTACCTTGATCTTGGATTTCCCAGACTCCACAACTGTGAGAAAATAAATTTCTGTTGTTTAAGCTGCCCAGTCTGTGATGTTTTGTTATGGTGGCCCAAGCTAAGACACCTGTTATATACCATATCCATTAGAAATATCCAACTCTATATTTGGAGTTCTCTAAGAATATCATTTTTAATCTCCACATTGCACCGCATTCGAAACCCCTGTAAGTTTTATATCCAGCTGTTCCTTAAATGAAATTACTGCATCACAGCAACAGATAGGAAATTCTAATAAACTACTCATTGAGTTGAATTTACAAACACTTAGGTACTACACTTCAGAACATTAATCATCATTTTTGTAAAGCTGACATTCTTTACTCTTTTGTTTACTTGACATTTATCGAACAAATTCATGTTTGTTAAAGAAGTTTAAAGAAGTATTCGATGCAAAGTCTCTAAGATACTAAAGTAAATTTAATCATCAATTTATCCTAACAAACTGAATTCTGTCATAGCTAAAAGAATGGGAAATTCCCGGCCGGTAGCGGTGGTTCACGCCTGTATTCCCAGCACTTTGGGAGGCCGAGGCGGGTGGATCACGAGGTCAGGAGATCGAGACCATCCTGGCTAACATGATGAAACCCCGTCTCTACTAAAAATACAACAACAACAACAACAACAAAAATAGCCGGGTGTGGTGGCGGGCGCCTGTAGTCCCAGCTACTCGGGAGGCTGAGGCAGGAGAATGATGTGAACCCAGGAGGCGGAGCTTGCAGTGAGCCGAGATCACACCACTGCAGTCCAGCCTGGGCAAAAGAGCGAGACTCCGTCTCAGAAAAAAAAAAAAGAATGGGAAATTCCTTTCATTTACCTAAGGAAAAATGAGGCTTTTGACAAATTCTAAGACCAACTAGAGTAGGGCATGGTTTCCTGGTGAAGATGAAATTTCTGAATAAACAGGTTCCACCTGGGAGATATTTACAGCTTCCAAACCTATGCTGCTCCATATGGTAGCTACCAGCCAAATGTGACTATGGAGCACTAGAAATATTGCTAGGAAAAATTGAGATGTTCTGTAAGTGATATATCTCATTAATAATCTTTATATTTATTGTATGTTAAAATAATAACATTTTGGATATATTGGGATAAATACAACATATTATTAAAATTAATTTTACCCTTTTTTAAACTTTTTAATGTGGCTACTAGAAAATTTAAAATTATATATGTGGATGGCATTACATTTCTATTGAATAGTACTGTTCTAATTAATTCCTTGTCATATCTGAAAGTCTGTAGTTAGTTGAAGTATAAGGCAAGGACTAAATACAACCAACAAATATATTTTATTTGGCCCACACAATTAAAACAATTTGTAATTGATTGGCAGCATTTAAACATTGACAGATTTCACATCAAAATGCAGGCTCTCACCTTCCTTTGAAAAGTCAGATCAAGAAACACTGGACCTGCATTTCTGAATGGCAACAGAAGGAGCAATGGCTGAAACTGATTAGTAGCTCTCCTCTTTGAGCAAGACATGAGCTTTGCAGTTCACCCTGGCCTATTTCCCCTTTTCTGTCAGGTTCTTGTGGAATTTTGATGTTTGGCTATAGAGAGAGGGGCTTTAAACATGAGTGGAGTGAAGGGGAAGTGCATTTTTCAGCCATGTACGGATCTCTGATTGAATTCCAGTTCAAGCATGTAAATGGCCCTGTGACTTTGGGGTACAGGGTACTCAATTGATTTCCTCATCAGTAAAATGGGAATGATAATAGCTACATTGTAGAAACTACTAACAATTAAATAAGGTAAAATATATTTGGGAGTTGCCTCACAGTAGTTGTTTAATGAATTATTATTTCTCTCCTTTGGCTGACTCAATATTTTTGGGGGAACTGGGGGTGTTGATGCAGTCAGATATAGCAAGATGCTAAGTGGTTTTTACAATGCCCAGTATTAACAAAAGTGTAGATGCTATTTCCCTAGAGTGCAAGGCAAAGATCTTGGGAGAAAGGAAATCTTTCAACATTTTTCTTAGGAGCCACACATAATTAAAACGCTCTTATTAACTGAAGATGATTTTTTATTTCTCAATTAGAAATGAAGACTTTGGATGTTTGACATCTATGCAGGTTTATCAAGTCACACCGAACCCCAATAAGGGCAGGTTTGGGGTGCCATGGTTCAGCTTTGTTTCACATCCCCAGTAGCACACATAATTGCACAAGCCAAACTTTTCATACCTATAGATACTATGATTTACTGTGACCAAAAGACAAGGAGAAAAAAACGGAATGAAAAGGATGCAAAAGATTAGAGAGCCAGGCATCTGATAAGGGTTTAATATCTAAAATATATAAGAAACTCAAACAACTCAATAGTAAGAGAACAGATAATCCAATTTTAAAATGGGCCGAGGATCTGAACAGACATTTCTGTAAAAAAGACATGCAATGGACAAGAGGTATATTAAAAAATGCTCCACATCATTAATCATCAGAGAAATGCAAAATAAAACCACAATGAGATATCACCACACACCTGTTACAGCAGCAATTATCAAAAAGGCAAAAGACAAGGGTTGGAGAGGATGTGGAAAAGAAGGAATCCTTGCACATTGCTGGTGGAAATAGAAACTAGTACAGCCATTATGAAAAACAATATGGAGGTTGCTCCAAAAATTTAAAAAAGAACTAGCATGATTTAGAAATCCCACTACTGGGTATACATCCAAAGAATATGAAATCAGTATGTCAAAGAGATAACTGCACTCTCATGTTCATTGCGGCATTATTCACAATAGCTAAGAGGTAAAATCGACCTACATACATACATACTATGTATGTATATATACATACTGGATGCTTCTTTGGCCTTGTATGTATATGTATATGTCATATATGTATACGTATATGCATACGTATACGTATATGTATATACATATACATATAGGTAGAATCAACCTAAGCGTCCAGTATGTATATACACATATATACACATATGTGTGTATACCCATATATGTACACATGTGTATATACCCATATATGTATACATATGTGGGTACCCATATATATGTACATATGTGGGTACCCATATATATGTACATATATACATATATGGGTACCCATATATACCCATATACCCATATACCCATATGTACCCATATATATGTATACATATATGGGTATATACACATATATATAGAGAGAGAGGGAGAGGAAGAGGAAGAGAGAGAGTGAGAGAGAAGCATATTGGAATGGAATACAATAGTATATACACACACAATGGAATACTATCCACCCTTTAAAAAGAAGAAACTCCTGTCATTTGGAATAAGTGGATGAACCTGGGGGACATTATGGTAAGTGAAATAAACTAGGCATGGAAAGATGAACACTGCATGATCTCATTTATAAGTGGAGTATAAAAAAGTTGAATTCATAAAAATAGAGAGTAAAATGGTGGTTAGAGGGGCTCAGGGCATGAAGGACTGGGGAGATGTGGGCAAAGGATACAAAGGATACAAAATTTCAATTAGATGGGAGAAATAAAGAGATCTATTGTGCAACATGGTGACTATAGTTAATAACAATGTATTATATTCTTGAGAATTGCTAAAATAATAGACTTTTGTAATGTTCTCATTACAAAAAGGATAAATGTGAAGTAATGCACATTAATTAGTTCAACTTAGACATTTCACATATAGTATACATATTTCAAAACAACATGTATACAATAAATATACACAATTTTTGTCAATTTAAAAATAAATTTAAAAAATTAAAGAAACGCTAATGAACTATGGACTATAGTTAATTTTTTTAAATGAGAGAGCAAAAATTGATGAAAAAATTTCCTATTTTACAGAAGCTGGGGCACAAACCAGAATGATTTGTTCTGTAGACTTGCCCCTCTTGGCATAAAATTTGTATCTCATTTGAGTACCATCCTGTTCAATAATAGCCGCTGACTGGACTCAAATACCTGCCCTTCACAGTTCTTACATCATGATTCATATACTCTCCCAGCTCTTTTTGACTGCCCGCAATTACTTGTGACAAATGATTCTTCAGTGTATTGTCTGCTTTACCTTTTCCAAACGTTTCCATGGTTCACAAATAAGTCATCTGGTGTATACTGTACTGTCTCTCCAACAGTAAAGCCAGGCATCGAGGGGCTCCTCCCAAAATTCTATTGTATTCTGCAAGTTGGCTACTCAAAGTAAGAATCCTTGTAGAACACACAAATAAATTTCGTTTGAATACTTTAGTTAACTATAACAAAAACAAACAGATAAAAACTAGAAGAAAATATAAGTTATTAGTTATCTGTCTCAGATTGGGAAGGACTATCCAAAGTAATGGTAAAAATTCCAAATAATAGATCAAAATATTTGATGACACAAACATGTTGTAATTTAATTTTTTATGGCTTAAAAAGGAATCTGGAAAAAATAAATGAATAAACTGGAAAAATATGTTACAAATATGAGAAAGAATAATTATCTTTCATATGTGATGAATGCATAGATATTGATAATGGAAAAAACTAAAGATCTATTAGAAAAATAAATAGGCCGGGCACGGTGGCTCACGCCTGTAATCCCAGCACTTTGGGAGGCCAAGGTGGGCAGATCACGAGGTCAGGAGTTCGAGACCAGCCTGTCCAATATGGTGAAACCCTGTCTCTACTAAAAAATACAATAATTGGCTGGGCATGGTGGCGTGCACTTGTAGTCCCAGCTGCTCAGGAGGCTGAGACAGAAGAATCACTTGAACCCGGGAGGCGGAGGTTGCAGTGAGCTGAGATTGCGTCACTACACTCCAGCCTGGGTGACACAGTGAGACTCCATCTCAAAAAAAAAAAAAAAAAAAAACAAACAAAAAAAGAAAAATGAATAAAGAAAATGAAAAATTAATAGAATCAAAGGTAAGAAATAGCTAATAAAGTACTAGAAGTACTCTCAACCTTGCCAGTAACCAAATAATTTTGAATTAAGAAATCTTTTTTTTTTTAACCCATCAGATAGATCAAGTTTTGTCTAAATGTTAATACTCACTTTGGGACAGGATATGGTAAAATGAGCAAACTCATTCACTGATACATTAGTACCTTTCTAGAAAGCAAAGCCTTTAAAAATTTCCAACATCTTTCAACTTTCCTGTAAAACTGAAATTTTTCAAAATAAAAAATTGAAATATAAAAAGAGGAAAGAATCCTCATAGCAAAACCAATACATATTTTCTTTTCTTTTTTTTTTTTTGAGACGGAGTCTTACTCTGTCACCAGGCTGGAGTGCAGTGGCATGATCTCAGCTCACTGTAACCTCCACCTCCCGAGTTCAAGCGATTCTCCTGCCTCAGCCTCCCAAGTAGTTGGGAATACATACAGGTGTGCCACCACACCCAGCTAATTTTTGTATTTTTAGTAGAGATGGGGTTTCACTATGTTGGCCAGGATGATCTCGATCTCTTGACCTCGTGCTCTGCCTGCTTTGGCCTCTTAAAATGCTGGGATTACAGGCATCAGCCACCACGCCCGGCCCATATTTTCTTAAGAAAATACTTCAAACATATTGTATGGGAGAAAAGATATCTTACACCTCGCTGGTTATGGCTGAGTCACCCGTAACAAATGACAGATTAACAACAGAACAGCATACATATATAAGTTTTACATGATGCAGAAGCCTTCAAAAATGAAGACCCAAAGAAACAAGGAAACCTGTGCCATTTTGTGCTAAGTTTGATGAAGAAGTGTATAGCTGTGGAGAAGTATGATTGCACAAAGCGGGTATGACCTAATGGTGATAAACTAGGGGGAACTTAGAAAGGCCTATCTATTCAGATTCTTCTCTGTGTCCTTGTGTCTTCAGAGATAAAGATGCCCCTCTCCTCCAGGTATAGGGAGAGTACTTCTCCAATGAGAGTTTTACAACCTGCTTCAGAGGAGAAGGACGGCATAAGGTCAGAGTGACCTTCCTGTTTCTGATGTTTCCTTAAATGCCAGGATGCCTTATTTGGGGGCAGCATGCTTTGAATCCCATCTTATATGTCATATATATGTAATTTTAAAAATTATAAATCTAACCATTCTTTTAAAGGGATCTAATTTTTTCTCTAAAGTGGTAATTCTTAAAGTGTGGTCTTTGGACCGTTTGCAAAAGCATCACCTGGAAATATGTTAGAAATGCAAATTCTCGCACTCACCCAGCTTTACTGATCCAGAAATTCTGGGGGTGTGGCCCAGCAATACGTGTTTTCACAAGCCTTCCAGGTGATTCTGATGCACACTGAGGTCTGAGAACCACTGCTGTAAAGTTACAAAAAATACAATGGATAGGATAATGTATTAAATAATTCTATGAGAACACAACCAAACAAAACTAGAGTGTGGGAAATTCTATGCAATCAATTCTCCATTTTTTTCAACAAATAAATGACTTGAGAGAGAAAAAAAGAAAAGGAAAGTACTAAAGGTTAAAGGAAGCTTAAGAGTTATAACAACGAAATAAATGTGTGGGTCTTATTTAATCCTGTTTCAACTTTTTTAAAAAGATGTTTTGAGACAATTAGGAAAAATTAGACATGATTTTAAAGAATTATTATTTGTTTTACTGTGTGTGAACATTATAATATGATTATGACTTTTAAACAGTCCTTTTAAAGTCCTTACCACTTCGAGATTTTAAGACTAGTTTTCTTAAACTGATTTTTTAAATTTTAAAACTAGTATTAAAAATAAATGAAGTAAATATAGCAAAATATTAAAAACTATAAAACTTAGGTTATTAAAAATTGGAAGTTGAGTTCTTTCTACTTTTCTGTTCTTTTAAAATTTTCATAGTAAAAAATAGAAGCAAACAAAAACTTCAGATTGTTTAGCCAATAATTTCAATTTTAGAAATTTACCTTAAGAAAATATTCAGTCTCAGAAAATATTTTATTTTATTTTTATTTTATTTTATTTTATTTTATATATTTTAAAGCCTGTAGCACCTGAAATTCCCAGATGTTCTCCCATTCAAGTACTAACCAGGCTTAACTCTGCCTCATCTCCAAGATCAGATGAGATCAAGAGAAAAGATTTACTTATAAAGACCTTTATGGGCCTGACGTGGTGGCTCATGCCTGTAATCCCAGCACTTTGGGAGGCTGAGGAGGGCAGATCACTTGAGGTCAGGTGTTCAAGACCAGCCTGGCCAACATGGTGAAACCCCGTCTCTACTAAAAATACAAAAATTAGCTGGGCGGGATGCGCTCCTGTAATCCCAGCTACTCGGGAGGCTGAAGCAGGAAAATCGCTTGAACCCAGGAGGTGGAGGTTGCAGTGAGCCGAGATTGCGCCACCGCACTCCAGCCTGGGCAATAGAGTGAGATTCAGTCTCAAAAAAAGAAAGAAAGAAAGAAAGAAAGAAAGAAAGAAAGAAAGAAAGAAAGAAAGAAAGAAAGAAAGACCTTTATGACAGCATTATTTATACTAGCTAATAATTGTTAGAATGAACCCAAACATCCAAAAACAGTAGAAAGGTATAATAAATTATGAGACTTTCATGTAATATAAATATAATACAGTATATTCAGTAACATACTAAAGATGTTATTATTTTTTTAAAAAGTGAGATACAACAAAACACATACAGTATGATTCTTGTTTTGTTAAAGTAAAAAACACATCCAAGAAAAAAAGAGGAGATGGATTTTCAGGGGCCAATTTAAAAAAAAAAATTTTTTTTTTAAAGACTAGAAGGAACTATATCAAAATGTTAAGTGGAGTTTTCTCTAAACATTGGAGTTATAGATCATGTATATCTTCTTCTCTGAAACTTTCCACATTTTCCAAATGAACTATAAAGTGTATGCACTCTTCAGTAATATAAAAACATTTTTAATAAAAGCAAAAGAGCTGGGTGCAGTGACTCATTTCTGTAATCCCAGCACTTTGGAAGACTGAGGTGGGAGGATTGCTTGAGCCTAGGAGCTCAAGACCAGCCTGAGCCAACATAGTGATACCCCTCATCTCTACAAAAATCTTTAAAAAATCAGGGCCGGGCGTGGTAGCTCACACCTTTAATCCCAGCACTTTGGGAGGCCGAAGCGGGTGGATCATGAGGTCAGGAGTTCCAAGACTAGCCTTACCAACATGGTGAAACCCTGTCTCTACTAAAAATACCAAAAAAAAAAAAAAAAAAAAAAAAAAAAAAGAAAAAGAAAAAAATTAACCCGTTTCTTTATAAAGAAGAACTTTTTAACATTAGATCTGTTCAAAGTTGCATTTGCCTCAGGAGGCAAAGATGCTTCCTTCTCTGGAAATATTCAAACACAATGAACTACCAGAGGGTAAGGATGCTCCAAAGGGAGTACAAGTGTCAGACGGTGAGTGAGGTAGATGACCTGTTATAGTCTCTTACATCATTTAATATTCAACAAATATTATTGAGTAATGAACAAGACCAAAATCCCTGCTCTTCTGAATTCATAATCTTGTCAGCACCTGAATAGCTACTACAAACCTACTAGATTGCCAAATAGTCGATGCTAATTAAAAAACAAGGAACCCCCCTTCTTTAGAAGTGAGCAATTTATAAAGTCATTCATGTGTTCCTCTACTTCTTAGGAGACTTTCTTATTCATATTTAATCTCCATTATCTGGTATAAAGATCTTTACTAATTGTTGACAAAAACATTCTCTTGAATACACTCCATATTCTCTGGTATTTCTTCAGCCCCTAACCTGGCATTTAGTAGTTAATTATGTTGTTAATGGAAAAGTGAGTAAGGCATAACCACAAACAACAATCACAAACTGAAAACGTATTTACAATTAATTTGGTTCTTTTTTTTTACATTAAACATGATCCTGAGGCAATGGCATTGATTTCAAGTTGAATATTGCCTGTATTGAAATTGCCGAAAGGAATATCAACCTTTATTTGCTCATATATTCCTTTTTTTAAGGTTAATCATGTGTTCTTAATAGGAGTCTCCATAGGTTAAACTGGAGATCTTTTAAGTAATAGTATCTACAAACAATAGCATAGAGTTAACCAATTGAATATTAATATTCAAAGAGTAAACAGACCACATACCCATGGGGAAAAAAAATTAATGTTCACCATGGATGTATTTGCTAGAATGAGGGGACTTTTTAAAGAAAGTTTATCCTTTCTCACGTAACAGTCCAGTGAAGGGATTCAGGTCAGGGGTAGCTCTGCTCTACATGGTCATTCAACTACTCAGCTGATAACAGCTTTGCCATCTTCAACACACAGCTTCCAAGGTTACCCTGGGCATCACTATTCCAGTCAGTCAGAAAGAGGAAAGGGTATGAGGATCATAACTAGAAGGTTTTAAGGGCCAGACTTGAAAGTGTTACAGAGCACCTCCACTCACATTCCACATCACAAAACCACGTCTAACTTCAAAAGAAGCCAGAAAACATAGTCAAGCTCTGATCCAGGAAGAGAAGACTGTATTTTATAGACTATAGGTTATCTCTGACATAATAGAATTGTAAATGAAACCTTAATTCTCTAAAATATTCTTCTCCCTAGAATATTTGCCAGTGGTTAGCCTCCAGTTAAATGTGCATGCTAGAGAAGACCCTTACAGAACATGGCCTCACAGTTCACAATTTATGAAGGGATTGTGTTGCGCAAGTTCACTTGTGAGTTTTCTAAAATATATTTTCTGATAGAAGAATAATAATAGACCAACTCACTTCATAAGATAAATTATTTATACTAAGTAATTTATCTTATGTAGACAAACACTATGAAACCTGCTGAGTTTTGGACACAGTATAGAAGAATGAAATTTCCTCCCCTACTCATGGGGAAACAAAAAGGTTGACCTTAAAAAGCAAGTATTTTAATTCAACACCTTATTACTTTGTTACTCTGCTTTCCTGAGGTGCCTATCCCCTTCATACTATGCCAAACGTCTCACGCAAGCTTATCCTAGTTTCCATTTCCCAATCATTACTCTCATCAATGTTGCCATCCTTTTTGTTAGTTTTTTTTTTAAGGCTAGTCAAGTGAAGCAGTCGGAGTGGAGAAGAAAATGCTGCCATTCTTATCTGAATGCTAAAGTAGAGGATTTGTATTTTTAAAAGTACTTTCACAGATAAGCTTATAATAGTTAACATTTATTGAATATTTATCCTATACCAAAACTATGTTCTCCAAACTTCATTTTGCTCATTTACAAAATGGAGATAATAATGTTAACACTGATCTCATGAAGTTATTGTAAGGATGAAATGAGATAATGCCTGTAAAGTGCCTTGCACCTTGCCTGACATTAATAAATTTACAAAATAAATGTTAGCTATTATTTTCCTAATTAGTTTATTATTACTCAGTGAGAGGGTGAAAGTGTGAAGAGCTCATTATCATTCAGCTGTGCTCCCTTCTCCCCCAGCAATCTCCTATCCTTCCAACTTACAAAGGAAATGACAGTCACACTTTTTTCAATGTTGACATTGGTTCTCGATGCTAATGTACCTGAAGTGCTTGCTAAAAATGTAAATTCCCAGGCCTCACAGTCAGAATTCCCCATTCAGTCAGAGGTAAGCACTGCTGCCACATTGAACAACACCAGGGGGCATCATTCACATGGTATTGCATATAAATGGTGCTTCCTGAAGTTTTGCAAATTTGTAGTTCTGAAGTTGAAGGCCAGGAAATTATATTTTTAACAAACACACTGGTGATATAGACAATTCTCCTCGGGTTGAGACTTTGAGAAAGACTGTTCTAGAGTGACTGTTTAAAGTTCAGGGACCTCAGAAAGAACTTGTTCCACTGGCTAGTTCAGTGTCTAAAAGTAGCTGTAACCAAATATCAAC